>NC_000008.11:32284345-32587375 GCF_000001405.40 Homo sapiens | reverse complement strand
AGGACTCTCAAACTGGACCCTGCCTCAGCCGAGACCCTGGTCATGTTCCTTGCTAGCTCATTTATTTCACCTAATTTCAGAGTCTACCCAGAGTGGTCAGACGGTTCTTGTATTATTGCAAGAAAAGCACATTACCTTCTCTGCTTTAATTTTTTTTTTTTGGCGGCAGAGTCTCACTCTGTCACCCAGGCTAGAATGCAGTGGTGTTATGTGATCACAGCTTACTGCAGCCTCAGAATCTTAAGCTCAAGTGATCCTCCTGCCTTAGCCTCTCACATAGCTGGGACCACAGGCACAGGCACACACCACCACGCTGGGCTTTTTGTTTTGTTGTATACAGAGATTCATGTTGCCCAGGCTGGTCTCAAACACTTCAAGCAATCCTCTTCAAGGAATCCTCTTGCTCTAGCCTCCCAAAGTGCTGGGATTATAAGTGTCAGCCACCATACCTCCTATGCCCTCAAGTCAAAGTTGCTCTTCTCCATTGATTGACCATGGTCTACAAGATGCTGGTTTGCTCCCTTAACTGTTAATGTGCCTTGTTGTCACTACATATCCGCAAAATTACTATTTGGTCAAATCTCCTTTCATCTGCAACAGTTCTGGTGTGTATTTCATGTAAGGTACCTAATGATTGTTTCCATTTACAGGTGAGGAGATGGAAACTGATAGGGGAACTTAATGTCGTAAGTCTAACAAGTTGCAGAACCAAAACTTAAACCTAGGACTTTTTACCATACCTAGTTTTTCTACAAAGTTTGAAGTGGAGGCAGAAAATGGAGAGAAGGACAGTAGATTAAAAATCTGGGAAAGATCACTCCATTTCATAGCCACTACAGTAAATTTTTTGTTCTTATAATGAGCTATGTAAACCAAATCACCTCTCCACATTTGTCTGTGAGAAATTTACAATACTGTAAAATTCTACAAGGGAAAATGAATGCAGGTTTATTAGGTGAGATAATTTTTCACCCTGATAATTGAAATTAGTTATTTATTGAAATTAGCAATCTCTCTTTTCTATACAGTTCCTTGCCCTGTACTTCACAGTTAGGGACTAAAGATAAAAATCTTAAAACAACTATAATGTATTTCCAAAGCCTATGAGATGAAGTTAAATAAAGTCCTTTTTATTTACAGTATATTTATATATAGTATATATAGTAGAATGTAATGTATACATATACACATTATATATATATATATATATATATATAGTACTTTCAACAATAAACACCTTTGAATAATAATAGCTGATACTTGAGTACCTACTATGTGCCAGGCATTGTTCTAAGAGCTTTATGCTCATTAACGTTTTTAAGTTTTATGATAACTCCAGGAGATATGTATTACTGCCATTATCACCAACTTACAGATGAAGAAACAGAAACAGAGAGGTAAAGTAACCTGTCTATAGTCACACGGCTGGTATACTATCAAGTCAGTATCTGAACCCAGGAAGTTTGACTCCAGAGCCCTGGCTCTTAACTACCAGACAATGTGCTAAAGATTTTATTTAATGATCTATCAATAGGGTCCATATTTTCCTCACAAAACCTGGGATACACCACATGACATTATTTCTGCACTTATTCCACGTGCAAAAGACAGTCTGAGAAATACAGTAGATATGCAAAATTGCTGAATTTTCTGAGCTACTTGGATAATTGATGGGGAAATAAAACAAGGCAATACTTGCGATTGGTGTTAAAATAATTCTTTTGAACTATGCAGCTGTCTATCTGTCATATGCCAAATGCCACAAGGGTGAACAGTGCTGTATCTCACTCCTGTGTTCACTGCGATGTGATAACCCCCACGTGAGGATACAGCAACAAAAGTGGCTTAATGGATTAATGTTGTTCTTTCGAGGTGTAAAGGCAATACACCGTGACAATGAATGCTGGAGCAAATCACTGCGCCGCGGCCAGCAGCTGGAAGGTAAGTGTTCAGCAGGCCTGCCTAATTGATTCTGTCACCACAGCTGCCCCTAATTATAAGAACATCTCACTCTCGGACATAAAGATGTCCAGCAAGCTTCACTGAAAGCAATCAACTCACAGGGTTAAAATGGATCCAGTACAGTTTTACCTAATTGATGTGTAGCAAAGTTCACATGACATAAGCTTATAAATATGATTTTTTCCATTGTCATAAAACAGGATTTTTTTCTTATGCATTATACATACCAGCCATATTCACTTCCAAAATGTTAAACAGAAAAACTGAGAAACATCTAGTTACTAAAAATTAAAAATATATTTACTTATTTTCTTATTGTCAAGTTTTTTTCTGTTCTGATGTGTTTATTGCTTAGGTAAAGTTAGCACATTAACATGATTTTGATATGTTAATATTTGTCTTTATAACCATTTCTTCTTTGCTCAAGTTGAATTACATTTAATTCATGCCACTAAAATTCTCTTTTTTATTTAAAGAAATTTACTTACATGTTCTAAACTAAATAAATTCCCAGGTAAGATGAGTTAGCAATTGATTATAATTAGTTTTAAACAATGATAACTATGTGAAAACTTTTAAGCAGTGCATATAAATGAACAAAGTCCCTGATTCATGATCTAAGAACATTAGTTCCCTATAATCTATTTTTCACATAGCCATTTAAAGCTTATTCCTTCTGTGAAAAAGAAAAATTTTAGCAGAGCTAATTCTGAAACAAATGTGTCCTTTCAGGACTTCTAAAATCTGTTTCTTTGTTATTTAGTCAGATCTCCTTTCTTAGTAATTATGGCTTTCTGATTTTTTCATTTTTGTCCACAGATGACTTATTAAAGAGAATGATACTAAAACCTTAGTACCTGCCAGGATTGAAAGCCTTCTTTACTCGTTGAGGCCTACAATATCAAAGTTAAATTTCTCTCTTCTCTGTTCACTACAGTTTTAAGTAAGCAACGCTGCATCCCTTCTTCAGCAGGGTCCACATTTGACTTTCTAAGGACCTTTAAAACCTCCTTGCACTCTTAAGCAGGTCCATGGACAACCTAACGATTGAATTCTTATCATTTTACTTCTACCCCACAGGAAGATCAGGGAAGGCAAATTCCTTATCTTAGGGTTCCCAGTGACATGAATTTGCTGAAGAGGTGGAAAATAACCAAAATCAAATTAAACAGATTGTTGACAGTAAGAAACCTGGTGCTACATTATTCTGTGACTACATTCTGTGGCCACTATAACTACAAGGCTGCTGCACTTTCCCGTACTGTCCTCCAAAGTCAAACCGTATGATGGAAGTCAGTGCCCTTTGGTCTCATAAAACACACAAAAAGAAATCCCAATAAGAAAGAGTCCAAATAGTCTCCCCTATTTTACAAAAAGCATAAATTCCTTAAAGAATCTTTTGAAAGTGAAAGTGAGCTGCTTCCCACACATTCTGACACAACCCACTGACTCCCAGAATGTAATACAATTTTCTCAGCACAAAGACTCAAACATGTTACACGAAAGAAGTCAAAATGAAGCTCACTTAGCATGTCAACATATCGTTTTCCTTACCCTACTATTAGCTACACTGGAGACCTTACTTGGATTGCACCAACTTGTGTACAGCTTTTTTCGTGCTGAACAATGAGATCATGTATGAAAGTACTTTGTAAACAGTAGGCTAAATAGTGGTAGTCTAAGAAATGCCTTCTGGGTGAGCCCAGGGTAGGGCATTGATGGTGAAATTTGCATTATCTGAAGGGAGCTTTAAACAATTTAACCATGAGCTCTCTAGATTTTAATTTCCTTTAATAACATGATCAGTACCAACCATGAATTTAATTAATTCCCCATGAATCCCTAAAGACACTGGCACTCTACTAGAAGTATCTTTTGTTTTGTTTGTTTTTACTTAGAAAGAAGGTTAATTAGATTCTTTGTTAATAGTTTATAAGTCCATGAATTTAAATTACTGAACTCTACACATAACATCTTGAGCTTTTGCCACAAGCTTGATAGACCCTATCAAAAAGAATGGAGACAGGAAACTTAGGTAAAGTACTTGTTTGGTCTGCAGGATGAAGCAGTCACAAAATTACTCTGAATCTCAATCATCTTGAGCAGAAAAAGGAGGGGAAATAGCACCTGCCACACCTATTTCAATACAGTTGTAAAAACCTAATTAAAAAGAGCAATAAAAGCATTTTGCATATTTTAAAAATTAATATTATTAACTCTGATTTAACCACCACCATCTATAAATATCTAAGAAAAAGCCAGAAAATGTTAGGTTATATAAATCTAGATGGCACGAAATTACATGACAAATATCTGAAAAACTACATATACTTTTGGTCATTCTTGAGAGACAAAAAGAAAAAAAAAGTAGCTGGAAACTATCAAGAAAAGTTACCGAAATGCTCAAAGGAAAGGGCAGCCAATATAAAGGAATACACTAAACATTATAGAATCATACAGACTGACACCAGGAAGGCCAGGAAGAAAGTAACTGTTCTTTAAAGTCATGAAATCTTAGAAAGAGCAAAAGCATTTTTTGAGAATTTGCAGAATACTGCAGTTCTCAGAAAACCTTGAAGCATGAAATACATAGTCTTTGAATAAAAAAGGAAGTGAAGTTTTGCACAATACAAAATATAATTTGGAAAATGCTTATTCAGCGGGGCTATACAGGAAAATGACTCAGGAGACAACACAAAGGAGAAAACTTGGGCTTTGAAGTCAGGTTGGCTCAGGTTCTGATTCCAGTTTTCCCACCTAAAGTCTCATGGCTTGGCCAAGTCCATCTATTACCTAGGTGAACTTCATCCTCATCTGCAAGGTAAGTTTACCTTCCACAGGATGGAGTGAGAGAATCAAAGAACTGTATCCCATACTTTGAATAGGATACTGTCACACACACAATAAGCATCAATAACCGCTCATTTTATTTTAATAGCAAACTCATAAGGAATTAATTAAATTCATGGGTGGAACTGATCATGTTATTAAAGGAAACTAAAATATAGAGAGCTCAGGCTGGGCGCCGTGTCTCACGCCTGTAATCCCAGCCCTTTGGGAGGCTGAGGTAGGCAGATCACTTGAGCCCAGGAGTTTGAGACCAGCCTGGGCAACATGGTAAAACATCATCTTTACAAAAAATACAAAAATTACCCAGGTGTGGTGGCATGTGCCTATGGTCCCAGCTACTCCGGAGGCTGAGATGGGCAGAGCACTTGAGCCCAGGAGGTTTAGGCTTCAGTGAACTGAAACCATGCCACTGCACTCCAGTCTGGGTGACAGAGCAAGACCCTGTCTCAAAAATAAATAAAACAAAACAAAATAAAATAAAATAAAATAAAATAGAGTTCATGGTTAGATTATTTAAAGCTCCCTTCAGAGAATGCAACTTTCACCCTCAGTGACCTACCCTGGGCTCACCAGATGGCACTTCTTAGACTACCACTATTTAGCCTACTGTTTACAAAGCACTTTCATACACAATTTCCCTTTAGCACAAAAGGCTGTAAGATGGTTCAATCCAAGTAAGGTCTGCAGTTTAGCTAATAGTATTGTACCAATGTTAATTTCTTAGTTTTGATCAATATAGCAAAGCTATGTATTATTAAACGAGCTGAATAAAGGGTATAGGAGAACTCTCTGTCCTATATTTGCAATCCCTCCATAAATCAAAAATTATTTCTTCTAAAACTCAAGATGACTAAACTCAATTTATGTCTTTCGAATAAGTGTCTCTTTTGAATAATAAGTTAAGTATCCCTCTTCCATGTTTCTATAAAACCATTATTATTCCATTTAATATAAGGTATTTTATCTTTACACATGTTTGTTTCACTTAGGAGACAGAGGCTCCTGGAAGTTAGGGGCTTTATTCTTTTAATGCATCTTTTATCCTAATAACTAGCACAGTGCTCAATAATGTTGACTGAATGGAAGAACGAATGAGCAAAGTCAATCTGTGATTCAAACACTCCATATCAAGTGAGCTACTAGTTTAATGCACAGGATTTATGTAAAAACATATTGAATTTATCAGGGTTATCACTACCTTTATTACTCTATCATATTAGCCCATGATATGGTCTGTTCCTAGCCAAACACATTAGAACGCTCTATATTCTTCTTCTGGCATGCAGCTAGTATCTAGATCCTGCCTTATTCATGTAGATAACTGGCTTTATTCCCTTAGGAATTTGTCAGTACCCATTGATTCAACAAATATCATTGTGCATCAGTTACATTGCTCTCACTGTTTTAAGTACTGGACATATAGAATTGAGTATGAAAACCAAGATCCTTGTTCTCCTGGAGTTGACATTCTGGTTAGGGGGCAAGAGATAGAGACTTTATTAACCAATTAAATTTCTTTCACAAGCAATTTATTTGTAAAATAAATCCTTCCTCTTTACAATCTGAGAGCACAAAAAATTGTTAAAGTAGCTATATCCTTTCCACTTAAATTCCACATAACTCCTTTTCTATTTAAATTGAGGCTTTGAGAACTGATCACTAAATCAGTATATAACCAACTAATATTAATCAGTTGAACACTGCTCAATGGGTACTATGTCATTTAGAAAGTGTTTATTCCTAATAACAACTTATTTTCCTTACTAAAACACTTATTTATTAAAAATTACTAAGATATTATATTCTCAGTACTGCATTACACTATGTTACAATTTTACCACTTCAGAGCTACATATAAACAGTGCAATATGCTGATTAAAAGCCTGGGTCAGACAAACCCAATTTCAAGTCTTAGTCTCCCATATGCTAGTTGTTTGACCTTGGACAAATTATTTAAATTCTCTAAGCCTCATTTTACATTTTCTAAAATGTAAATGAAATAGAACCTATCTCATAGGGCTACTAAAATGATTAGATAAGATATTGCAATTAAAGCACATAGCAGTCAGTGTGTGTCACATTGCAAGCACTCAACAAATGTTGGTAGCTATTCTTCTTATATTATCACTTAGGTTCTCAGAAAATTTTAGCATTTTATGAAGCTCTCTAAATTAATACAAAGTTTTTAAATAACTGCCCACTTAGAGTTGAGACAAGTGGAAACAAATTCATTCCTGTAGCAGGCAGAATAATGGCTCCCAAAGATCCTAAATCCTGATCCCCAGAACCTGTGAATATGTTACCTTACACAGCAAAAGGGACTTCACAGATATGATTGAGACCTTGAGATTAAGGATACTAACATGGGGAAATTATGCTATATGGTCATTCCTCACTAACTGTGGGGGATTGGCTCCAGGATCCCCTGCAGATACCAAAATCCATAGATGTTCAAGTTGCTTACAGATGACCTCCTTATCAGCAGCTACAAAACTCATGCATAGGAAGGGCTGACTATATTATCCAGGTTCACCCAATCTAACGGTGTGAATCTTTAAAAGGAGATTATCTTCCCTTGGTGCAGTTAAAGAGGAATACTCAGAGATGTCATGTTGTTGGCTTGGAAGTAAGAGGAAGGGAAGCCCCTCTAGAAGCCGAAAAAGGCAAGAAAATGATTTCTCTCCTAGAGCCTCCTGCAGCCCTGCCAACACTTCAATTTTAGCCCAGTGACACTCCTCACAGAATTCTAACATTTAAAACTCTAAGATAATAAATTCATGAACTCATGTTGCTTTAAGCCTCAAAGTTTGTGGTAATTTGTTACAGGAGCAATAGAAAACTAATACAGTTCCCAAGGAGAAATCAATTGTGTTGATTTTCTAATATTAGCAACTGTGGAACTCATCTCATTAATTAATACACAGGACCTTAGTACATAAAAATAGATAAACCAGAGTGAGGTAAAAGAATTAGCTCACATGTCACTTCACCTCCATACCCTCCTATTCAAGGTTCAAGAAACAGCCCCATACCAAAGGGATCACAGAAGCTGAGGAATGGAGGTGGAAAACCATGAGGAATTCAGGAAATGAAGTTCAATCCCAGAGGCTGACCTCAACAGTTGTGACCCAGACAACCCTTCTTTCTCTCCAGCCTCAGTTTCTTGCGTGTAAAATGAAAAGTCAGATCACCTCCCAGTGCTGTTACGCTCTAAAGTGAGCCACGAAGATCTATTCTGGGTTTTTGTACATTGTGTTTCAGGAATCCACGAGCAGAGAGTTACCGACCTAATTTTTATATTTAAACATAATTTATGAATGCTTGCATCCCAGTGGCAATAGTATCCAAAAAAAAAAAAAAAAAAAAAAGACAGAAGAAAGAACTTCTACAAAATTTTCCAAAGCTTTCAAAAGTTTTGGGTTTCAGAGCCCAAACCCAAATATTGGTAGGAATGTGCTTAAATCTGACAGTTAAGGTAACAAAACAAAATAAATTATTTTTCTAGTGACTACTACTTAAGTAGCAGTATTTTTGTCTTTGCTGATAAAAATATCATCATTTAGGAATTTTAATAAACCTAAAAATTTAATAAACCTAAAAATTTAAGCAAAACCCTCACAACAAGCCTTTACAGATTAACATTACATTCAATTCTAAGTCAAGGTCTAATGAAATCCCTCACTTGGGAAGGACACACCATAGTTCTATGACATACTTCCTGTCTAAACTCTAGCTCTAAAGAAAGATATTTCTTGCATTACTTTGGTGTACCTCAAATATCTTACATATCCCAAGGGAAAACTATAGATCAGGTCCAAAAGTCTGCAGCAAATCTATTGAACAATTATCTATTTGCAATGGGGGAAATCATCCTGAAATAAGTTAAAAGCTATAGAGACATCACAATTAAGAACCTAGGTCAAACCAACCTTATGGTCATGAAGGCCATTCCTGAACAATTGTATTGTCAGCACTGTGGTGAAAAAAAAATCTATCAGCAATGCAGTGGACCTCTGTGATTTAACCATCAGACAGTACCTCTGAGAATTCAAACCCTTAAGAATTTTATCATGTTAGTGACAAAAAAAAAAAAGGAGGACAGAGAATGTCTGCAGTGGTTCTGCCAGCGTGTGTTAATGTAGTAAGTCAGACCTCAATAGACATATGATATCAGCACATGAACAATTTGAAGCAATAAAGGACTGGCTTTTTGTGATTAAAGAGACAACCTTAGTATTATAACACATGAAGATCTTATTTAAAAAGATCTGGCCGGGCACGGTGGCTCATGCCTGTGATCTCAGCACTTTGGAAGGCTGAGGCGGGTGGATCACGAGGTCAGGCATTCCAGACCAGCCTGGCCAACATACTGAAATCTTGTCTCTACTAAAAATACAAAAAATTATCCGGGCGTGGTGGCAGGTGCCTGTAATCCCAGCTACTCAGGAGGCTGAGGCTAGAGAATCGCTTGAACCTGGGAGGGAGAGGTTGCCGTGAGCTCAGATGGAGCCACTGCACTCCAGACCAGGCGACTGTGTGAGACTCCATCTCAAAAACAAACAAACAAGCAAACAAAAACCTCCATGAGCTAATAGGCCCATAGACCTGCCTTCCTTACTGCAAGTGGTGGCTGGTTTTCTTGCTTCCAGAACCACTTCATCTTCCTTTTATGTTAAACTATCTGGAAAAGCTGATGGCACAGATGAAGTTACAAAGACAGCTCCTCATTTTTGTAAGAAGTGCTATAATGATGGTACATAACAGTTTAAAAAAAAGAGAGAGATGGATAAAGAAGTTAATACTGATTTCTGCTAGAAGAAAATGTCCTCAAGAACCAAGGTCTCGAAAAACAAAAAAAAAAAGTGTTAAGGTTTAAGGGTACAACGATTTAACTAAGTTGTTGAGAATAAATGTTGTTAGAGCCATAACTATGCTAGTTTTTTATTAGGTTCATTGTTATTCTTGTTGGTGTTCAGTTTATAGTTTCGTAAGTTTTGAATTCTCTTCACCTAGCCCTACTTTTTCCAGAAGCCTCTTTATTTTGTGTGTCATTTTGCAAAATGAGTTTTGTTTTGTCTTGCTTTGTTTTTCCCAAAAAATGCAAGCATGGAGTTACAGCAGAAATGTCTGTGGCAGGACAGGGACCTGTCAGTGGTGTTGCAGACAACTTCCCCAGGCCAGAGGTTCCCAAACCTATAACTGTATACATAAGTCACTTGAGCAAGTTTACTAAAATGAATATGAAATATTCATGGAACCCATTGAAAGACTCTGATTCAGTAATTCAGAGAAAAGCCTAACAATATGCTCTTTTACATGGAATCAACCTAGGTGCCCATCAGTGGTGGACTGCATTGAGGAAATGTAGTATATACACACTGTGGAATATCATGTAGCCATAAAAAGGAATGAAACTGCATCCTGTGTAGCAACAGGGATGCAGCTGGAGGCCATTATCCTAAGCGAATTAATGCAGGAACAGAAAACCAAATACTCCATGCTCTCACTTATAAGTAGGAGCTAAACATCAAATACTCATAGACATAAAGATGGCAAAAACAGACACTGGGGACTACTAGAGCAGGGAGGGAAGGAGGGAACAGGAGTTGAAAAACCAACTATTGGGTACTATGCTCAGTATCTGGGTGATGGGATCATTCGTACCCTAAACCTCAGCACCACGCAATATCACTCATATGACAAACTTGCATACGTAGGTTGAATATAAAATATAAGTTGAAATTATTTTTTAAAATAATATAAATATAAATATAAAATATAAGTCGAAATTATTTTTTTAAAAAGAGAAAAATATAGGGAAAAAAGAATCTGCCTTTTAAACAAAAGCATCGCAGGCGATTCTCATACAGGTGGTTAGTATGGGCACAACTTTCTCATAAATATTACACTGTGCCAGGGGCAGCCCTCTCCAAAAGTTATATGGCATTTACAGAGTTAATGTCCACCCCATAAAGTCTTTCCAGTAAAAATGTTTTGTTTTGTTTTTTTAAGAAAAAATGTTTAAGATTTATTGCCCTGGGTAAATTATAGGGAATTGAGACTTAATTTCACTTCTGAAAAAATTCAGAATCTTGTAGAAAGAGACAAATGAAAATTATGGTTCAATTGGCATTGGGATAGTTATCTACAAGGCTCAAATTGTTAGCACTCATATTCAAAATAATAGCCAGGAGTCAATACAGGGTTTAAAAATTATTTTTTAAAAAACAAAAAAAGAAGAGAAAATGAGGGAAAGAGAATCAAATATTCCAAAAAGTTTCTCCTGAGCTAGACACCTCCTTCCATTTTTATGTGTCATGTGAGATGGACTATTCTCTAAGGGCTGAAAGTAATTTCATAATATTTAAACAACTGATTTAAAATAATTACATTATTTGAAAATTGCTAAGAGAGTAGATTTTAAATGTCCTCACCACAAACAAATGGTATGTGAGATGATGACACGTATGCTAAATAGCTTGCTTTAGCCATTCCACAGTGTATGCATATTTCAAAACATCACGTTGTATACCATAAATACATACAATTTTGTCAATTTAAAAATTAATTAAAAATAAATTTTAAAAAATAAAACACATATTAATCAGGAACACATTTATTTTGGAGAATTCCTATGAAGGTTGCTTGAAGATACTTTTTTCCTAAACTTTAGAGCTATGTAAGACAAAGAACCCATTTTAAATTTGTGCTTTCTATAAGACTAGCATATCTGGGTCCTCAGATTTAAATGACCAGATCTAAAAAATAACAGTTAAGAATTATAAAAGGTGTAAGAACTGCCATTCCCAGACCAAGTTTCACCCTTATTAGAACATTCAAGCCTTACATTGGTGTCACCATTTAATCTTTACAAGAATACTCTCTCAAAATTTCCTACTTTATACTTATTTTCTAGGTAACCATGAGCATTAAATGCCCACAGGGATATTATTATCTCCAGTGTAGATCTCTACTTTAAGATCCAGACTTTGTTAATGTTGCTTGTCTTAAAAAGTATAAATATCCATGCAGTTGAGCAGTCCTAAAATACAACTTTTCCTTTACTCATGCCCTATCTCCAGCCCACTACAAAGTTTAGTTAATTTTACTACCACCCACCCCCACTTTCCCATCCCCAACCCTTCCAGGAAGGGAACTTTTATAGTATTAGGCAATAAGCAGAGCCGATGAACTAGTAATTAGTCAACTATAAAGCAACCACAAAAGTAGGAAAGAAGAGAAAGAAGAAGTAGGCCAACCACAAGGCAATTGAACATGAAGTGAGCTAAAACATGCATCCTAGAAAAAGAGGAAGTAGCCAAGAATGACATATCATGAAGAATGGCAATGCCTATCATGAATGTCTATGCCAGAGGGGTATGTCCAACCAGTATGGACACTAAGACAAAGGTCAATTGTGAAACCTGGGGAAAAATCTGAAGCTGGAGTTAGAAGAAGAGGTATTCCTAGGGAGCAAGGAATGGGATTTATGATCTGCTGTTCAGCTTTATTCTATGTTTGGCTTTAGATTTGTCTAGGGTTTACTTCTGTTCCTGAGTCATCTGGAGTTCCCTGAAAGCAGAGAACTCCATGCTTTCAAGGTTGAAGCATAACTGATTCTCTCACAATCTGGCATTCTGAACAGGATTGAAGGTTCAGAAATTCTATGTACTAACATAGGAGAGTTAGGTGGCAAAGCTGTAGTGTAAACTCTATGAAACAAAGATTACACATTGTGTTAGGCCATTCTTGCATTGCTGTAAAAAATAACTGAGACTGGGTAATTTATCAAGAAAAGAGGTTTAACTGGCCCACAGTTCTACAGGCTTTACAAGAAGCCTGATGCTGGCATCTGCCAGGCTTCTGGTGAAGCCTCAGGGAGCTTTCAATCATGACGGAAGGCAAAGGAGTAGTGGGGGACATCACATGGTGAAAGCAGGAGCGAGCAAGCAAGAGAAAGAGAGAGAGACCACACACTTTAAAATGACCAGATCTTAGTCATTATCATGAGGACAGCACCAAGGAATGGTGCTAAACCATTCATGAGAAATCCACCCCCATGATCCAGTCACCTCCTACCAGACCCCACCCCCAATATTGGAGATTACAATTCAACATGAGATTTGGGTGGGGAAAAATATACAAACTATACCACACAGTGATCTGATCAAGCACTGAATTTGAGATTTCTTAGAATTATATATTTGGGTAAGTTTATTAAAAGCCTTTTGAAGACCTGATGAAATGAGAGAGGGAAATGAGGCCTGGAGAATGTAAAATTAGAGACATAATTACGGAATGTCTCACCCACTTGGAATTTGAATAATTGCATCTACCCAACCAGATTAGTAATGTATAAAATCTTCTATCCTGTTTAAATTTGAGAGGTTACAGCATTATGCTCCTAAGATCTTTAAAAGGTCATGCTGCTATAAAGACACACGCACATGTATGTTTATTGCAGCACTATTCACAATAGCAAAGACTTGGCACCAACCCAAATGTCCAACAATGATAGACTGGATTAAGAAAATGTGGCACATACACACCATGGAATACTATGCAGCCATAAAAAATGATGAGTTCATGTCCTTTGTAGGGACATGGATGAAGCTGGAAATCATCATTCTCAGCAAACTATCGCAAGGACAAAAAACCAAACACTGCATGTTCTCACTCATAGGTGGGAATTGAACAATGAGAACACATGGGCACAGGAAGGGGAATTTCACATACCGGGGACTGTTGTGGGGTGGGAGGAGCGGGGAGGGATAGCATTAGGAGATATACCTAATGCTAAATGACGAGTTAATGGGTGCAGCACACCAACACGGCACATGTATACATATGTAACAAACCTGCACATTGTGCACATGTACCCTAAAACTTAAAGTATAATAATAATAAAATAAAAAATAAAAATAAAAAGGCCTTTGATAAACTTACCCAAATACATAGTTCTAAGAAATCCTAACTCAGATTCCTAATGAAAAGACAGAACTGGCTGGAGAACATAAGCAACGCCAGGTAAAGAAAAATTGAATATTGCTACAGCAAATGGTAAGGATATATATTTTATGTCAGGATATTGGGATAATAGTATCTCTTCAAGGAATATTATAGAGCAGAGGTCAGCAAAATACGGCTCATAAGCCAAATCCTGCCTACCATCTGTTTTTGTAAATAAAGTTTTATTGGAGCACACTTGCATTCATTTGCTCATAAATTGTCTGTGGCTACTTTTGTGCTACAACTGCAGAGTTGGGTCTCTACAGAAATGTTTGCAGATCCCTGTTATCGAGTCAATAAGTCATCATGGAACATCTGTAGAATTTCATCTAGCAATAAGTATTGGCAGGTTTCATAAAGACAGACAGCAGAATGGGAATAATCCATGCAGGGTCTGCATTTTGAGGTCTATGAACAAACTGGATATACAGAGTAGAATATTCAGAATGTTATCTGAGAATGCTAAGGGAACTAGAACCCCATTCAGATAAGGAGAAGAAGCTAAGATATACTTACGATAAATGTTGCCATTACTCGGTTCAGGCAAAACATTGTTTGCAAGTGGGGATAGGATATACAGATTAGGAAAAATGGTGGCGAAATTAACCTCAAAGTCAGAAAATAAATATGTCGCAAATTTGTAGATTAATATATTATTTGATATTTATTTATTTGGTGTGTATAATTTTATTTGATGATGATTTCCTTCTTTGAAAAAATGAGATGACAGATTCACCCAAACTGTGACTTTGTAGAAACCCTTGGGTGAGGACAGTTATCAGACAGAGGAAATGAGGCCTGTAGAATGTAAAATTAGAGACATAATTATGGAATGTCTCAACCACTTGGAATCTGAATAATTGCATCTACCCAACAGAGGAAAATGCCTCTGTTGCTGTATTAGTAACATAAAATATTCTATCCTGTTTAAATTTGAGAGGTTATGGCATTATGGTCTTTATAACTATCAATGATTTTTAGCTACTGTATAATAAAGAAAGCTGAAATAAGATGTAATTGAAAGTTAGGATAGTACATTGCAGTTAAGACGACACTATGCTAGGATTAGAACTGTGACGGGATTATTATTCTTAGAGGAATGAAGTTTTGGCTTAATAAATCAAATGTGTATAGTAACAATAGAAGAAATTTTAAATGATATCTTAGAAAATTAATCCTGTACCTCACTTATGATATATTGATAACATTCTGTGCAATTTATTCCTATGAGGGCTCTAAGATCATTCACATTGCTTATAAAATTGTGCTGAGTTTTTCTGTGGGAATTAGCAGAAAGAAGCTAAGTATATAAATTTCAAAAATTAAGACATGGAGGAAAATAGATTTTGGAAAGACTTCAGGAGTGTGCCACTTATGTCGTAAGCATTTCTAAAATGTGTTGCAATTGTTTCTTTGAAAACAGGAAATGAGAATAATAAAAGTGGATGAGAAAAAAACACTTGTGGTAAAAAGTCAGAAGACAGGCAGATTTTAAAATGTGGGCAACTTAGGAATATAGAGAAGATAGGACATAAAAGTGAACATAAAAGGACAAAAAGCTAGCAATAAACTGTGTATAAAAATTACATGGGGTTTGGAATCAGTTTACGGATTGAGTTCCAGCTCAGTCTCTGACTATTTTTATGGCCATGTGTGTATATTTGTAACTTAAAATGAGCATATATGGTCACTGCCTGTATGTAATTATTTACTGAGTTGTCTTACCATGGGAATTTTTCTACCTATTCCTTTTGAGTAACTTTGAAAATTCTGCTTCTGTTGTACCTTAATTGCAAGTCACTCAATTTACTCCTATTGGTAGTAACAAGAAAAAGATGAAACAGAGTTTTGAAATAGACATGAAGCAAAAGTAATGGCAAGAGGAATGGAGGTGTTTGCAAATAAAGCTTGAAGAAAGATGTGAGTAAAAGGAAACCTAGGCCTTGAAAAAAACAAAACAAAACAAAAAACTAGCTTCTGCTGGCTGATACGAAGGCAAAAGAATCTAAAATTCGTACATGAAGGCTGAGCTGGGGAGGTGGGAAGAGACAGGACCCAAGCAGGAAGAAGACACAAGTCAAAATCCTGAAGCTAAAACCTGAACGTCAACACCTCCTCATGGGTGCTGTAAAACCACGATGGCATTGACTATTTGACTATAGGCCCAGACCTTTGATAAGAAAATGCTGTTGAAAATCTCCTTGTATGCACATTATTTATAAAAGAACAAGTGAATTTACAAGCATCCCAAGCTGCAAAGGAACTAAGATCCTAAAACATTTCTGGTGAGTAAGGAATGCTAAGCAGAAATTAGTAATAGGGCCCGGCATCCATTATTACTAGTTTCAAATGTAGATGTCATGTCATTGCTGTATCTTTAATTTGGAGCACTGTCTTTATTGTTTTATGTTACTGGCTATAAAAATATTTATGAAGACTATAACAAGTTCACTCCTAACTTCAATCCTCTTAACCCACCTTTCCCACCATAGGCTTTTCTAGGACCTAACCAGGCGCAGTTCATGTGGACATCTATATACATGTTGCCCATATATTCACACATAAACTATGCTCTTCTTTCATACATAATATGGAATAAGGAAGGCACTTTTTAGAAATTTGGCTCAGATTAACTTTCTGGGCATGACAAACTCAGTGCAAATTCATATCATTCACCTACACTCCTGTCTGTTACCAATACCCTATAATCATAATTCATATTAACATAATTATCTTAGTATTGATTACCTAAAATATCCATAATCATCAATAATTTGTATCAATACAAAATAATGTATGTGACACTTTATCTTAAAGAAAGGGTCCTTTCAAAACAAGAGTTGATAACAAGGACTTTCAGAAATTAGGACTTTCTGAAGCTGGGAAATACACTGAATGTATGTATTTACATACATTTGAAAATATTCTGATTTTTATTCATCTTAACAAGCTTAATGATAGAGTGGAGCAAACCACTTATTTAGAAATACCATTTAAATTTTTTCTGATGAACTTGATGAAGTTCAAGTAGTGGACAACACCAAAAAAAATATTTAAAAGCAGGCCCTTTCTTTTCTGAAGTTTTTATATATAAGTCAGAGTTTTATTTAAAAGTACTTCCTAGCATCTTTA
Organism: Homo sapiens; assembly: GCF_000001405.40. Taxonomy (NCBI): domain Eukaryota; kingdom Metazoa; phylum Chordata; class Mammalia; order Primates; family Hominidae; genus Homo; species Homo sapiens. Next base: position 32,570,422 of record NC_000008.11, on the reverse strand, counting down.
GAATATAAGCTCTCCATGGATAAGAATCATGTCTGTTCTATTCTCTGTTTATTTCCAGAACCTAGCACAATGTACAGAATGTATTAGGTACTTAATAATTATGTGTTGAATAAATGAATGCACAAGCTTCCTATAAGACCTAAAATAAAAGGTTTTTAAAAAAGAAACAGCAGAACATGCATGTTATATAGAAAATATAAAGATAAATATCAGAGGCCAGGAGCAGTGGCTCACGCCTGTAATCCCAGCACTTTGGGAGGCCAAGGTGGGCGGATCACCTGAGGTCAGGAGTCCGAGACCAGCCTGGCCAACATGGTAAAAATCCCGTCTCTACTAAAAATACAAAAATTAGCCAGGCGTGATGGTGTGTGCCTGTAATCCCAGCTACTCAGGAGGCTGAGGCAGGAGAACTGGTTGAACCCAGGAGGCAGAGGTTGCAGTGAGCCAAGATCGCGCCACTGCACTCCAGCCTGGGAGACAGAGCAAGACTCCATCTCAAAAAAAAAAAAAAAAAAAAGATAACTATCAGAAAAAGAATTAACTAGAATTGTTGAGAGGGCTTGTTTTTAGGAAAGAAAACTAGAGATGAAAACGGATGGGAAAAGGAACTGATGCCCACCCCCAAGGTAAATGTTTTACTTGTGTATGATTGTTTTAAAAAACAATGAGCTCACAATAATTTAATAAAAATAAAATTTTATTTAAAAAATGGTGATTTCTATACAAGCCTGTATTTCTGATAAATTATGAAAGAAAGCCAGAAGCAAATAAACTGTAATATTAAAGTGCAGAAAAGAATAAATGAGAAAAGAAAGTACAAGTGCTTCCCTGGCAATAAAGACAGTTTTCATATAATTTTTTTCAGACAGATACCAAGTATAAGTCTACTATATAATCTTTTCTTTTTTAAAGGAGAAAATAGACAGAAAGTTAAACAAGTAAGAGTATAGCTTTCTACTGAGGCAATCCCAGATAAACTGAACTACAGTATCACTAAAGTGAACCATCAGAAATGTACGTATACATGCACACACAGTACGCACAGCACACACACTTCAAGAATCATCTTGGCCTGGCCAGGCACGGTGGCTCATGCCTGTAATCCCAGCACTTTGGGAGGCCAAGGTGGGCGGATCAGTTGAAGTCAAGAGCTCAAGACCAGCCTGGCCAACATGGCAAAACCCCTCTCTGCAAAAAATTCAAAAATTAGCCAGGTGTGGTGGTGTGCGCCTGTAATCTTAGCTACTTGGGAGCCTGAGGCAGGAGAATTGCTTGAATTTGGGAGGCAGAGGTTGCAATGAGTCAAAATCGTACCACTGCACTCCAGCCTGAGTGACAGAGCGAGATGCTGTCTCAAAAAACAAAAAACAAAACAACAAAAAATGATCTTGGCTGATTTCGGCCTTTCAATGTAACTTACTACTTCCACAGGGTAGTCTGAAAAACTTTTTTTTTTTTTTCCATTTCAAGGATTTTCATTTTCACATGGCTCTTGGATGAATTACTTTTGTTCTTATTTATAATCTTTGTTTGTTTGTTTTATTTCTCTGTACTAACAAGATATTGCCTGCAAGTAAAAATTTGTTTTGACACATTTGCTAAAATTATACAATCACAGCAAGTCTCTCAAACCTAGATACTATTTTCAAAGATCTCTTTTGACTTACTCAGGCATGCAAACTTTCATAGTGAGCAGGATTCTCTGCAGGCATGATCCTAAAACTTTGGCGAACATTAGAATCCCACAAACAGCTTATTAAAACACAGGATGCCGGGCCCTATCCCGGACAGCTTCATTCCAGGAGCTCTGGGGTGAGGCCAGGGGATTTGCACTACCCACGAGTTTCCAGGTGATGTTGATGTTGATTTCACCCAGCAGAAGAATCTCTTACTAAATGTCTCCTGGTGTTCTAACTTCTATCATTTGAAGTACTTGGATATATTCCCAAAGCATATCTCTATCATCCATCATTTGATAATACTTGAGTTTTTAAGAATAAGCCTGATGATTTTAAATTTCTTTACCTAAATTTAACTTAAAGAACTAGTGGAAAAACCAAAGCAAACTCCAAAATCCACAGTGTAAAGCATAAAAAGCTCAAAGAGATTCAGTGAGTTAGCATTCTCTTGAAGACAAAAGTGATAACAGCTCACTTGGAGGAAACTTCAATATTGAAACGAGCACTTCGAGATTTATGGTGTATTTTAGACATGTAGGAGCAACTGTCAAGAGAGAATGAGCTCTATTGCAAATAAGTGATTCCCAAGCAGCGAATGACCAATCCCCTCCCATTCATATCCTAACCATATTATTTTCTGCTTTAATAATACTTAGGCCTTAAGAATAACGGAAACACCTGGAGTTGATTTTAACACTACTTTCTAGCCCAGGGAATGGTCCAAATCCCATCAGGCTAAATCTCACCCTTGACCTGCCAAATATGATTACTGGAGTCCAGTCACTTCCCTGCATTCTGCAGCTGTTCTTCCCCCTTCTCCCTTCATAATTATCACATCTACTTCTCTGCCCAGAACTCTAACAGCAGTAAGAGCACACACTGCCAATTCAAGTGGAAAAACAATTTCTTCAATTGACACTCCAAAGCAAAGACGCTTGTGTTGACCTCTTCTGCCAACTATTTGTCTAGGCAATGCACACGCCTTAAGACACTTCAAAGGCACTTTCATTGGTGATGGCTTGAAGCAGGCACTGCTAGGGTGAAACAGCAACTTAAGAGTGCCAGGGCAATAAAACACAACAGTTTATATAAAAAAGAAGTGAGGGGCACCCAAAGTTTTTACGTCCCAGACAAGGCAGAAAGTGAAGTTCCAAACTCATCTACATAGATCCAGTGGCATCAGATAATGGACCACCAGGCTGCAACACTCTCCCTGCCTTGGCTATGGGACTTTGGTCAAGTCATCTAACAACACATCATTTTACTCTTGAAGGCTAAGCATCAGACTAGGCCAGAGAAATTTCTTTTTTAATCTAATTTTTGATGCATTGGCAAAACCTGGTTTCTTCTCTTGTAAACTTGGTAGCAACCACAGCAACTGCATTCAGTGAGATTTACACCTTGTCAAATTTTTCTTAGCCATATTTTGCCCCATTTCATTGAGATATTTAGGATTAACACATTGACATTTTGGTTTATAAAGTCCATCCCTTCCCCACTTGAGGCATTTCTTAGAGATCTTCTTTCTCAAAATTGACCAGATATAAACTTCCTTAGATTCTGAAGGCTAACAAAACCAGAGTCAATTCATCCAAAGAATGCTACTGGCCAGGTGCAGTGGCTCATGCCTGTAATCCCAGCACTTTGGGAGGCCGAGGTGGGCACTTGAGGCCAGGAGTTCAAGACCAGCCTGGCCAATATGGTGAAACCCCGTCTCTACGAAAAATACAAAAATTAGCCGGGTGTGGTGGTGCCTGCTTATAATCCCAGCTACTCAGGAGGCTGAGGCAACAGAATCGTTTGTGGAGGTTGTAGTGAGCTGAGATCGCGCCACTGCATTTCAGCCTGGGCCACAGAGCAAGACCATGTCTCAAACAAAACAAAACAAAACAAAACAAAATGCTACTTTCTGAAAATCCCTAACTTAGGTACTCTTCAGATCAACAAATTGTTTCTGAAGCATTAATATTTTCCTAACATTTTTAGCTCCTTAATGACTAATGATTCCTCTTCCATTCCTGGAAGGTAAGTTTCTCACAAGAACCTCCTGGCTGGAAACAATTAAAAGTGCTGAATGAAATATAATAAACATCACCTTAAAAGAATTTGACAAAAAAGATCATTTTTTGGACAAATTCTAAGGCAAATCTCAAACCTTAGAGATAGACGCAAAATACCTGGACAAAGCAACTACTTTTTCTTCAAGTGCATTTGCTCATCCTGGAGAAAGGGATAGAGGCTCCAGGATCTTCCTGAAGTGGGGAGTCTTAGAGTAGACCCTCTTCACATTAAGCTGGGACCCCAAAAGGAGTAAAGAACCCCAAAAAAGCTACACCAAATCTAAACATACCCATTTAGCCCCAGAGAACTAAAGACATGCTGTCTTTTTTTTTTTTTTTTTGAGATGTTCTGTGGCTGGAGTGAAGTGGTGTGATCTCGGCTCACTGCAACCTCCCCCTCCCAGGTTCAAGCAATTCTCTTGCCTCAGCCTCCCAAGTAGCTGGGATTATTGGCACCCACCACCAGGCCCGGCTAATTTTTGTATTTTTAGTAGAGATGGGGTTTCGCCATGTTGGTCAGGCTGGTCACGAACTCCTGACCTCAGGTGATCCACCCGTCTCCTTGGCCTCCCAAAGTGCTGGGATTACAGGCATGAGCCACCGTGTCCGGCCAGACACATTGTCTTGATCCTGAGTTCAGCCAGAGGGAAAAGCTGAGTCTACCGACAGGTTTCTACATGCCTAGGTGTGCACAGGCTGGTAGGCCACAGAACCTCAAGCCACGAACTCGGTAAGTTTCCAAGTACCCAGCAGTAACACTTACCTTCTCGGCAGGAATGTGCTTCTATCCCATGCCTTGAGGAATGACACAGATAATTTTTACAGAGCAATGGCCAACACAGGGTCAGAGACCAACCATCAAGCACAGAAGGAACCAAGGCATAGAGAGTGAGAACCAACACAAACTGAAATTACCACACAGAAATTATGAAACAACTAGGCTTACTCTGCTAAAAGAAATAAATAACAACCTGAAAAATATCTACAGGGACCTTGAAAATATAAAATACAACATAGAAGGTTTGAAAAGGCACCAAATAAAACTGCTAGGTTTAGGGGGGAAAACAGTCCTTGAAATGAAAAACTTCATGGATGGTTTTGGCAGCAGACCGCACATAGCTGAAGAGTCAATGAGTGAAGGGGAAGATAACTTCAAAAGAGATACAGCGGGAGAGTGAAACAAAATGATGGGAAACGTGAGGGAAGTAAAAAGAACCAGTGTTCAGAGAAAGAAGGTCCAACGTACTTTTAGTTAAAGTTCTAGACCGGGCATAATGGTTCACACCTATAATCCCAACACTGGGAGGCCAAAGTAGAAGGATCGCTTGAGGTCAGGAGTTTGAGAGCAGCCTAGAAAACAGCAAGACTCTATCTTTAAATTATAGAAAAAGAAAATTCCAAAAAGAGGGAAGAGAATGGGATACAGGAAATTTTTAAGAGATATGGAGAAGAATTTTCCTGAAAGCCAATTTATATGTTTGACAAGCCCAATGGTCCTGAGTGGGATAAAGAAAAAGGAATGCATGATAGTGAAACTGACAGGGGAATGGGAATGGTGGGCAGGGTTAAATGCCATAACTTCAAAAAAGATTTGTTGGAGAACAATTTTTTTTTGAGACTGGGTCTTTCTCTGTCACCCTGGCTGCAGTGCAGTGATATGATCATGGTTCACTGTACCCTCAAACTCCTGGGCTCCAGCAATCCTCCCACCTCAGCCTCCCAAGTAGCTGGTACTACACATGTGCACCATTATAACTGGCTAACTTTTTTTTTTGGTAGTGGGGAGAGGAAGATGGTGTTTTTCTATGTTGCCCAGGCTGGTTTCAAACTCCTGAGCTCAAGTAATCCTCCTGCCTCAGCCTCCCAAAGTGCTGGGATTATAAGCGTGAGCCACCACGCCCAGCCATAGGACAAAATCTTCAAAGCCTCCAGAGAAGAAAGGCTGATCACCTTCAAAGGAATGAAGTTAGACTGACATTCCTACCTTCTTAACAACCCTTGATTGATTAAAGTACCCTGATGAGACTAGCTGCATCTTGGTTTTAGACCAAACTGTATGCTTTATCTAATACCATAATTGCATGCTGACTAAGCCCATTCTCTGAACTCTTTCTCAAGGTAATAGGAATAAAGAGGATGTAAATTTCTGAAAATAATTCTGAAACAATCGGCAGCTTTTAACTTTATTACCCTATAATGTGGTGAAGCCACTGTACTAGAAATAATGATGCTTAGCTTATAAGTTTTGTCTGTGTTAAAATCTTCCCACCAATCAATTAAAACACCTTCCTGGAGTTGAGCCACAGGGAAAGAGAAAAAAAAGTGGGATTGATTCTTTCCTGGCAATAAATGAACGAACCTCCAGGTGATAGACTTAAATATATTTTTAGGCCATTCATGAAGCACCCAATGCTTGCTCAATATTTCTTCTTTTAGATTAAGTTTTTGAGAAACAAAGCTTTTCTTTCATCTATTTCCTCTAAGATCTTTGATTTATACTTTATATCCTATCAGCCAACGCTTAATTATTATTGTAATAATGACAGACAGCATTCTCTGTTTCTCTGTGTGGGACTCGGTGACTCTGATTTAAAAAGGCCATCAAAATGATTTATCATACACATTCACAGGGACGATCACAGCAGCTTAATCCACTTCACTTAAAAAGCAGTCTGCTGCTTGTCTAAGACAATACTCATTTTATCGAGAGGAGAATAGATACATTTGGGGATCTTAGTAATAGAAAGTTTAAGAGGTATCCTTTCAATGAATAGCTTGATGACAATTCAGAGTTACTACAGAGATATGGTGTCATAAATCAACTTAATGTTACGATTCTTCTGTTAAGATGATCAACAAGGTTGAAAAAGTACTTGATGAGTTTAGGGAAAGAGATACCTCTGGAAATGAAACAGAGCCTATATCCAAAATGGAAGTATCAGCTATAGAAAGTTAAGGATGGAGAAGAATAAAAACTGAATGTGAAGAACATAAACCACTGAGGAAAAATTATTCTGAAAGGCTCTGTTTAGCCTGTATTTTCCACTGCTTCATATCTTTCTGCTGCTCAGCAGAGGTTAAATCCCACAACTTCAATTGTATCACATACTCATGAGAGACGACTAAGTTAAAGGTATCTGAGAGATCACAATTCATAACCAGTACCCAGTTTCTATTGAGAATTTAATAAAAGGCTTCTGCACTAGTAATTCCCAAATATACTTACCATCTTCTACATTTTCACTAAACAATTCACATACCTAAACAAATCTTCTAGGTGTTCACTAAGATAAATTAACACTACAATTTCACCCATCAAAAGTTATTCTATAGAAGATAAGCTGTTTCCTACATAAAACAAATTTGCTATTTGCCTAGACTTTATGTGACTATTATTCTTCAAATACCTTAGGCTTTCTAAAAACATAGTCACTACTAAAGACTCTAAGTGAGCCAATATTTTGGCTTCCCTGGGCCACATTGGAAGAAGAATTATCTTGGGCCACATATAAAATACACTAACACTAATGACAGCTGATGAACTGGAAAAAATAATCACAAAAAAGCTCATAATGTTTTAAGAAAGTTTACAAATTTGTGTTGGGCCACATTCAAAGCTGTCCTAGGATGCATGAAGCCCATGGGCCATGGGTTAAACAACCTTGTTCTAAGCGAAAACATACCAGGAACACATCACACCAAATCAGAGACCACTGATCTAATAAAATGCCGACTTTGAATCATAGCTTTCTTCTACCCCTAAAGTTGTTATACCTCATCTACATCAACCTTGCTAATTATTAGACAAGGAAATAAATCCCAGATACTTTAAATGATTGCCCAAATCATATACAGTTAGTCCTCCTCTGTCTTCTTGACTGCTGCCCAGAACAGTGCCTTTCCATGCCAGTACATGGTGTTATTTGACCAAGGTTCCTGATTCCCTCTCCTCCCAAGAGACAGCTACTCATGATACACTTTTACAGGCTCACACACTTACCCACATTCTCACACACACGTACATACATGCACACTCACACACTGAAACCATGCCGTCATCCTTCAGCCCTCTCAGTCTGGCCCAGGCATGCTTCCTGGTTACAACCCAGAGGCGACTTTGAATCCATCACTGGCAAGCCAGGCACAGTGGTTCATGCCTATAATCCCAGCACTTTGGGAGGCCAAGGTGGAAGGACTCCTTGAGCCCAGAAGTTCTAGACCAGCTTGGGCAGCATAGCAAGACCCCATCTCTACAAAATTAAAAAAAAAATAACCGAGCATGGTGGTATATGCCTGTAGTCCCAGCTACTTGGGAGGTTAAGGTGGGAGGATCACTAGAGCCCAGGAGTCCCAGGCTACAGTGAGCTATGATCACACTATTGCACTCCAGCCTGGGCGACCAAACGAGACCTGTCTCAAAATAAAATCCATGACTGGCTGGGAATCAGCAGTTGTCTGTACCCCCAGCTTTTTGGATGGGCCCCCAGTGAACTCTTCAGTCCCTTTCTAGCCACTCTTTAATTCTCTTGTTAATGGGGCCAGCTGGGTATGAATCAGCAGACTTTAGGAGTCTCTACCACCCTCAAAGGATCTGTGTCTTCCTGAGGGCAAAGCTCCTCCCTGCTATAATCTGTAGAGTGGCATTCTTCCCATAAATGGGTCCCAGAAATCTTTAGGACACCCATGTGAGGCCCAGACCAGAACCACAATACTTTGAGTCTTCCTTTCTTTTAGGATGCCAAATCCCACAAATAAAGGACTAAATAATCTTATAATGTGGGGAAAATAACTGCAGGTCTCATTCCCCCAAGCTCCTCCACCCCCCACCCCCCAAAAACCCTAAATAAATAAATATAAACAAATCCCCTAATGCAAACTGAACTACTGCCCTGGAAATTTAATAATGGACTAGGAGGCCTTTGACCCCTGGGTCTCTGGGTCAAAGATAATTCAGGTTGTTAGTGATAAACTGTCACTGCAATCAGTGACTGGTCAGTGGCTCACAGATGCAAGCGAGTGACTCAGTGGTCTCAGAGCAGCTGTCAAGGGACAAGCACTGAGGATGCTTTTTTGCATGCACATAATTTACAGAGAGCCCACAAAGATCTCTTGCTTGTTTTCAGAGTTTCCTGCATAAAGGCATTGGTGCTAAAAAAAGTTTAAGAGCGCTGAGGCAGCTCATTACTATACTATACTAATTCACATTCACACACACACCCATTACCCTCCTTTTCCATGTTATGACATTAGGACTACTTATTTTATGGTCATCTTGTCAGTCAAAATTTATTGAAGCTACTTGGGTACAAGATACTGCAAGAAGGAACAAAAAGATATAAAGATTCGGTTGATTTACAGCCTTCAAATTCCTATGAATCATAGGTACTCTAAGCTATTCCTCAATGGCACAGAAATACATCTCTCTTATCTGGAAGCATAATAACACCCAAAGCACTATAAAAGTGAAGCTGAATTCATATATAGTGCCATCTTGAGACTGAAAGTATAGCATGGTAATAATTAAAATCCTTACCCTGAAATCTGGAGATCTGGGTTCTAGTGCTAGGATTGATGCCCTTGTTGTTTGTACCTTGTGGTTTTCCTCAACTAAAAAGATGAGATTCGAGCAGATGACCTCTAAGACAACCTTTTCAGTTCTAACACTCTATGATTTTTCTCAGGACTACTGTAGTTATATTTAAGACCTTACTTTTTAGGCAGTACTAATATTGTTTAAGATTACTTTCATTACCTACCAGGAACAGCGGTCGTTTATTCATATAACAAACTCTTAACATAGCAAACATTAGGTGCCAGGCAATGGCCATAGTAATTTACAAAGATTAACTGCAGCATCTTAATCCATTTCTTAGTTGCTTCTATGTACTCAAAAACAAATGTAACAAAATATTTTAATGGTAGCAAGAATTGTGGACTGAGCAAACCTCTAATTCCAATTCATTAGTCTGAATAATTAAGCACTGATTATGACTTACACAGAGAGCTTCAAAATAAACAGTGCAAATTTCAACCACAAAAATAACAATTTAGGAACAAATCCATGCATCACTGATACTGCTGAATTGCACTCATACTTTCTTATTAACTGACAGTAGCATAATAACTAAACTGCTACCCATCAACTCCTACAACTCAATGTCTTAAGCAAACTAGCCATACTTCCTCATTCAGTCAGTTACTGAATAAATTCTTAAAAACAAAGACTATGTTCTCAGCACCATGATGGCACCTGGTGATATGACAACATAAAAGACAGATATGACTTTGTGGCTTTTACATTCTAGAGATGTGAAATGCTAAACTCTGCATTTATGACCACTCAGCAGAAAATTCTTCTGGCTGAGGACAATGGTTTATTTATTTTTTTTAATTAAAATACATGAGTGCCAAAATAAAATGCTCAAAATAGAATTGAAATTGCTCTGACTTTGGTCTTGCAAACAAAAAAAAAAGCAAAAAGAATAAAAGGACTCAGATAAATAAAATAATTTAAAGTATATTTTCTGTATTATAGAAAATAAGGTGATAGAATGTAGAAAGTTACCTATTTATGAACATTTATTGATGTCCTTACAGCTTAACAGCTATGCATTTATACCAAGTCTTGAAAATACTATTTCATTTATATCTTATTTTATTTTATTTTGACACAGGGTCTCACTCTGTCACCCAGCCTGGAGTGTGGTGTCACGATTCCAGCTCACTGCAACCTCTGAGAGCTCAAGTGATCCTTCTGCCTCAGCCTCCCAAGTAGATGGGACTACAGGTGCATCCCACCATGCCTGGCTAATGGTTTTTCTTTTTCTTTCTTTTTTTTTTTTGTATTTTTTTGTAGAGACAGATTTTTGCCATGTTGCCCAGGCTGGTCTTGAACTCGAGCTCAAGCGATGCTCCCACCTCAGCCCCTCAAAGTGCTGGGAATACAAGTATGAGGCACCATGCATGGCCTTGAAACACCATTTCAGGTGGCTAGTAATCACAAAAGTAATTCTTTAAAAAGAAAACCTATCTGACCATTTAAAAGGTAGCTCTAGTCAATTTAAAGTATAATAATGTATTGATACTTTTTGAATCTAATTGAAAAGAAAGCCTGTATCCATAAAAAGTACATAAGAACATTTTCAGGCAATCTGCAAATTTGGTACTTAGAACCATGCATATGTATATCACATACAATCATTTCCCATTTCTTATTTTCTAGAGTGACCAGAAAAAGAATGACTTCTTCCATGAAACTATCAGTCATTACCCAAAGAAGAGGCTTTTAGTTACAAATGTACCATAAAATATGACAATTATTAGAATGTCCACCATTGGCTTAATTTGTCAAGGGAGTTTTCAAAAAAGAATTGCTGTATTCATAATCAAAAACCAGATTCTTATAAGGTCTGAGTAGTGATTTTTTTTTTTTTTTTTTACATTTTAGAGTGAGATGACATACTAATACTAGCAAAACATTGTGAATTTTCCAAAGGGTTATTTCTCTCTGTAAATTAATGTGAGAATTCCAAGACAATTTGGGGGGTGAATAAATTGTTCTTTTGATATGGTTGTTAACTTTTTTTTTTTTTTTTTTTTTCGCTGAGACAAGTCTTACACTGTCACCTAGACTGGAGTGCAGTGGTGTATCATAATTGCCCACCACAGCCTCAACCTCCTGGGCTCAAGTGATCCTCCCATCTCACCCTCCTTAACAGCTGGACCACAGGCACATGCCACCTTGCCCGGCTAACTTTTTGGATTTTTAGTAGAGATGAGGACTCCTGTGTTGCCCAGGCTGGTCTTGAATCCCTGAGTTCAAGAGATCTCCCACTTTGGCTTCCCAAAGTGTTGGGATTACAGGCATGAGCCACGTGCCTGGCCACAGCTGTAACTTACATTGCTCCAGAGCAACAGGATTACTCAGCAACTATGCCATCCAGCTGTGGATGAAATGCACAGACACAAATCCCAAATGGCCATCTGCATTAAGGTCAAGAGTAACTTTATGAAATCACATATCTAAAATGACAAGAAGAGCCTCAGGTCTTCTTTGGTTGCCTCTTTCATAGAGTCCTGTGATATCAGAGGCACAGCCACTTTGCGGCTCTCCCAAACACACAGGTCCAAATGCAGGTCCCTGTTAGATGGTTGCCACCACCCTCTGTTTACAGAGTTTTATTCCTATACTGGTGCACTCAGGGCAGAGCAGCAGGATGGTTATGTCCTTCCTTTTCTATTTCATAAGGGAGAAGGAAATCAGCATATCTTAATGGAAAGTAAACGAAGGCACTGAAACATGTCTTCACCTGACACAGCATAACCACATTCACCACATGCAGAAGTGGGGTTTTCACTGGGCTTTTTAAGTTTAGTGAAAACCGAATGCATAATATTTATTCTGTAATCAGTAGCATATTGCAAGTAATCACATTTCCCCACGCCATGCACAGTCCAATGTAGAGGCTCTTTCAGTCAAGGCGGCCTTGTGTGGATTCAGTCTGAGAAGGCGATGACTCCGTAGAGGCCACAGGGACTATACTCTACGCTCTCCCTTAGCTTCTGTTGATTCCTGGAGAACGATAGCGGTCCTTGTCTTTTCTGCCTTCTTTTAAGTGGATCGCTATCCTTTTGGATGGGGCATAAATGATATGCACAACATTTAAAACTCCACTGTTCCTTTCTAAATATCAAAATATAATAAGTAACTATTTCTATTGACATTTCTCCTTCCTGTCAGGTTGAGGGCACTTGGGAACACACAATATCATCAACATGTTTCAAAAAAAGAAAAGAAAAACCCTCAAGACATAAGTCTCCCATTTCTATTCAATTTAATATATGGAAAATCATGTATTTCATTTTCCATTCAACTCAGTATTCAAATTATTGGTTTCCTCTTGACAAACCTACCCGCTCATTTCCATAATGCCTGTAAGTATTACTCTTTCCCAAAATGGATAATGCATGAGCAATCCCCCGGGAAGGTTCCAACTCTACAGCAAGGTGACCTCACTAAAAAAAATTATAATCATAATCTATTTTCTGTATTTCATCTAATCCTTCTGGGGACAATATACCAGCCTTCAATATTTTTCCCAGAAATAGATGACAATCAGTTTCAATATGACTGCTATTATAACTGTTTCTAAAGATCTACCATCTCATGGGCTTCAAGACAGACCCCTCTCTTTTGTTACTTATTTTTAAACAACTGAAACAACAGAATGGAAAAGGAATACTATAATTTTAAACAATAAAATGTTGTGCATAATCCCAATACTGTACTTCCATTTCACCCTGTTGGCAGAAAAGAGATAAAATACCAAAAGATATAAAAACAGATTTGATACGTACACACAAAAACAATGCCTACTTGCTGGGCGCAGTGGCTCATGCCTGTAATCCCAGCACTTTGGGAGGCCGAGGTGGGTTAATCACAAGGTCAGGAGATCGAGACCATCCTGGCTAACACAGTGAAACACCGTCTCTACTAAAAATACGAAAAAAATTAGCTGGGTGTGGTGGCAGGCGCCTGTAGTCTCAGCTACTTGGGAGGCTGAGGCAGGAGAATGGCATGAACCCAGTGGGGGGAGCTTGCAGTGAGCTGAGATCGCACCACTGCACTCCAGCCTGGGTGACAGAGCAAGACTTAGTCTCAAAAAAAACCAAAAACCAAAAAACAAAAACCAATGCCTACTTGATACACAAATGAAAAATTGTGTTAACTTACTATACGTAATAACACACGTTACTTGTTTTGACAAAAATATCACTGCAAATTGGAATTTTGACATCTCCTTGTAAAGGCTGGTTTTAGATTCCCTGTGGGATTGCTAAAGAGACTGTGCTATCCTTTAAAAATGCAATGTAAGTCTCTAAAATTGGGAGATTATATGCAACAAAGGGATGAGTTATAAACATATACAGTTTTAAAAACTGGCTATATCGAAATTTGAACTTTATTTATAAAATAGGCCATCTAATAATGAGATGCATTTTCACCTGATGATAAAATTCATACATTAAAACTACTAAAAAGCTTGCATTGATGTAGTACTGTGAAAGTGAACAAAAGGTTTTCTTTTCCTTTTTTCATATTACTCCATAACTAAAGCCAGGATTATTCAGCAATCTTCCATATTTCCTACTCATTGCTCTGTAATCTCTCTGTAGAAATAATGGTGGTTAAGATAAGGTGCAATAACAACTATCTGCTAATAGGTCAAATAAAAATGAGTCATATTTTATGGTGGAAACTTACTACTTTTCTCACCAAGGGAAAATGCTAGTTGCTCTGTCATTCTAATTTTATGCTAAATTCATTTAATATGGATATGATTTTAGCTGATTTATTGGTTGTAAAAAATGTTACTGCTTCAATTATCCCTAGCTCAGATTTCTTTTATGTATTACTTCAATCCTATTTAATTATCAAAAACGTACATAATTCTTTTTCAAAGTTGTCATTATTACTTAAAGAATATGTAAAGAATAAGTAAAGTCAAATTACTTTTTCAAAGTCCAAATATTAAACTGTATGACATGGACAATATTCAGCCAGGTATGACCTACAAAACTGACAATTTCATATGATTCAATCTAATAAAACATTCTGTGACTCTCATATCATTGAAAGTAAAACTCCACAGCTGCCCAGAGAAGGCAGCTCCCTGCCCATCAAAGCTGTGGAATGAAAGGTTCGGGGCACTGTGGCAGTCAAAGACTATTCCCATCAACGACAGATTTCTTGGAGCAAGAAACAATGGGAACAATATTACACTTTAAAAAGGGAAGGGGAGTAATATCCTGAGAGTAACTCATGTCAAAGATAACAAGTACAGGGTGGAATTAACATAAGCAGGTAAACCATAAATAACAAGGCCTGTGTGACCATATTAAAATATCAGCCCCGCCGGGCGCGGTGGCTCACGCCTGTAATCCCAGCACTTTGGGAGGCCAAGGCGGGCGGATCACGAGGTCAGGAGATGGAGACCATCCTGGCTAACACGGTGAAACCCCGTCTCTACTAGAAATACAAAAAATCAGCCGGGCGTGGTGGTGGGCGCCTGTAGTCCCAGCTACTCGGGAGGCTGAGGCAGGAGAATGGCGTGAACCCGGGAGGCGGAGCTTGCAGTGAGTCGAGATGGCACCACTGCACTCCAGCCTGGGTGACACAGTGAGACTCCGTCTCAAAAAAAGTACATAAATAAAATCAGCCCATGATCCACAAGAATTAGTCACTCAAACCTGTGTTCAAAAATGTGCACTCAATCAAAGTGGGGCTCCTAAACATTTGTTGCCCCTGGGTTGAGGAAACAGAGAGATAGGAAGAGATGAAAACAAATGTGTTAGTAAAGATCTGTTGTCCAACTTTGATGCTTTCACCTATAGTTTTCCAATGCCAGAGTGAAACTCTTAAATAGCACTAAATCTCTTTGTGGGTACCATGTGCACTTCAGTGGGAGGGAGCTGTTGTAAGGCGTGATTGGAAGGTATTTAAAGATGCTTGATTCTCTTGGGGGAAATTCCTAGAGGGAATTAATCTGACAGATGTCCCCTTGCAAGCTAACCACTGCATCAACATCATCAGAATAATGTTTTAAAATATTCTAATTTAGAATACTTAATGAATTAGGGCTATGTGGTCCAGCTGGAAAACAAACTCCAGTTGAGGCAGCTAACATGTATGGAATCGGGACTCTGTTCTTCCAGTAGATTGCCCAGAATACTGCAGTAACTTAAAAAAAAAAAGAGAGAGAGAGAGAAGAAAAAAGCAGTCTTTGGGGAATAGCAGTGTGATGCTCCTGGAGCACCCTCTGGAGGCCAGAAAAAGGTGACATGGGGCATAGGAAGAATGAAGAGAATTCTGATCATCTCTGCTCTTATGTAGAGGCAGAACTCCACAGATCTCACTTGACTTGGACTGAAAAATGCACTTTATCAGTCATAATCAGGGCAACATAAGAAAGTGCATATCTAATTTCTAGTTTAAAAATGCAAAAGAAATCTAATGTGTTAACGACATTCTCAAATAATTTTGTTTCCTAATTTTAAAAAATTAACATATTTTCTGCCTACATTCTGAATTCTTTTGGGAATTTACTGCAGAGGCTTTTTTAAAAAAATTTAGAAGAAAGATGAGAACATGGAATATTTTCCTTAATAAAATGTACTTTTGTAAACAGGGTTATATACAGTGAATTATTAGTCAATTGTTGAAAAGTAGCCAGCTTTATGTTTAGTAAAACCAAAAATAAATAAAGCTGTCCATTTCTTCTTTTTTTCTAACACCTCACTTTTTCTAAAGCGACAAACACTGACATCTATTGGTATTTTGGTAGCTCGCTTTTTTTTTTAACCCATTAAAACATACACAAGGACACACACAAGTGCAGACATGCACAAAATTAGGAGAAATCCAAAATATCATTAGTTCCTTCAAGAAAACTTCATTGTATGTACCTTAGTGGCATATTTTTTATCTGGGTAAAAGAAATCCGTTTTCAAGCTAATACTATCTGATTTATTTTTTTGTTTTTTCTATTTGTCAAGAGGGGGAGCTCCAGGGTTAACTAAACTACCAGAAGTTCATTCATTTGCGTCTTTGAGCAAATAAAGTGACTCACCCAAAATACTGGCATTTGGTTTGTTTTCATCTATCCTAACAGAACATGATAAACTATCAGTACTGTTCAAATCCAATTTAACTTGTTACTTGGAGAATGCTAACAGAACATTGATTTGGTAAGAATCTATCACACTTCCAGAACTTTAAACACTACCTATAGCCATTCTAGGAAGGCTGAGGAGGAAATAAAAAACTAGAAATGTGAATTTAATATATTCCTTATTTTGTTTATATTTAGAAACACCTGCACTCAATTCTATGAACATTGCTGGCAATATACTGTTATGCTTGATAAAAAGATAGTGAGGGGCAGGTTGGTGCACACTTTTGTTTTTCAATTGCTGCAATTTATACGAGTCCCAAAAGAGAAGATTATGTATTCTATACAATAAAGTGAGGTTTAAGCATCAACTCTTAAGTGTTGCCAGAAAAAAGAGTCATGTTTCAAAATCTTCTCATAGCTTGAAACCTCAACATTTTTCTGCCAGAGATAAAATTATGTTGCACCTCACTCTACTTTCAATATTTAGATTGAGTTCAGTACTGTTTTCATAATGTATATATGCAGTTATGGAATTTGACACTCTTATCCACTTTTCTCTAGTTTTACAGGTAGTACATATTAATATTTATAACCACTGTAATCTGAGGTCAGCTTTGGATATTTTTTACCATAAAAGGTAAATTTTGGAAATTATATCAAATATCTTTGCAAAGACACAGATAATTCATTTCTTAAGTAGTTTTATAAAGACAGCTAAT
This sequence comes from Homo sapiens, assembly GCF_000001405.40. Classification (NCBI taxonomy): domain Eukaryota; kingdom Metazoa; phylum Chordata; class Mammalia; order Primates; family Hominidae; genus Homo; species Homo sapiens. Next base: position 32,553,290 of record NC_000008.11, on the reverse strand, counting down.
ATTACTGGGCACTTATTACATGTTGGTTGATGTTCAGAGTGCTTTTCATGGATTATTTCCTTTAAGCTTCATGAAACCCTCATGATAATAATAATAGTATTATTATCCCCATATTGCAGAAAAAGGAAATTTAGGCACAGAAAGATTAAGTAACTTTCCCATGACTACATATTTAAGGAACAGCCTAATTAGGATTTAAACCCAGGCAATCTGGCTGAAGAGCTAAGGACTAGGCCATCTGGCATCTTGCTGCCTAATAGCAAGGAATTTTCTTATTTTCGAAAGGACGGATGACAAAATACACAATATACATCTGTTTTACTGCCTGGAACATGGTAAGAATTCAATAAATAGCAGGTCCCTCATTAATAAACATAAAAGTGTCCAGCACAGTGCCTGGCATGTAGTAGGTATTCAGTGTTCATGTTTGTCTAATATTTTTTGGTTCTCTATATATATTTTTTCTCCTCTTTTTCATTAGTGTTATCTGACCATTTCATGGGTATGAGAAGTATTCATGTCTGAATATACAACTTTCTTCCGCTCTTCCTGCTATTTTAATTCTGCAAAATAAGTCCTATTTCATTCTGTGAATAATCTTTAATGTTTTTAATAATTACATAGGCTAGGTGGTTACAAGTAACCAGGTTGAAACAGATCACTGGACATTCCTCTTGTTCTGTAAACACAGGCTGCCCCGTTAGGGTCAGGGTACTTTATACGCAAGAATGTTTACAAGCACTTCAGCCTGCAGAGCCACTTAGTGAGGGAAACAGGTGGGTGATGTCATTGGGGAAACACACAGCCTGCTTCTACCTATTTGGGATACTAGGTTTCTCAATGTTTCCATCACCCAGACTCACAAATGCCCCTCCTACCAGGAGTGAAGGGAGACAGGATAGTTCTAGAATCTGGCTAGGCATGATAGTGAATTTTTCCCAGGTTATTTAAGAGGAAAAAGAAAAAAGACAGAATTCCGTGCAGAGGTGCAGAGTAAGAACAACATATCGACAGAGAATCACAAAGGAAGCTTAGAGTCAAATACCAATTGGCCAAAAATTAAAAAAAAAAAAAAAAAAAGCGGCCAAGCGCCGTGGCTCATGCCCGTAATCCCAGCACTTTGGGAGGCCGAGGCATGTGGATTGCGAGGTCAAGAGATCGACACCATCCTGGCCAACATGGTGAAACCCTGTCTCTACTAAAAATACAAAAATTAGCTGGGCATGGTGGCGCACACCTGTAGTCCCAGCTACTCAAAAGTCTGAGGCAGGGGAATCACTTGAACCCAGGAGGCAGAGGTTGCAGTGAGCCGAGATTGCACCCACTGCACTCCAGCCTGGCGACAGAGCGAGACTCCGTCAAAAAAAAAAAAAAAAAAAAGCTCTGGTTTTGTAATTCAGGCTTCAAGAGAAAAAGTCTGTTGAGCTGAATCAGTATGAAGAGGCTGGATATGGGAGGTCCAGCACCAAGGAGACCCAGGCTGTTACAGGGCTCTTGGTACGTGGATCAGTGATACAGCACCCAAGACTATTCTTAGCTTGCTTATTTTGAGCAAAGAAAAGGAATCAATGACTCCAAGGGCTTGGGACCTATTAGAGCTATTATTATGGAATAGATAATTGTGTTGAACATCTGCAGCCCCAATAGTGTGCAATTCAACATTTAGTTAATTGTATAAAAGTGCAGATGCTCTGAAATAGCCATGTATGTATCGCATATCAGTCACTCATGCCATATGAAAGTTAAAGAAGCCTTTTCCCCCTGAAAATTTCCCTCCAACAGATGTGTTTATGCCTATGCGTACAATATAGCACACAGCGGGGCTGAGTGGCTGAGATCCCACCCCATTATCTCTCCCCTGACTGTCATGAGGCAATGTTAAAACAGCTGAAGAGAGGCTTGGCTATTGCATACATATCATCAAGGACAGACAGTTGCAGTGGCTGTTTTAAGAAAGGAGTGAAACTTGGAACTGACAGGCACTAAGATGGGAGCAATACAAGAGAAACTTGTCCTCCTAAGTCCTAATTTGGGCTGGCACGGCAAGTGTGAATACTAGAGTTATGGCATCTATAGGTCGTTCCTTTGGGAATGCCTGAAACCTAGAGTGTGGGTTTTTCTCACAAACCATTATAGTCATCAGGTATGAATTCTCCTAAGACAAGGAAAACTACACTGGCACTTACCATTATAAGGAAAATGACAAAGAAGGAAAGAAACACTGATTCTGAAGCATTGTATTTAATGCCATGTGCTTCTATATAAAGCTGGTTTCAAGTTGTTGACCATTCTTTCTGAATCAAATAAAGAATACATATTCTTATCTGGTTTAAAAAGCACAAGATGCTTCGAAGGGGGTAAAAAGTCCCTCCCCAAAAAAGATTATAATCTGGTGGAAAACAGAGACAAATATACTAAAAACTAACCTACAGCCAAATTCACCCCAATTTTTCAGGGAAGACAGTTAAGCAAATGTCACTTAAAGATACTGACTTAGCTGGTTTACAGGGAATCACTGCTGTACCACTGGAAAGCAGATGAGAGCCACCAAGGAAGCTCTGGTGCTCTGTGTCAAGAGAGCGTAGCTAATCACAAGACAGCTGCCTACCTAGTAGATGAGATCTGGAGGGCACAGAAATGCCTGCCCCTCCCCCACTGAACTTGTCAAGTTGCTGTGTTACGGTACTGCTGCTGGGAGCCCTTGACAAAATGCACACCTATTACCTGAACAGGATGCTACTTCAGACCGCTGGCCCCTTCTTAATTCATTAGACCATCTACAGAGGACCACAGAAACTTCTTCTGAAGCCAATGAGCAGGGAGACAGGAGAACACAACCACAAACAGTGATAAGAGCCCCCAAAATAACTCTTTACAACGATTTGAGCTAGGTCTGAAATCTCCGTAATGTACTATGATGACCTTAGAAAGGACAGTAGACAAAGTCACGCAGGGAGGTAACTAATCCAGCTCCCCAATTTCCTATCTTGTTGAATAAAGTGCTATGGTCTCTCCCCAAAATATAGGGTAAAAATAAGGGAAAATTCAATACACCCTCATGAGGGGCAATGATCAGTAATTGAAGTGAATATGATCAGCAGGATCTTATTAAAGAAGCAAGCACAAGAATGGCCAGTGGTGAAACAATTACTCTCTGTTCAATTTCTGTTTTGCTCAAAACTCTGCTGAAGGTCTCTGCCAATAACCCAGGTTCTGAAATGCTATCAGTGATACCAGTAAGAAGACCAAGCAAATGTGGTTTGTTTTCTTCCAGCAAGGGACAAATACTTCTACAGTATTACTGTAGCCACAGTATTATCAAGTACTAGTGAATTAATTCTGCAGAAGTGCTTCATGAAATGTGTGTTGGGGGTACGCTCGAAGCGACTTAAGGCATCTGGATCAATTAATAATTGGGAATTGCAGAGGCAAAAAATAAATTCTCCCCCATCTCCTTCCTCCCCTCTTTTATCAGCTACCTACCAATCACTCATAAACAAGTATTTATTCGACATGCCTCTTTTGTCCAAGGTAATGTCCAAAGCATCAGCGCTTCCTAGGGACATCTAAGGTAAAGCTTTTGTTCATGCTCGTGTTCTGATGATGAAATACAAGATTTGTTTCTAGAAAGCTTCAATTGCCATTTTATTATATAGATAACCAGCAAACAATTGGGTTCAAAAATTCAGATAAACGGTTGTTTTCTTACATCTCTTGGGAAAGTAAATTATCCATATTTATCACAGAGGTCTTGAAAAATAGAACTGTTAAGCCAAAAGTTTGTAGAACTTGTTTGGGGCAGAGCTGATTCCTGACACTGGACTAGATTTCATCTGCTTCGCTGACCTTTAGGAATCCCTGCCGCTGCTCTTGAGTCTCCGTAGCACAGGACTGAATCAAGATGAACCGGCGCGCACTCTACATCGCTTGCCCTGTGCCCCAAAACGCCGAAGCTAACTTCCCACGCGGCCTCTTGCTCGACCACCCACTTCTGCGCTGCCAGGCACACCGAGGGGACCGGCTCTCCCTCCAGGCGGCCCATTCCAGCGTTTCCCGCTAGAGGGCACACGGCCCCCGTGCAAAGCGCTTATGGCGCGGGGCACGCGCGCACGCAGCCTCGACTCCTATAGCCCAGGTCCCACTCCCGGGCTGGGCTCAGCCGCTAAGGCGCTGGGGAGGGGCCGTGCCAGGGAGCGAAGCGCTCCCGGGACTCTGGGAGGGTGCGGCCGGGACTGCTGTCCCTTGCCCTGAGCTCTGGGCGTAGGCGCCCGGTAGGACTCGGCGCCCAGGTGAGCGGCGGCCCCCAGGAGGGGAAGCACCGCGCGACTCAACGGGCGCTCAGAGCGCAGGGCGAAGAGGACGGGCGAGGGAGAGGGGGAGGGAGAGGCCACGGCATCCGAGGAGGAGGAGGAGTAGGAGGAGCAGGAGGAGGATCGTGGGGCCCGGGCCGCGCTGCGCACCCACCTGGGCTCTGGCTGCCCGCCGCGGACTCCGGCTTCTTGCCGGAGCCTCGCTCCTTCTTCTTGCCCTTCCCTTTGCCTCTGCCTTCTTTGCGCTCGGACATCTCGCCGGAGACGGAGCGCTCTACGCGGACGGCTCTCGGCGCAGGCGAGTTTGGTCCAAGGGCTCGGATCGGGTTTGGGAAAAGTTTGTCCCTCGAGGGGGAGAGCGAGCGGCCGCGCTGAGGCGCTCGCGCTGCGCGGGGGCGTCTCCCGTTGCCTGCAGGGAGCGCGGCGCGGACGCGGCGGGCGGTCCGGCCACCTGGAACGGGCGCTCGCCCTGGCTCTCGGGGCTGCTCCTGTCGCCCCGGGAAGTCGTCGATGGGTCCCACCGCTGGCGGCTCGCGTCCTGGCCTCTGCCCGGCGCCCTCGCAACCCGATCGGGGAGAGGTTATCACCGTCCTGCTCACGCTCCCATCGTCCGGCAGCCGCCGCCGCTCAGCTCCTGGCCTCCGCGCGAGCCCGGAGTTCCAACAAGTTTCGGGGAACTCCTCGCCGGCTCTTTTTCAATTGCCCCGCAGCCACCCACCTCCCGCCCGCAGGTTGGAGGCAGGCGCCTCCTTCGCACCCTCCCCTGGCCTCGCCCCCTCCCTCTTCCCCACCACACCCCCACCCCGAGGCGCGGACACGCCACCGGGAGGAGCCTGGGCTCGGCGCTCCCGGGCGCAGCCCCTTTTCCTCCCGCGCTGGCCGGGCGGGGGGTGGCGGCGCGGCTGCCGGGAACCCCCGACAGGGGTCGCTGGACGCTGCGCGGAGACCGAGGCCAGCGCCCCGGAGACCCGGGAACCCAGGCGGAGACCCGAGGCTCTCGCTGCCCGCTCCCCTCCGCAGCCAGGCAGCGCCTGGGAGGGCTGCTCCGTCCCATTCCACGCGGAAAAGGACGGCGCAGAGAAAAGTTTGCGACTCCCACACCTGTGCCCCAAGCAGAGTCTCCGTGGTCAGGAACCCTGGGAGGGGTGCGGGGGGAACGTTGGTGGCTTTCCCAGAAGAGTTCGGGGTTCATTCCTTAACTCACTTAAGTACAAAAGCCCTGTCGCACGCAGGCGAAAATAAACTCTAGGTGGAAGGGAGTTTAAGATAAGGCTTCCTTCCAGGTGCACAGGAAGGGCTAAGCGAACCTTAAAGATGCTAGGTTGCGCTCTCCTGCTGGGTCTGCGCCGTGTGCGTGTGTGTGTGTGTGTGTGTGTGTGTGTGTGTGTGTTTAGTAAGTGCCTGTTAGAAATCTTCAGCTTTTCCTTAAAAAATAACCTGGCCTCTTCTAAGGGGGTGCCCTTAAACTACGTCTCTTACTACAACTTAATTTTCAGAGGAACTGATAAAAAACATAGTTCGGAGCACGACTCAGAATAATTAAAATTACTGCAGCCGCTGAAAGTCACTCAGTTCTGCCGAGTGGAAAAGCAGGCAGGGAGGGGTAGAATAAAGACACAGAACTGGAGATCCTTAATTCGTGAATGTGGGGTTTCTCAGATTCAAACTTTACTCAGAACTGCGCGTGAAACCTACTCCTTCCCTTGTCCTCCCTCTGGTGGAGAATTCTAAAGAGCAAGGAAATAAGAAGGCATTGACCCCTCCCCTGCAAAGGACAAAAGTTAAAGACCAGGGTAACGGGCACCACGGAAGGATCCAGAATTGTCTACATGTAGAGAAAACATTCTCAGAGTTATACCACAGCTGTGGTTAACTTAGACTCTTAATTTACAGTGAAATACTCTTGTGTTGTGGTCGGGAAGTGGTGAGTTGGAACAATCCATATTCAAAATCTATTGCTTCACTTTAAAAGTGACTTGCTCTTGGTTTTCCATTTTCTGGGGTCAATGCTAACTGAACCATTACCTACACACTACCTTCTCACGGTATTTTCTGATGGCCGCAATTTAAATAAAAGTGCAGTCTGGAGTGTCTCCTTGATATGTAGATGGGAAGGGAGGGAGGGAAATATGTTCACTTTAAAACTGTCCTAAAATCACACTAATTTTATTCTAGTTTAATTTGCACTGTCATAAGAACGAAACTCTGTTGAATGGGTTTAACTGTGGAAAGATATCCTAGCAGTCTTGCCATCATTATTTATAGTTTAAAAGTTTGATGTCCAAGTAGCTTCTGATAGCCTTCCTACAAACACCAAATATAAATTTCACTGGGCTATAAAGACAGCAAAAGCAGAGAAAAGATGATGAATATATCTCAGTAGCACTATTAATATTCCACAGAGACGTATGCAAGATGGAGTCTGAACACTGGCTGAAATAACTCTGTTTTCCCAGGAGGGGGCCACTGCTCAGTAAGCAGGAAATAGCAAAATTCAGAGAAGTCCTTTCAAAACAGATATTTTGTCCCAAGGATGTGAGACAGCATAAGGGCTTAGTATACACTACCACATATTCTCTAACATGGCATTATGTTAGAATTGAAGGACTGAAAGCAAAGATGTATTCTGGGATTCTTTTTTAAAAAATAAGATTTTCCCCAATTAAAAAAAAGAAGCTCAAAATCCATTTCTATGGAAATGTTGTAATTCTGCTACTTTTGTTTAGGGTCTGGATGTTTTGCTTCAACAAAACAGCTTACTGGTCATTTTTAGAGTAATTTTTCAGTGAGATAGGGGAAGAGCCTACGATTTTGTGATACATTTTCATTTGAATGAACCTGAAGAGGTAGTTGACAGTCTTCCAAAATTAAGCATACATGACTACAAAAGAGATTACAGATACTATGGTGGCTTTAAGATAAAACGTAAAAGCAGGATTCCTACAGGAATTTTAGGGCTGAGGAATGAATGAATATGAAGGGAGGGAGGTGAGTATAAATGAGCATTTAATAATTGTTTTTCCTTGGTTTGATGTGATGGAGGGGAAAAGACAGGACAAAAATTGCAATGATAAATATTGAAGGGACTTTAAGGAAAGATGATGAAATGGCAATTGCATGACAACAATCCTTTCTGGAACCATATCCAGATTCTCGAGTTACATTTTAGTTATCACTTGTAGCTGAATTCTCAGGAAATTCAAGGCTCAGTCCAAAAAGGTTTTTTTCTAAAAATCGTTAGGTCTTTATGTTATTTAATGTTAATTTTAAGGGGTTTTATTACATTATTTATGGCCAGCTAAAAGATTAACCAAATAAATGTCCATTTCTTGGACAGTTAAAACATTTATGAGATTTATCAAGAATTTGATATTGTCCTTAAATTATTCATCTCTGTGGTCAGGAGTAGCAAATGAATTTCTTTTGCATTTGTAAAAAACCTTGGAACTGACCAGAACAAGGGATGGAGAAAAGAGGAAGAATATTTTTGCTTTAAAAAAAAAACCCAATTGTATAATTTAGAAATGATGACATATCTTAATGGTTTAATTTTATTAATTTGTGTATTGTTCAGGTCTTAGATCATGTATTATATAGGGTATATCAGCTCCCAGGTAAATTGTCAACATAACTCCTGATAAAAAGAGTACAGATTTTAAAAAATAAACACCTTGGGCATTAAAGAAATGCAAAATTTAGATCTCACATTAAATGACAGCGTAAGAGAAACGCAATCGTGTGCCACTACATTTTTCCTTGGCTAGACTTAACTTTTAGAAGGACTCTTAGAATCTACAAAGCTGGCTGAATATATCCTCTCAGTAAATCCCATTTGGGAAATACTCCAAGAAAAGTTTTAAAACATGGAAAAATTAAAGAAGACTAACAAGACAAATTGCATTTTTGGCAAAATATTATGCATGTTGACAGTAATGGGACTTTAGAATTCTGCAAATAGTCACTTTTAACTTTTTTAAATCAAGTAACTTAAGATAATGTAAACAAAGATTACTTTTTTAAAAACTGCAACAAAGTTGACATTAATGAAGATGCATGAATGCAAAGAAAATCTCACTCAGCAGAGTCAACTTCAAAACAACCACTAAATGTATATGATTCATTCATTCACCAAGCATTTACTGAACTAAGTGATAGACAGGCCGGGCATGGTGGCTCATGCCTGTAATTCTTACACTTTCAGAGGCTGAGATGAGTGGATTGCTTGAGCCCAGGAGTTCAAGACCAGCCTGGGCAACATGAGGAAATCCTGTCTCTACAAAAAAAAAAAAAAAAAAAAAAAAGATACAAAAATTAGCCAGGTGTAGTGGTGCTCCCCTGTAGTCCCAGCTACTGGGAGGTTGAGGTGGGAGGATCACCTGAGCCCTGGGAGGTTGAGGCTGCAGTAAGCCATAAATGTGCCACTGCACTCCAGCCTGGGTGACAGTGAGACCCTGTCTCATAACAATAAATAAATAAATAAATAAATAAATAAATAAATAAATAAATAATAAGCTAGGCAGTAGAGAAACAAATAAAATACTGTCTCTGATCTCATGAACCTAAAATATTGTGAGAAAGGCATAAAAACAAATTAAATATGACAATACAATATGAAAAACAAGGCCAGATGAGTTTTCTGGAAATGAAGCTCATAAAATTTGGGGGATCTTTTAAAAGAAAAATACTGCAAAATTAAACTTACAAATTTAGGTAATAAGAAATTAAATAGGCTCTTGCAAGTCAGAGTCCCTGAAGAGTAAGCTTCCTTAGCTTATGGTAAATTCACTTTTAGTGATTCCAAGCATATTCCAACATCTGCACCATAATTACAGCAATGGTACTTGACAATTGTATACTATTTTGGAGATTAAATAATACTGTTACATAATATCACTATAAATAGGAGACATTAACAAGCAATCAAAAGGAATACACACAAAACTGAGATAAGCAAAGACCATCCTATGAGGGAGGAAATTGAGGTGAAAGGAGGCTTAATAATTCACAGATTTGCGATTGTCCTGTGTGTTCAGTTAGACTCTTAGCATCAACATGCATGTTGAGTTTATTAGGCAAAGCACTTCTGACCAGCAAGACACTCTGGCAAAACTAGAAGTGGTACCCTCCATTTGGCAAATATTTAATAGAATTACTAATTAGTCATTGTCTGCTGTAAAGACAGTTTTATGATAAAATTATGAGCTTAGAATTCAAAGAAAAATGCTAAAAGGCAATGTTCAAACAACATTAAAATCAAATCTATGTTTATGTTTTTCTGCTTGTGTGACTTTTAAAAATTACTACATACTAATGATTACTATTATTTATCATTACTATTAATAAGATTACTGTCAGGATTGTAGTGTCATGACTGATATCATGGATTAAAATTGTTAATACTGCTAAATACTATTGCTGAATTTCTTCTTCTGGCCCTGATAAACAGGGCCAACGTCATACATTTCTTCTGTAATAAGGCAGATATATAAGACAATCATTTTTGAAAACATTTGAATTTCTTATAAGAAGAATACCATCCCACACAACTTTTCAGTTATTTTTTCTGACCTCTGCATTATTTATCCTCCTCAGTCCCCTGGCAATGCACCCTTAATTTAGATGTGTATATGATGCAAATATATATATACTTATATATGCATATGTGTACATACATATATACATATGTAGACATACATGTGTATACATCTGTTTATTTGTGTGTCAATATATATGTATCTGGGTATATAATTTCTCATTCCCTTTACTGGAAATGGAAAGCATTGTCTGTATTTGAATATAAGCCTATAAAAGGCAGAGATTATATAACCTTGTATCCATTTATTTTATATTTCTATCCATTAGAATTCCTAACTGTACTTTGCATCTGGTAAGCACTAAATACTTTGGATAGAATGAACCTAAATAGAACAGAATGAAGATAAAAAGCCTAGTTCAGTGATTACCATTTTCTATCAATCAATGACTAATTACCTACTGTGACAATCATTTTGACACCTTCTTTCTGTGGCCCACCCATCCCCAAGTCCTGTCATTTTGACTTCAGTCTTCTTTTATGCCTCTTCACTAAGTACCACCCCAATCCAAGTCTTCATCCTTTTTTGTTTTGACTGTAATAAAGCTTTCCACCTGGACTATTGCTTCACCCAATTATCTTGCCACATACTGTAGTCAGAAGAGTCTTTTTGAAATGCAAATTTAATCCAGTCACTTTTTGCTTCCCAGGAGTCTATCCAGTGCCCTTGAAGAAGGAGGCTGTGGGTCACCCCAGCCTTATCTCCCTTTGCTTCCTGCACAAAGGCCTCCTTGCACCATGCCTGCATAGCTTGCATCCTTTGCAGCCTTAGAGCCTTTGCACTAGCTATATCCTCTGCCTGAATTTTCCCACAACCACCACACTTTGCCTAATTCCACTTAACATTCAGGCTTCAAGGGAAATTCAGTTGCTTGGAAAAGCTTTTCCTTACCTTTGTACACTGTTTCATCCCATCCTGTTTTAACCTCTCTTTACACTTTTTGGTGAATGAATAAATATTACTTTCATATGTAAGACTATACATACAGAAGTGTGTGTGTACTTAGGTTTATTCAGTCAAATTTTTGATGATGATGATGATGGTACTGGGCATGACACCTTGATATAACTTCTGTTAAAATAAGCCTTTCCATGAACAAATATGTAAAATAAAAATCTGGACTAATCAGTATAATCTCTCAATACCTTCTCTAAAAGGTGAGGTTATAAAATGATAAAATGCGAAGAAGCATAATTACTTTTTTTTCCTGAATTTGCTCTGCAAATTTCACCTGTAGATTACATTCATTGGCTTCATTTCCTCCCTTGGATTCTTGTGAGGTGTCAGAGGAGCCTATAAAATAGTTGGGTTTTAGCAAAGATACTCTAACAAAGTGATAATGGATGAAAACCTGCAAACACTGCATTGTTAGAGGGGAATTAAAAACTTCTTGTCCTAGGCATAATGTAGGTAAGCTTCCTCTCGTCATTAAGATTATTTTTCACTTCACAGATTAGTGATAAATCCCCATAGAGTCATTTCATCAAGTGACACCCAGTAAACACCTTAGAACTATCTTTGAGTTTCGATTTAATCTCTCTAATATTTTACTATATTCCCATCATCCATATTCATACAGCAAATGCCAAGGCATTTCTCCATACATACTTGGCGGTCATTTTCTGTGAATATTTATTATACAGCCAAGAGAGAGATTCAGATGCTTTGATGGCTTTTAAGAGTGATCCCACAAGAACCTCTTCAACGTTCCTATCTTCTTTCCTTTCAAAAGGCACTTTCTTTGTTATTTTGAAAGATTCAACCCTGTTAAATTTATAATGATGTTAAAATATAAATTGAATGTCATGAGTGATGAATTAGTACTTCAAATATTTGAACAGCGAGAGTAATTTAATAGGTCAACTCTTTTTTTTTTTTTCCTGTATGTTCCATAAGAGACACCTGGTAGAAAGCATTTCCAAAACAGATTATAGTATATAGGAAATTACTTCATAATGTCATCATGATAACAGGGCTGTATGGAGTGAAACACGGACCCATCATATTCTGTACCTGGCCCAGGCATGTATTGTAATAATACCACAATTACTCTTTTTCCTTCTTTCACACATAATTCCTTCTAACTTCCTCACTAAATCTTTATGAAAACATCCTCCCTTTTCTTCAGTTCCTCCTCATGTTAGAGTGCAATACTTCATATATCTGACTTAACTAGGGATTTTTAGTTTCGAGGTGAAAGCCAAGAGTGAAGTTCTTGGTGGAATGTTACAGTCATCTCCACCCCTGGATCCGGGCCTAGAACTCAAGTTTCTTTGCAACAGACTAACTTTCAACACACTATATGTTTGGGAATTTTGTGTATGTGTGTGTTAAAAGAATCTATGTCTTTCAATTCTCATTCATTTGGGAAAAGAATTTCACAAGTATTAACAACTCAAGAAGGCAAGTCATCTTTTAAAGATGATTTAGCAGAACAATTAGCTAACTTGGCAGAAACCAAATGGATGTCCAACAAATAACTGGTGACCAACCATGCAGAAGATTACATTCTTATGGAAAATGTTGTTTTTCCTGCCTAATCATAAAGATTGGGTTGGCTCCAACTCTTTCCCATAGGTGCAAGATGGAAACTACCTAATTCAAATGGTGCAGGGAGCTCTGGTCTTGCCTAGGGTCTTATTCAGCATGTAGGATTCTTTGGCGCCCAGAGAAAAATTCTGGGGGTGATCCTGGGCCTTATTCAATTGAATGCCTAGAATATGTTTGGATCATCATTTGTGAATAATCTGTTTGTCCCAGAGTGTGTACTGAAGTCTCTGTGATCCCATAAAGCAGTTATATCCAGGCACAAAAAAATTATTTCAGTACACCTGAGATTTGTGTCTTCAAGTTCTGGTTTTGTAGGTGGAAGAAGAAAGTTACTTTTACTAAGGTGTCTTTTCTCTTGCTTTCGGATTGAATGACATTTTTATTTTTGTTGTCGTTGTTTTTTCCAAAAGATAGTCTGACAGAATGACATGGAAGTCATTTTTATTTTCATAATAATAAGCAGAGTGCTGAGAGTCAGCAACATACTAGGATTCTTATCAGATATATTTATTATGGGTGCTAAATATAGCTCTGTCTCAGAAGCACAATGTAAAGAATTTAATATATATTTTCTCAACTCATTTTTTTTCCTTCTTCCCCTCTTCCCTAAGAAACTTTTATTAAAATCTAATCCATACTCTCCTTCCTTTATCCTGCCGGTTTACCTGCCCTGCCAATCTCTACTGCTGGGTTACCCCAATTAACCATTATCTTTCCCCTTTCTATCGAAGAAACCATAACAACAACAACAACAACAACAAAACCTTTCTTTTGACCCTTCCTTTACTTTCACTACCAAATACTCTCAGATTTTTTTTGTTTATCAGTTCAAGGACTCTGTCTCGTCTCCAACTCTCCACCAATCTAATTAAACTGCTCAAAGTTTACCAGTGCCTTCCAAATTGTCATCTGAACTCTTCTCTTTTTAATCCTTTTTATGCCTAGGGGACATTGATACACTCATCTTAAAACCTTTGCCTGGGACTCATAGTAAAATCTCAGTGGCATGACTTTCTGTGTGTCTTTTTCTTAAATCTTTTTTTTTTCCTTAACTTTCTCTTAAATGCTGGCCCATGGTCCAATATTTAAAACTGTTTTCTTCTTAACTACATGATAATTCTATAAAAACATCATTTACTTGCCACTACCTCAAATGTTGATAATTCGTAAATGTTTATCTACAGCTGTAAGTTGTTTTCTAAACTGCAAGCCTGTATTTCCAAGTACCTGAAACTAAACATGCCCAAAGACAATTCATTAATCTCCATCTCTTCCCCGCAAAAAAAGCCAGACAGAGCTCAGGATCAGAAACTAGGCATCATCCTTCATTTTTCTCTTTACATCTTCCTTTTCTTCTCACCTGCCTCCAGCCACCTGGTGCCCCCAATTCTACAGTGTTCACCTCTGAAGCAGCCTTTATTCTCATCGCCTGTCTTGCTTCTTCCCTGACCTGGGTCCTCTTCCTCATTCTTTGACTGGGCTTGTAAATTCTCTTCTTATGCAGCGTCAGTTTCAGTTCACACCCCCAGCCATCCCAGCTCCTGCTACCAGAGTTAATCTTCTAAAATAGAGCGATTATCTTGTCATTCCTTCGTGTAACGTCTCTATTAGATTCCTGCTGCTATAAAATAGAAACTTCTCCTTAGAGGGCAGCCAGGTCCTTTCCAATCTCATTGCTGCATAAACAATCTCTTTTCTATCTTCTCCTGTGCATTGTGGGCACCCTGGCCACACTGAACTATGGTTTTCTAGCCTCTTATATTTTCTTGCCTCTATGATTTTAACTGTGTTTTTCTTACCACTTGGAATTTTCTTCTCCTTTTCTGCCTGCTAAAGTTCCATTCTTCCAGACCCAACTCAAAACTTTCCTCTTCTGTTTTTTCCTGATGTTCCCAAAGGGAACCAGTGACTGTGGAATATGTGTATTCCTTCTCTGTATCTTCAGTTTAACACTTGCATTATTATAATTACTTGTTTTCAAGTTTGTCTCTCTGCCATGCAGTAATGATGCCTCAGGAATCATCTTTTTATCTTCTTAAAGTACACAACCACCGTATGTATATTAAAATGAATAGACTATAAACGTATGCAGATAATTCACAATTTACATTTAATTCAGCTTCGGAATGATTGGGCTGCCATTGAAGGGTTTTGAAATCTTTCCAAATAGAACTTTTTACTCCAACTCAATATACTTTAACAAAGCAACTGTAACTTTTCCAAGCTCTGCAGCTGTATTAGCTATATCTTAATTCATTTGTTCAGCCAAAAGTTACAGTTTGAGGGATTCAAGAACAAGCCTAGCTGATTTTTGTCATTACATTTTGATGTCCCTAAATTCACATTCACCTACTCTGTGCTTTATTTCCCCATATTTAAAAACATGGTATAATCATATGAACACGTGTTTCTCATGAACCATCATGGGGTATTATAAGGTTCAATCAATTTCTTGTCTATAAATTCCTTTAGGAATAAAATTTTTATCATCTATAGCCTTGATCTTGATTTCTGAAAAGTTTAATTGTAACTCTTGAAGGGAGAAAGAGTCCCTACATATAGTTGATATTTTTTGATTGCTTGAGATAGGCTCCCTCTCAGAGGGTGCCTGTCACTCAGTAGCTCCCTCCGCCATCCCCCAATCTCTGCCTAAATATGCTGAGACCCTCAGAGGGTCACTGTCTCAGCTGAGCGCAGTGGCTCACACCTGTAATCCCAGCATTTTAGGAGGCCGAGGCAGGTGGATCACTTGAGGTCAGGAGTTCCAGCCCAGCCTGACCAACATGATGAAACCCTGTCTCTACTAAAAATACAAAAATTAGGTGGTCATGGTGGCGCGTGCTTGTTATCCCAGCTACTCCGGAGGCTGAGGGAGGAGAATCACTTGAACCCAGGAGGCGGAGGTTGCAGTGAACTGAGATCTCGCCCCTGCACTCCAGCCTGGGCAACAGAGCGAGACTCTGTCTCAAAAAAGAAAAAAGAAAACAAGAGTAACCAAAACCTGAGAAGGAGAAGCCTGTCCTTGAAAAAGCACTGGTGTATCTGACCGAGCTTTGAACTCTGACTCTGCTGCATCTCTGCTATTTCCTCATCTGTAAAATGAGGATTATAATATTGACTGTATCAGTCACCATTGTGAAGATTAAATGAGCTCATGAAAGTAAAGTCTCAGCCTGCATAGGCACTAAGAAAATGGCAGGTCTTTAGTTGCCACTCTCCCCTGACTTCCAGCTGCTGCTGCTCCTGCCAACCCAGCACAGGTGTCCCCAGACATCTCTGAATCCAGGCCAGCCGTATTAAAAGAAGCTTCATGCCCAAAGAATAGGTAAATTTTACTATTCAGTAATTAGTGAAAAGGTAATTCTGAATTATCCCTGGCCAATGCCCTTACAGCTGCAAAGAATACATGAACCCAATAAAAATGCCATATGTTCATGGATTTGGAGTTTTCGTCACCCTAGTCTGAATTTACCTTCTCTTATCATCCCTTTCTGGATTTCTGTAGGATGGAAGACAATGAACCAACTCAGTTGGGGGGCAGCAGAAGGTAAGAGGAGGCAAAAGGAAATCTAGTACTTGAATGAGTAGAATCAGACCAACGTGACAAACAGAATTCTTTTTTTTTTTTTTTTTTTTTTTTTGAGATGGAGTCTCACTGTGCCACTGAGGATGGAATGCAGTGGCGCGATCTGGGATCACTGCAACCTCCACCTCCCAGGTTCAAGCAATTTTCCTGCCTCAGCCTCCCGAGTAGCTGGCATGCGCCACTACACCCGGCCAATTTTTGTATTTTTAGTAGAGATGGGATTTCACCATGTTGGCCAGGCTGGTCTCCCAAAATGGTGGGATTACAGGCGTGAGCCACTGCACCTGGCCGACAAACAGAATTTTTTTTTTTTTTTTTTTTTTTTTTTGAGACGGAGTCTTGCTCCATCGCCCAGGCTGGAGGGCAGTGGCGCATCTCCGCTCACTGCAAGCTCCGCCTCCCGGGTTCACACCATTCTTCTGCCTCAGCCTCCCGAGTAGCTGGGACTACAGGCACCCACCACCACACCCGGCTAATTTTTTGTATTTTTTTAGTAGAGAAGGGGTTTCACCGTGTTAGCCAGGATGGTCTCGATCTTCTGATCTCGTGATCCACCTGCCTCGGCCTCCCAAAGTGCTGGGATTACAGGCATGAGCCACCGCGCTCGGCCCAACAAACAGAATTCTAAGATGACTCCCAAGACTCCTGTCCCCTGGTACACACATGCTGTATGATCCCCTCCCCTTTGAGCACAAGTGAGAATTACGACTATGATGGGATACCACTCTTGACTAGTTGTTAGTCGGTTGGCTTTGAGCTAATCAAGAGGGAGATTGTCTTGAGTGGGTCTGACCTCATCAGCAGAGTCCTTAAAAAGGGAGTGAACCTTTCCTGAAGAGAAATATTCTCCTATTGGCTTTGAAGAAGTAGCTGTCGTATAGTGAGAGGGCCACACATCTAAGACCTGAGGGCAGCGTCTGAGAGCTTGGAGCTGCCCCTGGCTGACAGCTAGCAAGAAAAGAGACTTCAGTCCTACAGCTACAACGAATTAATCCTGCCAACAACCTGAATGGACTTGGAAGAGGACTCCACACTCCAGATTAGGAGACGGCCCGGTCAACACCTTGATTTCAGCCTGGTGAGACCCTAAGAACAGGACTTTGCTATGCTGTGCTCAGACTTCTGACCTACAAAGTGTGAGTTAATAAATGAGTATTGTTTCCAGATGCTAAGATTGAATTGCATTGGGCAATGTGTTACATGGCAATTGTACGATGTTGCAGTTATAAAATAATTTTAATTGATGTAGTGTCTCAGACAAGAAGGGGCTCAAGGAGAAAAATGATAAATAGGAAGAAAGTTTGGAATGTGTGGTAATGATCTCTGCTCTGCTACTTCTTAGCTCTGTGGATTTGGGCAGGCATTTTACTTTCCCAGACCTCACTTTCTTCTCCCTCTGAAAAATGAAGAGCTGGTCAATGGGCAAGGCTATCTCCAAGGTGCATTCCAGGCACAAAAAGTGCGCTGACATGGTATTTTACATCCTAGGGGTATAAAATTCTAATTTTTTGAAAGGCTAAACCAAGGCACATGGGGAAGCAATTGGAAAAAATTCACAAAGAGCAGATGATCAAACCTCATTTGGAAATTCAATCTCCTCTATTTGTAGATCATCCTGTCTCTAGCCCTTTCTTTGACCATCAGCCAGATTCACAGAACATGGAATGGACACCAAGGAGGTTTATGAGCCTTGTCCATGGGTCCAAGGAGGACCTGAAGAGTTGTGGCTTTTTTTCTATTTTTAGAGGGTCGTGGTTTGTTTTTATTTCTCATGGGGAGACTTTTGGTATTTGTTCTCTGCCAAAATAATCAGTAAGATAAAACACCAATCATGAAGGTGAATGCTATATAAACTTTAATGCACATTTATGGCAGACATAAAGAACTTTTCTATCAGTAATAACAATTTAACTCGAAAACATATCACAGCCTAAGGATTCATTAGGGAAATATGTACATGTTCCTAAGGAGGTCCATGGTCCTGAAACAGCAAACTTTTTGGCCTGAAAGAAAAGATGTGTTTAAGTGTGCTGTTTTTGTTCTAGGACATAAGTTTTTATCTGTTGATCTGTACAAATAACCCAAACAGAAACTCCTTAAGAGACACAAAAACAGGGTAAAATATTTTAAATCTACAAAATCAGCTGGAATAGAATTATAGCTATGCAGTTTAGAAAAAGGTTCCTTTCATCAATATTTACCATATGATTATGACCAGGTGAATTTATCTCTGTTTCCCAACCTCATTAAAACATAAAACATTTCCATAGAGCCATTTTAGCTTACATGTGTTTTTCAGGGAAAATTGCAGTGTGTATTAAATAATTCCAAGAAACCAAAGTAATCTTAAATTTTTAAATCCTGGAACAATCTTAGAATGCTCAAAAACATAGTGTGCTTTAACTCAGCCCACAGCCAAAGTAAAATTAATAATAATATAATGAGCCCAATTTAGATAAATTGAGCCTGAATTCTAAAGGAAACGTTGGAATTGAGATCTGAACCATCCAGATTGGTTTATACATTGATTAAACTGTTACAATCAGACATCAGTGTTTCTATAGACAGAACTTGAGATCATCAGTAAAAGACATTAATATGCCAATAAAAGCCATAAATAGCCAATAAAAGCCAAGTATTTCAACATCACCGTTCTGTGGCACCAGAACTCATATTTGATTAGACTTACCTGACTTCAATCACACTTTCCATGTTTTGAAAATATCTGTGAACTAAGGTGGAGTTACTGTGAAATTAATAAAACTTAAGCCTCTGAGCCCCATTGGCAAGAATCCTGTCCAAAGCCTATAACTAATTTTACAGTGGGGATTTACTATTTTTTTAAGAAAATGCCTCCAAAATTTAATCCTGTTTGAAGGAGTCTATAAACATAGTTTATAGCTTGAGGAATACAGTAAAGATTCAGACAAGTTTACCAGCTAGGGTTTGCTATCTTGACCTTTGACTAACTAGCTGTTTTTGCTGTTCTTTTTACTTTTCAAGGCATGGATTTATCTTAAGGCATGGTTGTGGAATTACCTGTCCTAAATGTTTTAGATCCTCTTCCCCTTCCCAGGGCAGACAGCATTTCCTCATTACCATATTCTGAGTATGTGGGTTTATAAATCTTCTCCAAGGGTTTCTGGGTAAGAAGTATGTGGCTGTTAAAGAGAATGTCCTCTTTCTGTACTCATGAGTATGACATCTATTTGCTCACTGACACTGTGACAAAAACTGCCAAAATTACAGTTCTATTTCCATACATTTCTTATAGAAATGTCTAGAATACAAAAATAATTTGTATTTTTAACATTACTCTTTAGTCTAACCTTTCTGCCTTATAATGAAAACCCTAGAAAATAAAGATCCTGTCTGAATACATTGCTAAAATGTCCTTGATCAAAGCGCTATCTGCATTTTTGACATTCAATGCATTTAAACTTATACATAAACATGTGATAAGTTCTTTGAGGGAAGATGTTCTGTTATTGGAATCGTTATCACTTTCATGGTACTGAATATGGTGCTTTTACCTGGCAGGTACATTGAAATTTTTGGTGGATAATGAATGAATCTATTTTCTATGTTTAGTTAATTAACAGTGTCCCATTTTGATAGGTTTACTTGTTTTCTCTTTTTCATGGCTAAATGTACTATTTTTAGGACAATTAATTTTGGAATAAAAATAAAATTTGTTCAAAAGAGATTGTCTCAGCTTCTACCTGATCCTAAAACAGCGTGTTCTGTGATTATTTAAAGGAAGAAAATAACATATAGTTGAGGTAATTATTAAAATTAAATTGACTAAAATAAATTAATCTAAAAACATTTAAGTAGTTGCCCATGCAGACATAGCCTAAAAAAATTTAAGGTATTTTATAGCTACATAACTAATTAAATCCATTTTATTGTACTTGAATTTCTAGTTAAATATCCCGATTACATGCTGTTTCCAAACAGAGCAGTTTAAGCTTATATTTTCTAGATCAAGCTCTTAACAGCAGTAATGTTTCTAGTGATGTTGTTGTTGGTAATGACGTCTTCAAATGTTATCATTTTGGGAAATTGCGTATTTCTTCTATTGTTTGTATATAACCATTTATATTATATATACACAGGAAAACATGTTGTTACTCCAAGTGTTATGGACCGTAATTATGAAAGATAAAGAAAAAAATGTTAAGTGTAGAAATGGAAGCATTCTTTTTTTTTTGGTGAAACATCAGCAAGTCACATCAACATGTAGTAATCTAAGGCATAGGTTATATCTACAAAATCCCAAAACATACACATGAATATTAAAAAAACCAGCAACTTAAGTAAATGTTTTTTCTACACCTTAGAAATTGTTACAAATTTTGCATTTTAGAAAAATTACACAAATGTATGCAGAAATTATTTTTCTTAAGGCATTTTAAAAATTACAATTTTGACATAATCATGATTAAATCATATCTAGTCATGAAGTAAAGTTTTTGTTGGGAGGCCTTTTAAAGGTTTCACATAAAAACCTTTAAAAACAAATCTCCATGAAATCTCTATTAATACATGATCAAATTAGCTCACTATGAATTATAGGAAAGATTCCCTAAAGAAATACTTGACTGAAAAAATTGTAATGAAAGTATCATTGTCTAAAATGTCAATTAAAATAAAAATCATATATCTTAAATAAAGCAAAAGTTTCCATAAGAGAAATTCTAATACCATTAGAGCAGCTTCATAAACACAGCTGTTTTTATCTTAGTTAGAAAAACACTGTTTCTCTAATTTGGTTTAATTGCATTTCAAGTGAAAACATGTTTTGTTCTCATTAAGTGTCATTTTCATTTCTGATAGGAAGTCATAGGTACTTTGAATTAACAGCACCTTAACTGCAAGGACAGTTTTGGAAAAAAGTATTTTGAAAACACTTATAGCACATACTAGCTTTAATCAGGCAGACAGTAAAATCTTGGGGAATCTTCTGATTTATAAGTAAATGGATATAAGCCAAGTTAGCTTGTGAACATATTTGAAGAATCATTGGTGAACTTTACTTTGGTAAACACAAGCTCTGATTAATCCATAATCCCAGTAAATATTACTTCTTGAAAATCTGGGTGAGTTACTGGCACACTATTGAATCCAGGCTCTGCTTGTCTGGTGCATGTGTGGTCTCCACAAAAGAGAAGGTTTACTGCCTGCTATGTTAATAGATTATAGATAGAGAAACCATAAATTCTAGTATGTCAGGGAGCATCCTGGGTTATACTTTTGGTCCAGGTGTAATTACTAATAGCACCTGTGTTCACTCTTAAACATGCTTATGTTGGTCCATACATTGCAGTTATTCTAGTCATATTTTTATTTAGGAAGTTTTCTGTGTTTGTTCTTGGCTATCACTTATTTAGCTTTGGCTTTTGTGGTAGGCACTATACTAAATATTTCATTTATCCCTCTGTCATTTAACTTTCACGATAACCCTATGAGGTAGAAGTATTATTTTGCGCTTTCTCATTTTATAGATGCATAAACTGAAGTTGAGAATAGCAAAATTCTTTACCTTAACAAGTTACATAAGACACCCATACAACACCCTAAGTAATACTAAAAATACCATTTCGTAAGTTGCAAAAGTTTTTAGGTATTTGAGCACACAGTATCATTTTATACTGCCACAATAACTTTTTAAAATGGATCTTCCATTCGAATTGCATAGTTTCCCTTTTTAAGATTTTTCTTTTATTACTTTGGCTGAAAATCTTTGGCACAGAAAGTAAGAAACTTTGCTTTTCTTGACCATTTTATCAGAGTAATCTTTCCTCTAAAAGTAATTAATATTTAATTAATTTTTAGGGAAAAAATGAAAAAGAAAGCAGAAAGATATAAATGGACAAAAACAGTGACTTTCTTGGAGGCATTTTAAGTGACTAGAATTTTACTTTCCTTAATTAGGAAAACTCAGCATTTCAACAGATTACAGGGTCTTCTCAATTTCCTTCTCTTTCCTTTTTTCTAGTTTTCTAGAATTTTCATTAGAATTGCATGGTATTTTCTAGGTTTTCTCATTTCCACTAAATCATGGATAACATCTCTTTCTTTCTTTTCTCTCTTTTCTCTCCTTCTCTCCTTCTCTCTCTGTCTCTCTTTCTTTCTTTCCTTTCTTTCTTTCTGATGGAGTCTCATTCTGCCACCCATGCTGGAGTGCAGTGGTATAGTCTCTGCTCACTGCAACCTCTGCCTCCCAGGTTCAAGCAATTCTCCTGCCTTAGCCTCCCAAGTAGCTGGAATTACAGGTGCTTCCCACCATGTCTGGCTAATTTTTGTATTTTCTTTTTTAATAGAGATGAGGTGTCACCATGTTGGTCAGGCTGGTCTTGAACTCCTGACCTCAGATTATCTGCCTGCCTCAGCCTTACAAAGTGCTAGGATTACAGGCGTGAGCCACCACACCTGGCTGCATCTTTCAAATACAACTTTTAAGCCCCGAATACCCAATTATTATTAATAGGTAGTTTGTCCTTGGAATATAAGAATCATTATTCACTAGAACAGAATGCCCAGCTTTCACTATAACCACTTAATACAAAGTATTATTTGTGTATCTGGTTACAAAAAAAACAAATGTGGAATAGGGATGTGACCAGAGAGGAAAGAGAAAGGAATGGAAAGGTAAATCAGTTCTACTTGAGAGACTCAAAGGCATATAAATCCAATTACAAGATTATCAAAGCCATTTTCAATCTAGAAATCAAACAACTTAATTTATTATTGGAAGTACTGTATGGAAATAGAGTCATTTCCATACTCTAAACCGTGGACCACATATATGACAGTGGTCCCATAAGATTATAATGGAGCTGGCTGGGCGCGGTGGCTCACGCCTGTAATCCCAGCACTTTGGGAGGCCGAGGCGGGCGGATCACAAGGTCAGGAGATCGAGACCATCCTGGCTAACACGGTGAAACCCCGTCTCTACAAATAATACAAAAAATTAGCCGGGCGTGGTGGCGGGCACCTGTAGTCCCAGCTACTCGGGAGGCTGAGGCAGGAGAATGGCATGAACCCGGGAGGCGGACCTTGCAGTGAGCCGAGATAGCACCACTGCACTCCAGCCTGGGCGACAGAGTGAGACTCCGCCTCAAAAAAAAGAAAAAAAAAAGGATTATAATGGAGCTAAAAAATTCCTATCACCTAGTGACATTGTAGCACAACACATTACTCGTGTTTGTGGTGTTGCTGGTGTAAACAAACCTACTGTCCTGCCAGTGGTATAAAGGGCTAGTCCGTGCAATTATGCACAGTACATAATACTTGATAATGACACTAAATGACTATGTTACTGGTCTATGTATTTACTATCCTTTTTATTGTTCTTTTAAGTGCACTCCTTCTACTTATCTGAAAAAAAGTTAACTGTAAAACAGCCTCAGGCAGTTCCTTCAGGAGGTATCCAGAAGAAAGTATTGTTATCACAGAAAGTGACAGCTCCGTGTGTGTTACTGTCCCTGGACTTTTTCCAATGGGACATGATGTGGAGGTGGAGGACAGTGATATTGATTATCCTGATCCTGTGTAGGCCTAGGATAATGTGTGTGTGTGTTTAATGTGTGCTTTTAACAAAAATGTTTAAAAAGTAAAATAATAATAATTAATAATAACTTTAAAACAGAAAAAGCTTATAGAATAAGAATATGAAGAAAGAATATTTTTGCACAGCTGTACAATGTGTCTGTGTTTTAAAGTAAGTATAACAAAAGTCAAAAGGTTTAAAAAATACAAGTTTATAAAGTGAAAAGATATAGTAATTAGGTTAATTTTGGAAGAAAGAAAAATTGTTAATACATATTTAGTGCAGCCTATGTGAAGAATGTTTATAAAGTCTATAGCCGTATACAGTAATGTCCTGGGCCTTCACGGTCACTTACCACTCACTCACTGACACCCAGAGCAACTTCCAGTCCTGCAAGCTCCATTCGTGAGAAGTGCTCTACATAGGTGTACCATATTTTATTTTCTATACTGCATTTTTCTGTACCTTTTCTATGTTTAGATATGTTTAGATGCATAAATACCTTTGTGTTACAATTGCCTACAGTGTTCAGTATAGTAGCAGGCTGTATGGATTTGCAGTCAAGGAGCAATAGGCTGTACCACATAGCCTAGGTGTGTAGTGAACTATACCATCTAGGTTTGTGTAAATATACCCTATGATGTTCACACAATGACGGGAATTGCCTAATGACACATTTCTCAGAACGTAGCCACATTGTTAAGTGAGGTACGACTGTATATGTTCTGGACTATTCTATAAAGCTATCGTTGTCAAATTTAAGTATCAATCAGTTATTTAGTGGAGGAATTTGGTTCCTATGTTTTTATTCAAATTGAGTCCAGGACTGGAATAGTCATGCAATTCTCCACAATAAAGATCTCAGTGAAACTTTATACAAGAACCAGTCGTGTGTTGAATTAAAGCTACAATATGTTGTTTTTAATAGGACCTGTATGTATTCTATATATGAGAAGAACCATATGTTGTTTATAATAGGACCTATATGTATTCTATATATGACAAGAACCAAACCCCCTTACATTATATACTCAGACATCTTACCACTCCTCTATTATCTACTCTAAGCAGTCAAACAATGTGGGAAGAAGAGAAGAATTTCTCTGAGAAAGAGTAAAGATGAAAAAGAACCACATAATCACTCATGAACAGAGTTGCTATCACTAATTCAGGCTTAAAAATAAACTTCTGTTATACATATATGTACATGCAACATACCTATTGTTGTACTACTCAATAAACTAGATGCTTGCCTTTGAGGTCACCTGAGAAAGCTGACCTCGCAAGTTCAATCCTGTCCAACAACTGGTGCACATATCCAACACTTACCACATGCCTATAACTTGCATACTGGGCTTTGTACTGGATTGCAGGGAAACAGCGCTAAGTGCAATAAAGCATCACCTTGATTAAGCTTATACTCACATAACAAGTAACTAGACATATAACAACAGACAGTACTTTCACGTAGTCATATATGAAAAATAAAAGAGCAAAAGAAGATAGTGAATAACGGAGGCTTGGCTATTTTACACAGAGTGATCAAGGAAGGCTTTCCAAAGAGGTGGTATTTAAGGAGAGACCTGGATGATAAAAAGGAGTGAGTTACATGCAAATCAGAAGGATAAGAATTACAGGTGGAGAGAACTGCAAATATAAACATCCTGGAGCAGATGTAAGCTTGATGCAAAGGGGAACGGCACATGTACCAGTCAAGGGGAGGCAAGAGACAACCATGACCACGCCTGGGTGATTGCAGGAGAACTGGGGAGAAGCGGTTGGATAATGGACATATTCTGAAGGTGGCGCTGTCAGGATATGCTGAGTGAGAAGTGTATGTGGGGTGTGAAAAAAAGAAGAGGAACAAAGAAAATGCCTGGATTTCCACCTAAGCAACTGGGTGGAAGGTAGTGACATTTATTGAAATGGGCATCAGTTTGGGCAGAGTGTGTTTTTAGGTAAAGGTCAGGGAAGGATGAGGAAATCAAGAGTTCTGCATTAAGTTGTCATTTGAGATGTCTAATTTGTTTTCATTTTTTAGCTTTTATTTGTATAGATTTAGAAGGTACAAGTGCAGTTTTGTTGTTATACTGATATACTGAATAGCGATGAAATCTGAGCTTTTAGTGTATATTGACCCATTAAGTAATTTCTCATCCCTTGAACCCTTCCCACCCTCCCAACTTTATGAGTCTCCAATGTCTATTATTCCAATTTCTATATCCATGGTACACATATTTAGCTCCCACTTATAAGTAGAGAACATGTAATATTTGACTTTCTGTTTCTGGGTTATCTCACTTAAGATAATGGCCTCCAGTTCCATCCATGTTGCTGCAAAAGACATGATTTTATTTTTTATGGCTTAGTAGTATTCCACGGTGTGTGTCTGTGTGTGTTGTATGTGTATGTATATATATTACGTTTTCTTTATCCAATCCATTGATGGACACTTAGGTTGATTCCATGTTTTTGCCCTTTGTGAGTAGTGCTGCAATAAACATATAAGTGGGGGTATCTTTTTGATATAATGATTTCTTTTCCTTTGAGTAGATGCCAAGTAGTGGGATTGCTGGATCGAATGGTAGTTCTATTTTTAATTCTTTGAGAAATTAAGTTTGCAATGTCTTTGAGTCCAAGTACAGATGCCAATTGGGTACTATCTGGGGCATAGGGGAAAGGTTGGAGCTGGAGATATAAATGTAAGAGTCATCAATATATACATGGACTATGAAGTCATGAGACTAGATTTCTTAGGTACAATTACAGAAGAGTGAAGGGCTACAAATGGAGCCCTGTAGACCTCTAGCATTTAGCCCTCCAAAAGGAAGAAAAATGAGAATGAACAAAGGAGCCTGTGAGTCAGAGACAAGAGATGAAGGGAAAAGACAAGGAGGTGAGGGATCCCCAAATCCAAAGAAATAAAATGCCTCAGGAAGAGAATATGTCAGTTGCTACTGGTTGTTTGTTTGAGTATGATGATCACTTGGGATAGTTCACTGGATTGTGCAAGATGGAGGTCACTACTTGACCTTGACAGGAGAAGTGGACTGTAAGCTTGATGGAAGTGAGAGAGAGGGGACTCCAGTTTTAGAGAGAGACTTGGACCCATGTGTTTATCACCTTGGCCTCCTATATCAACAGACTAAAATAGCCTCTAATCTGCCTCTTGGTATTTACGCCTTGTATAATCTCCTCACTTTGAGTATGGGCGGGCCTGGTGACTTGCTTTTAGCCAATAGAATGTGGCAAACATGATGAGATGTCATTTCTGTGATTATGTCACACAAAATAGTGACTTCTATTTTGTTGGCAGATTCTCACCATTGCTAGCTTTGATTAAACAAACTGCTATAGAGAGAGAGCCATGTGGCAAGGGATGAGGGTGACCTCTGGCCCAGAGTCACTAAAGAACAAGACTGTCAGTTCATCAGCTCATCAGGAACTAAAACCTGCCTGTAACTCCAGGAGCATACAAGCAGATGCTTTTCCTTTTGAGCCTTCCCATGAGATCCCAGTCTTGGCCAGCACCTCACTGCAGCCTTGTGAGAGACTCTAAAGTAGGGGGCCAAGCTGAGCTACACCCAGTACCTTGGCCCACAGAAACTCTAAGAGAATAAATGTGCATTGTTTTAAGCAACTAAGTTTATGGTAATTTGTTATATAGCAATAGGTAACTAGTACGCCTTTTGAAATGCCACTAAAATGAGGGTAAGTAAAGAAATAAAATGGGTATCGACACACAAGAAAAGAAAAGCTAGAAGAGATAGAGTAGAAAAGACATTAAAATTTTATCAGATGGGCAGCTGATGAATTTGTAACAACTGACTTGTCAAAGTCACAAATGCTGAAATCTATGCTCCTATAAAGAAGAAAATCAACAAGAAAGTTGATTTGTGCTAAGTAATTATAGAAAGCCTCAAAAATTGGAGGCACCAAGTACCAAGGAAGCTAGGAGGAAAGGGGGCGGGTGTTGGTGCTGAAAACAGAGGGAATGAATTAAAGTATATACACAGATCCAGGCAACACCTTGAATAACAGGTAACCAAGCCTTCTCCATGTAGTGGGGGACAGGAGGTTTAGTCTCTGAAGAGATTAAAGCAGAAATATTTTGAGCTTGGGGATGCAGGCTGAGAGACGTGTAAATGTGTGGTCTCAGACTGAAAATAGAGAAATTAAGTGAAAGCCTACATTTGGAATGATGATGACTTCTATCTTCCTATCTCTTACCAGTTCCCAGAAAGCAGGCAAGTAGACTTAGACACTACACACACACACACACACACACACACACACACACACACCCCTACCTCATGCTTAAGATGAGAATAATCTTGTCTAGAAAAACTGCCTTCCTTGTGACAAAAGACTGACTTTCAGCAGTGCCACAGGGGCAGCCTCAGGGCCAGGCTGAGCAGGTGTGGTTCTGGCCTCTGCAGCCTCCATCAAGGAGGACAGCATTGCTTGCGTCTTTTTCATGGGCACCGGACTCCTTAGCTTTGGCTCAAATGGGGGCTTGTAGCCCTACCTTTCACAAGGAGAGGGCAACCAAGAAAACAGTCTCCCAAGTGCCCATCTCATAATTTCCTTCCTCTGTTGTGATACATACACAACCTAGAAGAAGCTTTGAGTATTTCTTTGCTCAAGGTTTCAGCGGTAAATCGGCATAGCTCTGGAGGGCAAATATTGGATTGCATTATATTTGTTTGCAAAAACTTAACGGAAAAGCTTTTCCTACTTAAAAATAAAAGTTGAAAACCAGTGATTTCGTTGATAAATTTGAAGGGCTGTGTAGGGTAAATCAGGCAAATGAAATTCTATTCATGTGATGAGCGGTTAATACGTGAGCATTGAAATAGCCTAGGTTTATGATGATAAGCTTGCAGATATGCTTTGTCAGGGAGTGGACTGGGATGACACAAGAACAAACAGAACATCTGATTCATTAGATGTAGTGGTGACAGGAGTAAGAAATTTTCTAGCATTTTAAATCCGCATGACTTAGGAAATTCGGTTTCCATGATAGACAGAGGCATCAAGTTAACCAGAAGAATTGCTGGAGGAAAAACCGGTGTCTGGTTTTAGACCCATGATACTGAAACAGGCTGTTCATCTGGCAACTGGAATGTTTTTTTCTTGACACTGTGAGAAAGGCTTTGGATCTAGAAAAAATTTTGGAAGGGCAATAGAAAAAAAAAATCTTTAAGGAAAAGCATACTGAGTCAGCTAAGAGGAAAATACAGTCCCAGGAAAAAGGAACCAAGAGAGAAAAAGATGGGTAGTCAGGAAGGTTGGGAAGAAATCAGGGGAATTTGTTGCCGTAGAAGGAAAGAATATCAAGAAGAAATGAGAGGTAGGCACTGTTAAACATTGCTTAGCAACTAGGGAGGATAAAAGACTAGGGAAATCACAGCCACTCAGGAAGCTAAGGTAAGAGGCTTGCTTGTATCTAGAAGGTCTGGCATACTGCAACCTCCACCCTCTAGGCTCAAGCAATCCTCCCACCTCAGCCTCTCAAGTATCTGGGACTACAGGCACATGCCACCACACTGAGCTAATTTTTGTGTTTTTTATAGAAACAGAGTTTCGCCATGTTGCCCGGGCTGGTCTTGAACTCCTGAGCTCAAACAATCCTCCTGCCTCAGCCTCTCAAAGTGCTGGAATTACAGGAATGAGCCACCATGGCCGGCCCAAGAAATCTGATACAGGACACCAAGTGGAGCCAGTTCTTTGGTCAGAGATTTAAAAAAAGGAGGCAACAGTGGTGAGGAAAAGCAATCACGGATATAGACCTACTGTTTGCAACTCCTATTTTTATTTATTTATTTAGTTAGTTAGTTAGTTAGTTATTCAGAGACAGAGCCTCACTCTGTCTCCCAGGCTGGAGTGCAGTGGCATGATCTCGCTCACTTCTGCCTCCTAGGTTCAAGTGATTCTCCTGCCTCAGCCTCTCAAGTAGCTGGGATTACAGGCACGTGCCACCATGCCCAACTAATTTTTGTGTTTTTAGTAGAGGCGGGGTTTCACCATGTTGGTCAGGCTGGTCTTGAACTCCTGACCTCAAGCAATCCACCTGCCTCAGCCTCATAAAGTGTCAACTACTTTTATTTTAAAACTCCTTTTCACTATTAAAATTACTGAGGACCCCCAAAGAGCTTCTGATTCTGTGGGTTAAATCTACCAGTGTTTACCGTACTAGAAATTACCACTAAAGAAGTTAAGACTTTTTAAATAAACTCTTTTAAAAATAGCAACGCTAACTCCATTAAATAGTAATATAAATAACCTAGTTTTTATGAAAAATATATTTTCCCTAATAAAAATAATTTTGAAAAGAAGAGAGCACTGGTTTACATTTTTGCAAATCTCTTTAATGTCTTGCTTCATAGAAGGCAGCAGATTCTCATATCTGCTTCTGCATTCAATCTGTTGCAATATGTTGTTTTGGTTGAAGTACATGTAGAAAATCTGGCATCAAATAGATGAGTAGTTGGAAAGGGATGTCCTAAGGAGACTCAAGATCTGTAGAGGTCCTTGACCCAGGCATTGAGCATTTCTTTGAGAAACTTAACAATAAAAATAGACAAATTAAGGGCTGGGCGTGGACTCATGCCTGTAATCCTAGCACTTCTTTGGGAGGCTGAGGGTGGAGGATCGTTTTAGCACAGGAGATCAAGACCAGCCTGGACAACATATTGAAACTCCATATCTATGAAAAATTCAAAAATTAGCCAGATGTGGTGGTGGGCACCTATAGTCCTAGCTACTCAGGCTAGGTGGGAGGATCACCTGAGCCCAGGAGTTTGAGGCTGCAGTGAGCTATGATGGCACCACTGCAGTCCAGCCTAGGTGACAAAGCCAGACCCTGTCTCAAAAAAAAAAAAAAAGGCAAATTGGGTGCCAACTCAACAAAGTATTAAGTTTGAGAAAAGGATTCTGAGTTTGCTTGTTTTTAACAATAGGAAAGACCTAAGGATGTTAAAGACATTTTTAAGCCTAAAGGAAAGAAACAAGAAAGGGAGAAATTGAAGATATAAGAGAAGAGAAAATTGTTGAATCAAGTTCCTAATAAAGGGCAGAAATGTCAGGATGAATAGCAGGAAGGGAAGTTTAGCTTTTCAAAAGGGAGTGCCAACTTTTCCTTATGACACAAAAGCATGAACTAGGATACGTGGTTATCCAGAGAAAATCCAAGGCCATGAGAACACAGTAATAGGACAGGAAGAAGAAAGGTGAGGCACCTTCAGTCTTTTCATTCAAGGGTGATTTACATCATTTGCTGAAAGTAAATATTGTGCATGCAACATTGCAGATAAGGAAAGACAGCTGTGGGGGAGGTAAAGAGAGAAAAATTAAAATAATGATCCAATGAGCAACATTATGTGGAAACTGACTGCAATGTGCTTAGCCCACAATGAGGTCCCAGCAAATGTCTCGTTTTAATCAATGAAAGGGCAGTAAGAAGGGGTTCTCATTGGAGGTCATGGAGCAAGACAGCGTGGCTCTCTAGGGACCTGTGTTAGTGGCTGAGGCCTGGCACAGTAGGACACACTTCATGGATTCCCAAAGGACTGATTCTTTCTCTGGAATGGAGGAAGTCCAAGCCACACAAGAAATACTCACAATGGAGATGGACTTCAGATTTGTCGCCGAAAAGCCGAGCTTGTAGAGTATCATCTTCTTTTCTGCACATAATTCAAGTAACCACTATACTCATCTGGTATTTATTTCAGGAAAACTCTTTCCAACTTTCTGTCATATTTTTATTAAGAGCTCTCATATTTACATAGGAAATCAACTAAAAAAAGCAGGAAGAGAGAGGTGAACTAAAGAAGTTTTTCCTGTGGGAATTTTAGTTAGGCACATCCATTACCACTTTTAACTGAGGGAGTAAAAGAAGCCATTTCAAGCTGTATCTTCTTCAAAAAGCTATCCTTGAATCTGCTTTTTTCTCTTTCTTTAAGAATAGCTAAAACTCTCTTTTCCTGAAATATTTTCACTCAGTTTCAATCTTTGAAACGATCACCTTTCAATATCTGACTTTGCTTGAGGTCATTAACTTATAATATTAAAAAATTAAGTTTACTTCTCTTCAGTGATAATGAATATTAATATACCTTCTCTGTCTTTGAGTTTTATTCTTCCTATTTATTTTCTTAGGTAAACTCTTTTGAGCACTTCTGTATTCATTGCTTTTCATGGGGGCATTCGTGTTGTATTCAACTCGGTTAAACCAGCACTCCATGACTGTTGCATCACGAGCCAGTTCCATGATCTCCAATAAGCATTTCCACCCTTGATTACCTTAATTTTCACATCTACAAAATGAAATATTGGAATACTGAGCACTAAAAAGGCAGAATATAATACACCTATGTGTTGTCAAAACCAACTATTTAGATTTTCTTTATATTTATTGCTTTAGGGAAAGACAGACAAAAAAATAAACCTAAAGGATATTCTATATCCATTTGCCTCTACAGTGGTCCCCGTTATCCACAAGGAATATGTTCCAAGATCCCCAGTGGATGCCAGAAACCATGGATAGTACCAAACCCTATATATACTATTTTTTACCTATACGTGCATACCTATGATCAAGTTTAGTTTATAAATTAGTCACAGTAAGAGATTAGCAACAATACTTAATAATAAAAAAGAACAATAATAATAATAACATGTTGATGTCACTACTCTTGTACTTTGGGGCTATGATTACATGAAGGGTTGCTTAAACACAGGCACTGCTACATTGTGACAGTTAATCTGATCATCAAGATGGTTACTAAGTGACTAAAGGGTGGGGAGTGTAGACAGCATAGATCCCCTGGACAAAGAGAGGATTCATGTCCCCAGAGGGACAGAACAGGATGGGCGAGATTTCACTCTACTCAGAATAGTGCACAAGTTAAAACTTAGAAATTGTTTATTTCTGGGATTTTTTATCTAATATTTTCAGACTGCAGTTGATTGCAGATAACTGAAACTGCCAAAAGCAAAACTGTAAAGAAGGGGGGACTACTGTATTCTCACACAGAGCCTATGCTGAAAACTTCACTATATACTCATATGACTTTAGACAACATAAAAAGAGTAAATGTCATTTGTTGTTCTTTCCTATATTGCTGGCACTTTAGTAAGAGCTTTACATATCTCTACATATCTCATTTTAATTTCACAACCACCCTGTGATATCAGTACTCTTATCCCCATTGTACAGGTAAAGAACCTGGGCTAGGCTGGATGCAGTGGCTCATGCCTGTAATCCCAGCTCTTTGAGAAGCCGAGGCGGGTGGATCCCTTGAGCCCAGGAGTTCGAGACCAGCCTGGGCAACATGGCAAGACCCTGTTTCTACCAAAAAAAAAAAAAAAGTAGCTGGACAAGGTGGCACGTGCCTGTGGTACCAGCTACAGGCAGAAGTGGGAGTATTACTTAAGCCCGGAATTTGGAGGCTGCAGTGAGCTGAAATCTGAGCCACTGCACTCTAGCCTGGGCAACAGAGTGAGACCCTGTCTCAAAAACAAACAACAGAAGAAAACAAAAGGACCTGAGCTAAGTAAGCTCTCCAAGTTCACACCAGCACTGAGTGGTGAAGCCAGGCTTTAACCCCCTAAGTATACACATATGCAATTACAGTGCCTGTGTTTTTATTCTTTAGAATATGAGGGTATGTGTGTGTATATGTGTGTGAGTGTGTGTGCAGTATACACATGTGGATTGCAAGCAGTAAATAAGAGGAACAGAACACTTATGAAAATGTGAGAAATTTAGGTGAAAATCTATCCCAATTGCAGTTTGCTTATCCACCTCCAATACACAAGAAAACACGGTGGCACAAAGAAGGGTATAGAGATTTGGGGGAGCTTCTGAAAAAGTTACTTTTACCAAATAATGTCACACAAAAAATCAAACGTGTTTATCACAAATTTCAAATCTCTCGGAAGGAAAATATTCTGCTTAGCTTGGTTTTGGTTCAATCCTGGAATCTCCTGTATTATCTAAAAGAGTACGCTGGGTGACCTTCATAGCACCAGAGCAGAAATTTAATTTAGAATTTAGTAAATAAAATAACAGGATATGTGTGTGACATTATTGTTAGTTTATCTTAGGATCTCCCAGGGGAAATCTGGTTTGTGTAAATTTCTATCCAACTCTGAAAATGTTTCAAATCTTGCGTATAATCTCATTATTATTATTATTATTATTTTCATAGATGTTATCTGAAGCCATTTCCTTCTCCAAGGTAATGCCTCCTCCCTCAAAAAAAAAAATCAGTTATACGTACTACATTTAGCTTAATGAAATAACAACCTTTAACTTGTGGTAAGAGCCATCCATTCAAATCTATTTATTTTAAGTGTTAGTGAGTTTTAATGTTTACGGGCAAAGTATCCATTGAGAAAACTACTCTTGAATACAGAGCTATTTCTTTTTGTTTTAACAAATAGGTCCTGCTTTCCTTTATAAGAATTTGATGTCTTCCAGTTTTCTTAAAGAGCTTAATAATGCTCAAAACTAAATTAACTTTAATTAACTCCAAGATAATAGCCACATTATATGGCAACTTTCAACAGTATTTAAGTGTAAGTCTATTTCATATCTGGTAAAAAAAAATTCTAACCCTAAGAAATTTCATCAACAGAAAAACTGATACATTGCTATTATAATAACAACGTAATTTTGTCATACTACTCATTAGTTAGAATGCTACAACATTAAAGTAGCTCTTAGGAGAAACTTATTTATGATTTATTTAAACATGTACATTGTATCCAGTAGTCTACTAGTTAATGCTCCTGAAATTAAATCTCTCCATTAACTGAACCAGATTTTTAATTACGAATAAAATTACTATGCCATCTGATCTTATTCACATCTTTGTAGTCAACTTTTTTCCCCACTGTTATTTCTCATTTCTTTATCCTGCCATTACACCAAATCAAATGCTATTCCTTTAAAAAATACAGTAACCTTTTTTTCTTGGTTTTCACATGAAATCTTATGTCTGTGAACTTTTTTCTTTCTGCATCCTTATGGTAATAAGCACTGGGAAACTAGGTCCTTTGCAGAATTGGATGGTCATAAAAAGCTTTCTTCCTTGTGCAGCTCAGGAGGACATCTCTAGTCCTCTTTTTTACATCTTCACATGTCGTCACTCTTTGTACAAATTACATTCCAGTGGGAGTTAGGGCAGCAGGAATGGGGAACTCCAAGCCTCATTCCTATTCACATTCCTAATTCTGCCATAGGTCAGTTTGTCACCCACACAATTGGGACTAGATATTGCAAGGAATTATGAGATTCTTTATGGATTTCAAAATAGAATTTTCTTCTCTATCTGCTCTGGGCACTGGGCTTTTGAAGATTTGCTGTTCTGTGTTTCTGGGGCTCCTGGAAGCCTCCTTGGCATGTTCTGGAGGTAGAGGTAACGAGCATCATAGCAATAGGTGACATTATGCTAATTTCACTCTGCCTCTGTATGCTCTTTGAATTGCAAGGATGTTCAGGATCAAAATAACAAGCATGAAAAGGATGTGATGAGTAAGTTCTGAAAAGGACTGGAAAGTCTGTCACCAGCAATGGCCTAGGAAAAAATTGTGAGATATGGAAATAAATATTTATATTTGGTGGTGGTTCTATTTTTTTTATCTTTTCCTTAGATCTTGACATCCAGGGCTTTTAAACAACACAGCATTCCCCTGCTCTGAGCCCCATTTTCCTGTTTTCTTCTCCTGTTTCTCTGTCCTAGATTTGATCTTTGCTAGAGAACATTTAAACCAATTTGTGTTTACATGTTAATATGGTAATATATTTTTAATTTAATTATCTTAGGGGCAATTTCCTAAGTATAATGTATTAACTCATATGAATATTGTGGGAAAGTACTGCAAATTAAAGAAATCTTGTCTTAGCACTCAAATGACCCCATACAGGCCAGTCCCATACATGACATATAATAAATAGCATTTCATTATTTTATGCTCCATATGAGGCTACATGGGACATCCCTTCATAGTTACTTCCCCAAATATATCTCAAGCTTTCAAAAGCATAGGCTATATGCTTAACTTTTTTGTATATTTCGTAGAGCTGCATGTTAGTATACACACATTAGACATGTAATACTTATTAAGGCAGTTTTCACCAACACATAGATACATGCCTTTTGAGAAACATATAAACACCTCTTTTGTTTTCTTTTGATGAAGCTTTTTCCACGGGGCCTCCTTCCTCTCAAATGTGATACCTAATACAAAATCTTCTTCTGCTGGCCGCCCCACATGTACCACTTAGAAGGTATATCCTGAATACTATAAGAGTGTTTAACAGGAGATATGAATCTAATCTTTATTACAAAATAAAAGTTCTTCAAGGATTTGAACTTAAATGGACACCTAAAAAAGAAGTAGTACTTTACTAAGTAAAGAAGGTGGGTAAGTACTCCAGACAGACAAACCTGCAAGGAATTTGATGTATTTTATAAAAAGAAAAGAGGACAATGTGGTTGGAAAACAAAGAACTCACTTAGGCTCCAGCCATACCATGCTTCTCAGGGTAACCACAAAGGTAAAATAAGCCCCAAATAGGTGCAAGCAGGCAGATGGAGAACTATAAATTCAGCCAAATTTTATTTTATTCTGACATAAAATTACTCATTTTTACTTATAGAATTTCTTAAATATTTTCCTATTTCCAGAGATCCTTAATAAAGTCATCTTTTTTCCCTCCCTAAGTATCTTTCCAATCTGCTAGAGAATTCATCATCACTAGGGTGCAGTAGTTGCTGACCAAACAAAACCATGAATTGCTATTCTTTCACAACTAGTAATAATTCATTCACAACTAGTAATAATTTGACACTCTTACCTTCTTATGTACTATGACTTCTATTAACTAAGAAACGTGACTTTTAGCTAATGGAACATTTTTGTGGCTTTTATAAAACAATAATCTGAACAGTCAGCAAGCTGAGAGCCAAATCAAGAATGCAATGCCATTTATAATAGCCACACAAAAGTTAAAATTCCTAGGAATAAATCTAAGCAAGGAGATGGAAGATACCTACAAAGAGAACTATAAAACATTGCTGAAAGAAACAAACAGATGACACAAGCAAATGGAAAAACATTCCATGTTCATGGATTGGAAGAATTAATATCATTAAAATGGCCGTATTTCCCAAAGCAATCTATAGACTCAATGCTGTTCTTACCAAACTACCAACATCATTTTTCACAGAATTAGAAAAGCTATTCTAAAATTCATATGGATCCAAAAGGGAGCCTGAATAACTAAAGCAATCCTAAGCAAAAAGAACAAAGCCAGAGGCATCATATCACTGAACTTCAAACTATACTATAAGGCTACAGTAACAAAAACAGCATGGTAATGATACAAAAACAGCATGGTAATGATACAAAAACAGACACATAGACCAATGGAACAGAATAAAGAACCCAGAAATAAAGCTGCACACCTACAGCCATCGGATCTTTGACAAAGTCGACAAAAATAAGCAATGGGGAAATGACTCCTTATTCAATAAATGGTATTGGGATAATTAGCTAGCCATATGCAGAAGAAAAATTGGACTGCTGCCTTTCACCATATACAAAAATTAAGATGAATTAAATATTTAAACATATGATCCCAGTCTTTTAAAATCCTAGAAGAAAACCCAGGAAATACCATTCTGTACATTGGCCTTGGCAAATAATTTATGGCTAAGTCCTCAAAAGCAATTGCAACAAAAACAAAATTGACAAGTGGGACCTAATTACACTGAAGAGCTTCTGCACAGGAAAAGAAACAATTGACAGAGTACACAGACAACCTACAGAATGGGAGAAAATATTTGCAAACTAAGCAGTGGGCAAAGGTCTAATATCAAGATTCTATAAAGAACTTAAATCAATAAACAAAAAACAAATAACCCCATTAAAAAGTGAGCAAAGGCCTGAGCATAGTGGCTTATGCCTGTAATCCCAACACTTCTGGAGGCTAAGGTGGGAGGATCATTGAGCTCAGAAGTTTGAGACCAGCCCAGGCAACATACTGTGTCCTTGTTTCTACAATTTTTTTTAATGAGCTGGGTGTGTTGGCACACATATGTAGTTCCAGCTATTTGGGGGCTGAGGTGAAAGGATTGCTTCAGCCAGGAATTTGAGGCTGCAGTGAGCTGATCACACCACTGCACTCTGGTCTGGGAAACAGAGCGAGACCCTGTCTCAAAACAAAACAAAACAAAAAAACTGGGCAAAGGACATGAACAGACACTTCTTCTCAAAAGAAGACATACAAGCAGCTACCAAACGTATGAAAAAAATTCTCAACATCACTAATCATCAAAGAAATGCAATTCAAAACCACAAAGAGATACCACCTCACACCAGTCAGAAAAGAAGTCAAAAAATAATAGATGCTGGCGAGGCTGTGGAGAAAAGGGAATGCTTATACACTGTTGAGGGGAATCTAAATTAGTTCAGCCACTGTGAAAAGCAGTTTGGAAATTTCTCAAAGAACTTAAAACTACTATTCAACACAGCAATTCCATTACTAAGTATATATCCAAAGGAAAATAAATCATTCTACCAAAAAGACACACACACTTACGTGTTCATTGCAGCACTATTCACAATAGCAGACATGGACTCAACCTATGTGCCCATAAACAGTGGATTGGATAAAGAAAATGTGATATGTATACACCATGGAATACTACACAGTCATAAAAAAGAATAAAATCATGTTGCTTGCATTACCTGGGTGATGGGACCATTCATACCCCAAACCTCAGCATTATGCAATATATTTGTGTAACAAACCTACACATGTACCCCCTGAATCTAAAACAAAAGTCGACATTATTTTTTTAATCTGAACAATCAATAACAGTTTTATTTGAAGCAATGAGTTTGTTAGTAATCTATAGGGTAACAGTTAGCTTTCCAGTGTATCAAATTTTCAAGCCTAATCAAAGCTTCAGCAGTAATCCACCTGACCCAAAATACTTGCTTATTTCCTACATACTGGCATAAATCACTATCCATTAGATGATGTTTTTGTATTAAAAACAAAAACAAAAACACATGCATTTGGTAATATTTGAAAATCCAGTTCATGTGGCAATAAAAATCAATAACTGCTTACTTTGCCAAAATGTGTAACCTATATTTGGGGATATAATAAGAATTTTCCATACAACCATAATCAAAACATTTGTTGTATGTTACATGCATCATATAAATTGAAGTATCAAAGTTTTCAAGCATGAAGCATGTTAAAAACTTTGGATCTCAGAAAAGATCAAATAATACGACACATATGCAAGTGCTTTGAAAATGGTAAAGCACTACAAAAGGTATCAAGTAAGATATGAAAGTAATATATATACATATATATATATACACACACAATAGCAGAAACCAAATGTAACTGCATTTCTGCAAATGATGTAATGATTCTTGTTTGTCTAATTTGCATTTTCGGAAAAGACTGCTCATATGTTACAGCAGCAGCTAAGTTTACAACAATTTTTCTTTGTTCTTGGCAAACAAAAAAAGGTTAAGAATTTGCAGACAAGTCTTGGCAAAGAAGTGTTCTGATTCAGCTTTGCCAATCCCTGAGACCAACAGTATATAGCTGGAAAATACTTAGGTTATGAACCTGTTAGAAAAATTTTCAGTTAGTATTGCTAATCAGTACAACAACATCTTCAAGTCATAATTGGGCCTTGAGCATTAAAATACTGTTACAGCATTTTACCCACTAGTTGGCTCTCCCCTTTCCCATTTAGATGGTCCGTTTTTCTATGCAGAAATATTATATGTGTTGATATGGTAAAACTGCAAAACCAATACTTCCCTATTCTACCTAAACATAAAATTTGACTTGGAATGTCAAATTTTGTACTGTCAAAGATCAGCCAGATTATTTCCTATTTCATAAAGTTTTGTTTTGTGACACAGATCTTCACTGATATATATAAAAATGCTGTTGGAAATTTTATTCTCAAAAATGATACGGATACTTTTGTATCCAATGATACTTCTGGTTGGATTTGCATATTCATTGACCAAACCTCAAAATTCACAATATGGTAAAGCTGGAACAAAGTTTATAGATCACATAATCAATTCCATTGACCCATTACCCCTACTTGACAGATAGAGGCTGAGCCCCAAGGAGGCATATCTATAATGGATATGTTTCTAGGCCTTTTGTGTAAAGTGACAAATCAACTACTATAGGAGAAATCATGACCACTTTTTTTTTTTTTTCGGAAGAGCTAAATGTTGCAAGAATTTTCACTCCTTTCCCTTTTTCTTGCTTGCTTAGACAGGATATATTTCCTCTTTGTCAGCCTGCCTCACAGCCCCAAATTCTTTTGCCCCTTATATGGAAAGATATCACTTGCTTAAGCATGTTGAGAAGCACAAATAAAAAAGAACGACTAAAAAGATTTTTTATACACACACACACACACACACGCACACACGCATACACACACACACACACACACACCAGCTTCAGCAAGCCAACCAATATAGAGAATTACCTAAAATAAACTATTATGCAGAATAGAGTACTAAGACCTGACATTATCCTAATCTCACTTTGGCTTGATTCCTACCTCTTTGTCTTTATAGAAAGGTCACAATTTTACTGTCCCAAGTTTTCACATGTATCCGTCTTTGTTTGGATATTCTTAAAACTAAAACAAATAAACAAAAAAGTTAAAACCAGTTTGATATCTCACTACCTGAAATAGCTACTGCAATGCTATTTTTAAAGGAATGGGGTTATTGTTCTATTTCTTCTTTGTGGTTTTCAAGTTACAAAAGAGATGTATCCTTATTATAAACAAATTCAAACAATATACAAGTATAAAAAGGAAAATGTGGGAATTTCTCCCTATAACACCTCCTACGTAAAGCATCCATTGTACCAGGAAGGCAATATGGTATTATGTCTAAGACTGAAGTATTGAAACCACCCTGCCTGGATTCAATTCCTGCTCTTCCACTAACTAGCTGTGTGGACTTGAACAAGTTACCTATTTTTTCTGTGCCTCATTCATGTCATCAATAAAAGGCACTAGGAAAAGATACTTACCATATAAGGTTGTTATGTAGGGTAAATGAGATAATGGCACTTAGAAGAATGTCTGGTATATAATAATTGCTCAATCAATGCTAGCTATGATTATCAGATCCTCTTGGAATGCTAACAAAGGTATAAGTAGTAATAACAGTGAACAGCTGTTGAAGGAAATTCATGTGATCATAAAGCTATGATTTCAGTTTGCATTTTACCATTCTGTTATCCCAATGTCAAATTTAGTTTAGTAAGTTATGATTAATATTGCCAAATGGCTAAATTATATAGCTGATGTCAAAGCCTTTTGAAAAGTAGGCATAATTGTTGAAGTAATTCAAATAATTTTTATTCTACATGTATATTGTCCAAATATGTACGTCTGTATTAGTATCTAAGCAGAAATGTCTTTCTGTGAAAATTCCAATTCCTCTAGAAGCTTCCCCCCTCCATCCCCCTCATCCCCCATAAAGGACCATCTTCTGTCCTACCTCTTTCTTCTCCTTATTCCTGGATTATGAAGAAGGCCAGCTCAGGCCAATCCATTCCTGTGGCATGGAATGACCCATGATCACATTATAGCCTCCTACCTGGCATGTGCTGGGCAGGAAAGAGACCAGCACAATGTCCAGCACAAGAGGGAAGCTTCTGCCTTAATTCTACCCCACTGGTCCTGGCTCTGCCCATTTCATTAGCTTCCCAGTGGCCGTGCATCACAGCTCCCTGGGGCTGTATTCTCCCCATTTAGGGTCACAGCTGCATGCTCCTAACCTCATGTAACTCATCTACTTCTCACATGCTCAGAAATTTCCTTTAAAGCACATCTTTGCCTTCACAGAGTATATTTATATTAATAAAGAGTTCTTATTGTTTTTATCCATGAGCACGTATGGCTGACTCAAATACAAGCCATTGCAACTTGGTGGACAAACCCTAGTTGGTACACACTTTGAAAAAGTGCTCAAAGCCAGCCAATCTAGGAGGCATGAGATAATCTAACTACTGTCGCTTCTTTAACTTTCAGTATAAAATTCCTCTGTGTATTTGGGGCTAAGCTTAAGTGGAACACTGATCAGAAGTGTCTGTGATGGTCTGAAAAATAATGAGAAAAAGTACAATGCTTTCATGAAACTAAAGACAGACGGGGTTTTCTGTGGGGATTCAGGGCTATAAGCAGCTCTTACCTATTTATTTTATTTATATATATATATATATATATATATATATATACACATATATATCGACAGACAGACACACACACACACATATATATGTATTTGTAAATGTGTGTGTGTGTGTTGAAAAGAAACAGTGATGGCCAAGCAGGGTCATGTAAGTTTGTTTACTGATGTATTTGTTGATAAATATCTGTTGTATGTTTTTCATAATTGTTTGAACATGTATGTCTGGTTGCTCCATGAATTGGAACAGTTCCCATTTCATCTGGTCCAGGAGGTAAAATAGATCAGTCCACTATTAAAATACTTTAAAAACATACCCTCATTTTCTCAAAGCCCCTAATCTATAAGCATGGTGAGAAAATTAGCCTTT
Organism: Homo sapiens; assembly: GCF_000001405.40. NCBI lineage: Eukaryota > Metazoa > Chordata > Mammalia > Primates > Hominidae > Homo > Homo sapiens. The sequence goes on along the minus strand of NC_000008.11, from coordinate 32,511,046 downwards.
GTCTCTTTGGGATCCTCTCCCCAGAGATTTTTTTCAGGGTATGGCATGGAAAAAAATAGGGAGACCCTGCTTCAGAAAAAAAAAAAAAAAAGGAAAGAAAGAAAGAAAGGAAGATTCCAACAGAATACAGAAAAAAGGAAAAAGAACAATGTTTATAAGAACCTGGAGAGAGAAGTTGAGAAGACGAAGACCTGTTTTTTACTTTTTTGGGTAGCACTGCTAAGGGTATGGCCCAGGGTATGGCCTGGACTAGAGAGGGTGGAGCCATCTTCCGGATTACTGAAAAGAGTCCTGTCTCAGCCTGCATGGTCCTTAGGGTGCGGTGGCCCTGAGGCTTCTGGGTGCCTGGCTGAGCCCTTTGTTTTAGTTATCAGTGACATCATCAGCCCAACATGAGCACAGCCATGTCTTCTCCAGAATCACTCATCCTGCACTTCCCCATTTCCTCACCTTCTACTCCTCCAAAGAACAGGCAGGAATAGAGGTGATGTTCCATTTTATTAGAGTCCTGCGACTTCTGGGTACTTTTTTATTTCTTTAGCAGTGCTGCCCAAAAAAGTAGAAAACAGGTCTTCATCTTCTCACCTTCTCTCTGCAGGTACTTGTAAATATTGTTCTTTTTCCTTTTTTCTTTATTCTACTGGAATTTTCTTCCTTTCCTCCTTTTTTTATTTTTTATTTTTTTGAAACAGGGTCTCCCTATGTTACCTATGCTAGAGTGCAGCAGCACAAACATGGCTCACTGCAGCCTTGACCTCCTGTGCTCAAGCAGTCCTTCTGCCTCAGCCTCTCAAAGTGCTGGGATTATAGACACGAGGCAATATGCCTAGCCCTCCTTTCTTTCCTTTCCTGTCTTTTCTTTCTTTTTTCTTTCTGTCTCTCTTTCTTTCCCTTTCTCCCTCCCTCCCTTGCTTTTATGATTATTATTATTATTATTATTATTATTATTTTTGTCTAGGATAGCTATGTTCTTTCTCCTGTTTCTGACCAAGACATTTTTTCCACTAGTTAAGAATCTTCTCTCTTTTGGAGCTAAATTTTAGGGGGAAAACAAGCAAAAAAAATTCCAAAAACTAGATTTTCACAGGCAAGGCCACATTTCTTCCCTGTAGCAATAATTGTAGGGTCTGAATGAAAGGAGAGTAAAAGGATAAAGACAGATGAAATGTTAACTTCTAAACATATTAGCTCCCACCACCACCACCTCCAGTACACACACATCAACAGGCTAGGACATCCAAAATATTAATGAATTACTGAGAAGGTGGAAAGTGGAGAGGTTCAAGCCAAACATATAGCTGCCTTTTCAGGACCCTCAGACTTAAATCCAAAATGAAACTAACAAAGTCATCCTCCTCAATGAAGCCCTCCTCTGCTGTCTCTTTTCTCTATTTCTATTAATGGAATAAACAAACAACCAATTTACCAAGCTAGAAATGTGAGTGTCACCTTTGACTCTTCCCCCTCTCCTTTAATCACCTGCATCCCTCAAATTCCAATTCCTCTTCAATCTACTTTGGCAATGGCATCCAAAACCTTCCCTCCTCAGGCTGCCGACACTAGCTTAATCCAGGCTCTAATCATCTTTGTTTTAAAGTCTTAAGTATTTTTTTTAAGATTACAAAGTTATATGTGAATAATAGAAACAATTCAGGCCGGATGTGGTGACTCACACCTGTAATCCCAGCACTTTGGGAGGCCCAGGTGGGAGGTTCATTTGAGCCTGGGAATTTGAGACCAGCCTGGGCAACATGGTGAAACCTCATCTCTATGAAAAAATACAAAAATTAGCTGGGTGTGATGGTGGTCACCTGTAGTCCCAGCTACCTAGGAGGCTGATCACCTGAGCACAGGAGCTTGAGGCTGCAGTGAGTCATGATTGCACCACTGTACTCCAGCCTGGGTGACAGAGCCAGACCCTGTCGCAAAAAATAAAATAAAATAAAATATAAAATAAAATAAAATAAAATAGGAAAAGAAAAAAGAAACAATTCAAAGTATACACAAGTATAGGCCAGGCACGGTGGCTCATACCTGTGATCCCAGCACTTTGGGAGGCTGAAGTGGGTAAATCGTTTGAGGTCAGGAGTTCGAGACTAGCGTTGCCAACATGGTGAGACTCCATCTCTACTAAGAATATAAAAATTATTTGGGCATGGTGGTGTGTGCCTATAGTCCAGCTACTCAGGAAGCTGAGGCCTGAGAATTGCTTGAACCTGGGAGGTAGAGGTTGCAGTGACCCAAGATTGCCCCACTGCACTCCAGCCTGAGTGACGGAGTGAGACTCTGTCTCACACAAACAAACAAACAAAAAACCAAAACAACAACAAAACCACAAAGTATATACAAGTATAAAAAATAAATAGTGTAGGTTTCCTAATAATTCTACATATCAGAATGACAACTGTTAAAACTTTGTTTTTGTTTTGCAACTTAAAAAATAGCCCTTAGGCCAGGCGCGGTGGCTCACGCCTGTAATCCCAGAACTTTGGGAGGCTGAGGCAGGTGGATCACGAGGTCAGGCATTCAAGACCAGCCTGGCCAACATAGTGAAACCCTGTCTCTACTAAAAATACAAAAAAAAAAAAACTAGCTGGGTATGGTGGCAGGTACCTGTAATCCCAGCTACTCGGGAGGCTGAGGCAGGAGAATTGCTTGAACCTGGGAGGTGGAGGTTGCAGTGAGCAGCGATCGCACCACTACACTCCAGCCCGGGCGACAGTGTGAAACTCTGTCTCAAAAAAAAAAAAATGGCCCTTATATTGTGGACTTATGTTTACAGCAGAACATATTATAGATCTCTACAGGGCCTCACTATATTGTATATTGCCCAGGTTGACCTCAAACTCCTGGGCTTAAGGAGTCCTCCTACCTCAGCTTCCTGAGTAGTTAGGACTATAGGCATGTGCCACCACATTCCACTCTACCATTCTTTGTTAATGGTTGAAAAGTGTTAGCTGGTTTAGCTACGTCAGAGTTTAACCCATCTTCTATGAATGGACATATGAGCTGCTACTGCATTGAACATCCCCATAAATACATTTTTGTAGTCTGGGTACGGTGGCTCATGCCTGTAATCCCAACACTTTGGGAGACCAAGGTGGGTGGATCACTTGAGGTCAGGAGTTTGAGACAAGCCTGGCCAACATGGTGAAACCCCATCTCTACTAAAAATACAAAAATTAGCCAGGCATGTAATTACATGCCTGTAATCCCAGCTACTTGGGAGGCTGAGGCATGAGAATTGCTTGAACCTGGGAGGTGGAGGTTGCAGTAAGCCAAGGTCATGCCACTGCACTCCAGCCTGGGCAACAGAGTGAGACCCTGTCACTCATTTGGGCAAAGATTTGCAAAGGATTAATAAGTACTACCAAGTTACTTCCAAATGTTATACATTGCCACTAAAAGTATATAAGGGCACCTCATGTTACTCTTTAATGGGACTGTTGCATTATAAACTTAGTTTTTTTGTTGTTGTTTTGTTTTTTGCCAGCAAATTCTCCCTCATGCTGTTTATCATTTTTCACAGCCAGCAAAGTTGTTTCCTCAAATGAACAAAGCAGATCAAACACTTTCCAGTTGAAATGCCTCTGTAAGTCTCTGTAATCAAGAAGAGGCAACTAAACTGTGAAGTGTTCCATTCAATGGATTCACAGACTGGCTTCAAACTACCATTTCAGTCTCTTCTTTGGACATTGTCTCCTACAAACTTTATATTCTGCTACTTCAAAACATTAGAAAATTTTTCATGCTTTGGAGATTTTACAAGTACCCTATCACTAACCTGCCTTACCCTCTGCCTCCCCTTAACCTGAAGTGCTTTAGTAACTCTTGCTCGCTCTTACAACTATTTAGTAAGAGGCATGCTCCATCTTTGTACTTCTATAAAGGATTTTTTTCACCATTCTGACTTAGAGCTTAATCATGAACATATCTTCCCTCTCTCCCATCATAGGGTAAGAATTTTGAGGGCAAAAACCATGCCAGGTTCACCCCTAGGTTTTTTTCAACCCTAAAGTAGAGTCTTTGGAACGAAGTGGATGTCTAATACATTGTTCAATAAATTAATGGCTAAATGGGTTGAGGGTAATTAATCAAAGAATAGATAGAATGCTGTAGGAGATTGTACACCCTTGAAAAACTGCTTTTTTTATCTTATTTTTTTTAGAGGCAGGGTCTCACTCTGTTGCCCAGGCTAGAGTGCGGTGGTGCAATCACAGCTCATTGCAGCCTCGAACTTCTGGACTCAAGTGATCCTCCCGCATCAGCCTCCCAAAGTGCTGGGATTACAGGTGTGAGCCACCATGCCCAGTCAAAAAGATCCCCCCACATACCCCCCAAGATTTCTGCAGAGAGCCTGGTTGAGGGAGTGCAGTATGAGCATTTCCTTGTCTTTTCCTCTCCAAATTTAGATTGGCAGGAGAAAACATTTGTAAGAAATAATTCTTTGGGTATTGCGACTTTTGTGATTTTTGGCTTGAGGACTTTTGTGATTAATCCTTTTCCTCCTGGAGACAGCCATTGTTTTCTCTTTGTCTCTGTCTTTTGTGTTGTTTGTCATAAGGAGGAAAATCATAGAATAGAATATTGGCACAGGTGTATAAGCCTGTTGTTTGAGCCAGCCTCACAGACTGGTGACTTTAAAGTTCTCAGCAGACTACAGACCCTTTGGGCAAATGTTGTTGTGGGTCCCCAATAAAAAAGAAATTCGATGAAGTCCTCCCTTCTGTCCCGAGAACTTGACTTAGATCTAGTAACAGCATGCTCTGTTTGTTTTGTTTTGTTTTTTCTTTCTTTCTTTTTTAAAGAGACAAGGTCTTGCCCAGGCTGGAGCGCAGTGTTGCGACCATAGCTACTGTAACTTCAAACTCCCAGGGTCAAACAATCATCCTGCCTCAGCCTTCATGTAGCTGAGACTACAGATGTACACCACCATGTCCAGGTAATTTTTAAATTTTTTTTAGAGACAGGGTCTTGCTATCTTGCCCAGTATGGTCTCCAACTCCTGGCCTCAAGTGATCCTCCTGCCTCAGCCTCCCAAAGTGCTGGGATTATAGGCTTGAGCCACCACGCCTCACCTCTGTCTGTGTTTTTGCCCACTGGGAAGCACAGGTGGTTGGGCCTGAGTCTGGAGGTGCTCGCTGTCAGTCAAGGACCCTAAAAAACACTAGCAAAATTTCCCACCTGGCTATGTCAGCAATCTGGGGAATTTGTCTAAATAAAGTGTCTCAGCTCATACAAGGCACTTGTTGTCCTTCCTCATTGTCTTATTAGTGCTGAAAAAGTCCCATCTCCGTATTGCCTCCCAAGTGTCACAGGTCCACAAGTCTGTGATTGCAGGTGCCTCACTTTTGTGTAACGCTGGAGATACCATTTTCACAAACACCATTTTTGCTGCCTGTGACCATGAGGGTCTCAGCTCGCTTTCTCTTTGGCTATTTTTGGGAATGACTTTCCATCATGAGGGCAGAGTCTTCTGCACCCTCTCTGGGGACAACTCTTGGTCCCCGGTTAAACCATAAAATGGATGATTGGTTTTGAGTCATAAAAGTCTTACTGGTTTTGTGTCACATTTTGGAGCACGTATACCTTTGGAGATCCTAAATTGTCAAAGACCAGATGATGGAACTGGGATTTGAAAAAGCTTTTATGTTTAAAAGGATATTTAGAGAGCTCTCACCCTAAATAAACATCGTATTGCTACCTATGGGAGGATCAAGTTGAAAGAAGGAAACAAGTGTATCATGGTTAGACTGGATAGCTCCCTTAACAAAATTAACAAGCATAAATTAGATTTAGACAAGAACTTAAAATTCACACCCATCAAAAATCATCCCCCCAACCCCACTTTTAAAATGCCTGCTTGATAAAGCTTAGTGCTACCAGAAGAATTTACTGTTTGTCCCAGAAAATAACAATTGATAATAACAACAATGATACGCAGCAACCCTGTAACAGACAAAAATGCCCGAAAACTCCCTTTTAAAGGGACTACTTGAAAGTTTACATCCTTTCTCTTCCTCCTTCAGCTGTAAAATATTCTACCACCCAAAACTGTCTTCTCAAGGACCTGAGGGCCATCTCTTTGATATGTAAACACCTAAGGAAATATTAATAACTTTGATTTCCAGCCCAAAAGTCACCTGGCTTTAATTTCTGTTGACTAAAACAATAACCTGAGACTAATGCTACTGTCTACATTAAATTATTATGTCAAGAAAAAAATTTTTTAAGTCTCCACCAACAATATTGATAAAAAGCCTTAACCCTCATTGAGCAGGTAACCTCTTGTTCCATCTGCCAGAAATACAATTCAGATTTTTTTAAAAAGACAAAAATGCCAGCTCATATAAATTTGTGAGTTTTGTGTTTCTATATTTATACCTGACCTGTGGCTAAAATCTTAAAATAATCTCTATCTGTTTCTGTCTTTAAATAAATTAAATTTTAAAATAAATAAATCTTTATATGTTTATGTGTGTATATATGTATGTACGTTGTACCTATGTGACATTTCCTCACTTCATGATGGTATTACCAAATTAATAAATGAGTTCTATTCTAAGTTGGCTTAAAAAAACGCTTATAAGTATTGCTAAAACACTCAGAAATATAACCAAATATATTATTTAATGGTTAAATATAACCAACATGTTTTCAAGTTTATCTGATATAAGATAATCTTTGGTAAATAAAACTAGTTTTGTTACAGCAGGTAGCTAGTCAGACATGAGCAGGGCAGGAGAGGGTTCCCTTTCCCCACAACCAGGAATGTCAGACGACCATCAGGTGATGGACAGGCAGTCCTTAACTGTCTCTCTAAAATAATAATTGGTTGCAGCTGGCACCAGGGAAAGGCAGGCTCCCAACAGATAGGAAGAGCCTGAAACTGCTGATCAGCAGCTTCCGGCTAAGATCGCAGGAGTTGGGTAAGTGGGCTCAAGCATGGCACTAAAAGGCAAAATGGCGGATGACCTTCCTCTAGGAACACTGGATTTGCTAAGGGAAAAAATACCTCAAGTGGGCATGCGTACACGTCCAGTAAACACACTGTGCATGCGGACCCTTTGAAGTGCTGGCAAGCCACTGAGCATGTGGACAGCCCACCCCAAGGAAAGAATCAGGCGAGAAGGAATGCAAGACCCCAGAAGCATGCCAGCGTATAAAACCCCAAGTCAGAAGGTCAAACGGTGCACCTGATCTCTCAAGTCGCCTGCTTGGCCATCTTCCACTTTACTTCCTTTCATTCCTGCTCTAAAACTTGCCTCGGTCTCTCACTCTGCGTATGTCCGTCAGCTGAACTCTTTCTTCTAAGGAGGCAAGATGTAAGGATGCTGCATACCCGTATGGATTCACCGCTACTACCAGTTTAATATTATTTCTTTAATTAAAGAGAGTTACGTCTTCAAGTTGTCAACATGAAATATACATTTTATTCTACTTGGACTTACTAGTCAAACTAACATTATAACTACTGAGGTTTAAGGCTATTAAACTTATAGATGGCATTTTATTCAGATTGAGTCATTACTCTGACAAACTTTATTTCAACAATAACTGTTTTATAGTACAGTGACTTAAAAATAGTTTCCGACATCTTTTTGGTTACTTGAAATCTTAAAGTTATACTAAGTTAAATGACGGATATTCATGAAATAGGTAGATAATTTCAAAGAAAATAAAATACCAAAATACTAATTACTAAAGTTTATCTATTTAAGTTTATTTCCTTTTTTTTTTTTTTTTTTTTTTTTTTTTCTGAGACAGAGTCTCGCTCTGTAGCCCAGGCTGGAGTGCAGTGGCACCATCTCGGCTTACTGCAAGCTCCGCCTCCCTGGTTCACGCCATTCTTCTGCCTCAGCCTCCTGAGTAGCTGGGACTACAGGCGCCCGCCACCATGCCCAGCTAATTTTTTTTGTATTTTTAGTAGAGATGGGGTTTCATTGTGTTAGCCAGGATGGTCTCCATCTCCTGACCTCATGATCCGCCCATCTCAGCCTCCCGAAGTGCTGGGATTACAGGCGTGAGCCACTGCGCCCGGCTACTTTTGACTTCTTAATTTGGCAGAGACTAAAGGTATTTGGATCTGTTAATAAACCTGCTCTTTTGCCACACTGAGAAGTTGTACTGTTAGGAAACATGCCTCTAGAAATTATGAGAGAATGTATTTATACCTGTGCTAATGTAGCACAGAATGCATGTATGTAACTGACAGTTTATGATTGTTTATTTCTTCATTTTCACTGAAAGTTAATGTTACTAAGGGTTAAGAAATCTAATAAATATGTGTAAATGAACTACTAGTAATAATAGGATGAAGAAACAAAACTCTGCAGGCAAAGAGTACAAGGAGAGTGAGATGTGTTTTTGTTAAAGAAAAATGACAGTGACTTTTATCCTAGAGTAGTTTAGAGGTCATTTAAATAAGAAAGACGAAAATAAAGGACAAAAATGTGAGTTGATATAGAAAGTTGTAAAGGTCAGTGAAAGAGAGAGAGAGAGAACAGAAGAGAGAGAGAATCTTACATTGTGTGGCCACGCTGGCTAGGACTGAATGGGTGTATTTATAAGGTTTTAAAGAATGAGCTTAGTAGTTGATATGGGTTAAATGTGTGTCCCCACCAAATCACATGTTGAAATGTAATCCCCAGTGTTGGAGGTGGGCTCTGGTGGGAGGTGATTGTAATCATGGGGGCAGATTTCTCAAGAACGTTTTAGCACCATCCCTCTTGGTACTGTACTCATGATAGTGACCGAGTTCTCGTAAGATCTGGTCATTTAAAATTGTGTGGCACCTGACCCCTTACCCTCTGTTGCTCCTGCTCCTGCCATGTAAGACGCCTACTCCACCTTCACCTTCTGCCATGATTGGAGGCTTCCCGATGCCTCCCAAGAAGCAGAAGCTGCTATGCTTCTTGTATAGCCTACAGAGCTGTGAGTCAACCTCTTTTCTTTGTAAATTACCCAATCTCAGGTATTTCTTTACAGCAATGCAAGAATGGACTAATACAGTAGTGTATTGATGCAAAACTACTTTTAAAATGAGCAAGTTTTCTTGGTTTATTAATCTATTTTTTGTTCTTAGAGAGACAGGGTCTCACTATATTGCCTAGGCTGGTCTTGAACTCCTGGCCTCAAGCAATCCTCCCACCTTAGCCTCCTAAAGGACTGGAATTACAGGCCTCAGCCACTATACCGAGTAGTCTATTCTTGGTAAGAGATTATGAAATGTTTTCTTTACCTCTTGAGTGATACACCTAGAAAATAAATATTCTGTGCTTTATGTTGCACTTATTATGTCTTTGATTATTTCAGAAAACCAAGTTTTCTTAAGATTGAAAGAGTTAAAATTTTTTATGATTATGTTATCTTCCATATTTATCTTGAAAATCTTTTATTGTCACTTTGGTTAAATAGATAACTAAGTATTGTTTTATAGTGATCTGTGATCCCATTTAATCAATTGTTCAAACCTTTTCACGTTTTTCACAACTTCCCTAAATCAAATTCCAAATGAAGTCTTCTTGACCTTGAATTGACTCTGGAATTTCCCAGAGGGCCCCTGGAAAACTCTCAAAGGATTTGTTCTCTCAGTTTGTAAAAAGAGAGATGAGCTTATTTAATATGCTAAATTGCATGGGAAGCACTGTCAAATAAAGAGAAGATATTTAACCATTCCTGGGTTATATTTGTATGGATATAATGATTTTGATTTTTCAGAAATCATATAAAATTCCTAGAAATCTGTCAATGCCCTTGCTGTTCATGAGATGTCTTGGTATCACATTATTATCTTAAAATCCTGTATGTCAGAGAAACAACCAAATTTCTTTATCAATTGACTTATAATGAACTTTCATCAGATCTTTAGGTATGGCCATTTTAAGTCATTGTCATTCACAGATAATTATTGTTTTATGCCGATGCTTTTCTGAAGGCTCACGCAGTCAGCTGTAGGCCAGCATGCCTCATCTTCAGCAAAGAAAGAGCATATTAGAGATTCATGAACAAAACCTTGGCAGGTACTCTGGAGTACAGGCTTCTGCTGACATTGCTTAAATAACTTCAAGATTATAACACTGGACACAGTAAGGATTTCCAGAACTAATGGAGAAGCTGATGGATTCATAAATCCACTAATCTAAGATCAAGCAAAACAAGAATTAATTACATGGGACTGAATGAACTGATAAAAAACAATTATAATTTTTATGGCCTTTTTGATTGAAACCTTGCTGGTTATTTAATGTTCTATCTTCTGGATGTCAGGAAACCCTTTCTAAAAGCTACCTGTAATTCACAATAATTTAATAGATTATGTCTTCATAAACAAAAATGAAATATTTATCTTTTGCCCCTACCTGATCTCTCCAAAATTCAGAAATGCTTATTGAGTATTTCAATTTTCATGGCAATATAGTTATTTGCCTAAGTTCCATAAGAATCTATTCTCCTTGGAACAGAACACAATTGGAAACATTGGCTGTCCTACTAAGGCTTTGACTGCAGTGTCATGTTTGAAAATAATGTGTGTGGAATCACATATAACCCAATAGTTTTAAGGAACTAAGGTTGACTATATGGCACCAACGCTTACAAAGCTCCCTTGGAAAAGTAAGACTCGTATCTGGTTTATAGCGTTCCTAGCCTTACAGGTGGGTAAGGAAGGTAACTTTCTGGCAGGCCCGGGAAACTCAGAATGTTTTAGAGTCCTCAAGAAAAGGGAAATTCACCCCAATCTATAGGTATTACAGATAAAGTCTAATGGCTAGTTCTTGGCTTGGCTTACTACTCTCAAGAGCTTTTAAAAGTCTATTCTGAGAGTCCTTATTAAAAGTTCCAGAAGAGCAAACACAAAAAAGCCTACGTGCTAAATTACTATTCTTGCTGCACTTATTATGTAAATAATCTGGCCAAGTTTAATGAGACTAGACTCAGTTGCCAGACACAAGCAGACATACTTTGATTGTTTTTGATCACATTGGGGGTGATTGTAGAAAGAAATTTTATGTTTTAATGGAAAACTATAACCCACCCTTGTGAATGTTCATTATCATTGAGATATTTCCCCCCTTTATAAACTGAATCCTGCCATCTTGTAATTAATGTTTCCAGTCTTCTCTCACCCTTGTGACTTGGCATCACTGAGAACCACAATTGCCCTTTTCTTGGAGCCCTGGAAGCTGAAGTTGGACAACTGAACCTAACTTCAAAGGAATTATCACTACCGTAGTTTGGACCACTCAGGAAGCTCACCAGAACATGTTCCTTCAAACTCCGGGAAATGCACGTGACTGAGACTGCCCCTGTTATCCTCAATCCACCATCTAAAGACACTTCATCCAACATTTATTTATTTATTTATTTATTTTTAAGACAGGATCTCACTCTGTCGCCCAGGCTGGAGGGCAGTGGTGTGATCATGGCTCACTGCAGCCTAGACCTCCTGGGCTCAAGCAATCCGTCCACCTCAGCCTCCTGAGTAGTTGGTACCACAGGTGCATACAACTACATTTGGATGACTTTATTAGAGATGGAGTCACACTGTGTTGCCCGGGTTTATCTTGAACTCCTGGCCTCGAGCAATTCTCCCACTTGAGCCTCCCAAAATGTTGGGATTATAGATGTCAGCTACCGCACCCAGCCTTGAATCCAACATTTAGAAATCTTGCCAACTAACTGCCTTCTGGACTCAAAAACTGGCTTTAGAGTCTGCTCCAACTGTTAATCTTTGTTTTTCTTTTGTTTTCATAGAAATGCCTCTCTTTAAGTGTGTGATTATTCACATAGCATAAAGGCCAAACTTCAGAGGGGTGCCCCACTCCCACCTGCATGCTGCTTCCTGAAATGAGATACAATTGTTGAAGTTGACTGACCTATTTCCAGTACTAGGAGCCTGGTTTAGTGAGATCAGTGGGAATGTGCTGAGATTTGCTCTTTTCTGCTTATTTATTCTCGTTCTGATCTATGTTCTTTCCCTTTGCAGGTCTCTTACCTCTCAGGAACTAACCCAAATCTTGTCTTTATAGCCACCAACTCAGCTTTTGAGGTATGCAACTCCCTGGACAGTTCCAGCTGGGTAGAGATGAAGGAGGTTGAAATATGCCACCCCAAAATATGCTACTTTGGCATAAGGATTATTTTGAGCTGAAGGCAATTGATAATCAATGGATGCAGGAACAGTTCTCTGTCTTTCCCTTGTACATCTAAAAGCAGAGCAAAATTTCTCTTTGAGATAGGTGCCCTCTCCCCCACACCATCAGGAAGAAAAAAGTGACCCATGTTATAAAGATAGGGAGTCAACACTGAGATGAGTTTGCATAAACAAAACTTACTAAAATAGGCCTTACCTTCTGATATGGTTTGGCTGTGTCCCCACCCAAATCTCATCTTGAATTGTAGTCCCCATAATCCCCATGTGTCATGGAAGGGACCTGGTCGGAGGTAATTGAACGATGGGGGCTGTTACCCTCATGCTGTTCTCATGATAGTAAGTGAGTTCTCACGATAGTGAGTGAGTTCTCACAGGATCTGATGGTTTTATAAGGGGCTTTTCCCCTTTTTGCTCAGCACTTCTCCTTGCAGCCGCCATGTGAAGAAGGATGTGTTTGCTTCTCCTTCTGCCATGATTGTAAGTTTCCTGAGGCCTCCACGCCCTGCAGAACTGTGAGTCAAACCTTTTTCATTTATAAATTACCCAGTCTTGGGCATGTCCTTATAGCAGCTTGAGAATGAACTAATATACCTTCCATTAGTTTCTCTCATACATTTTCTAGTCACTTCTCCACAATTCGCCACTCATTGATGCCCAAACCCTCTTTCCTTGGTTAAGAAGGGTTTATAAACCCCCTAGTCTAACCACTTCTTTGATTTTCACTGATTTTCTACAAGCTCTTTTGCATATAAATATTAATAAAATTGTGGGGCCGGGCACAGTGGCTCACACCTGTAATCCCAGTACTTTGGGAGGCCGAGGTGAGTGGATGACCTGAGGTCAGGAGTTCGAGACTAGGCTGACCAACATGGAGAAACCCAGTCTCTACTAAAACTACAAAATTAGCCGGGCATGGTCATGCATGTCTGTAATCCCAGCTACTTGGTAGGCTGAGACAGGAGAATCACTTGAACCCGGGAAGGGGAGGTTGTGGTGAGCCGAGATCGTGCCATTGCACCCCAGCTTGGGCAACAAGAGTGAAACTCTGTCTCAAAAAAATAAGTAAATAAAATAAAATAAAATAAAATTGTGTGCCTCTTATTAATCTTTCATTATTATTGTTTACAGTCCCTAATTTACTGAACCTAGAGGAAGAGCAAAAGTTTTTCCTTTCCAACAGTCCCCTCGCATGTTCCTCCAGCCCTAGACTAGTCACGTACACATGTTAGTTCTCTGCACAGTGGCAGCTTTGATGTGGACCAGAGAAAAGTCAACTGTTTAGTACCAAAAATTGCCTTGACTTGGACTTCTGTGGCCCCAATGCCTCTGAAAACACTTGCAGAAATATGTCAATCTGTAAGTTAAAAAATGATAATTATGCTAAATTTAAATTGTTTATCATTTTAGGTATCATTTTAGAGATTTTCCTTTTTTTTTTTTTTTTTTGATACAAAATCTCTCTCTGTCGCCCAGGCTGGAGTGCAATGACACAGTCTTGGCTCACTGCAACCCCCGCCTCCCAGGTTCAAGTGATTCTCCTGCCTCAGCCTCCCAAGTAGCTGGGATTACAGGTGCCTGCCACCATGCCCAGCTAATTTTTGTATTTTTAGCAGAGACGGGTTTTCACCATGTTGGCCAGGCTGGTCTCGAACTCCTGACCTCAGATGATCCACCTGCCTCGGCCTCCCAAAGTTCTGGGATTACAGGCGTGAGCCACCGTGCCTGGGCGAAATTTTGCTATTTCTGATAAATTCTATACAATAAGACTCAATTTTATCTCATTTAACCCCAACAAAAGAGTTAAAAATTATTAGTATATGGGCACTTGGATGTGAAACATTTGAATTAGAAGACAGGTATTATATTTTTAGTTCTGAATCTTACTAGCTGCGTGATTCTGGGCAACTTACTAAAAGTCTGAATTAATTTCCTTATGTGTAAAAGGAGAATGAGAACTTACATCTGCTTTTCCTATGTTACATAATTTCATCCTTAATTACAGTAAGGATTACATGAGATGTATGCATGTATTGCTTAAATACTAAATATAATTTAATTTCTAATATAGACAGAAAAGAGATTCTAGGCTTGTCAATTATTTTTCATGTTTATAAAATTTAACCTATGAATTAAAATAATAGTGATAATGAAGCCATTGGGACCTAATATATATAATCAGTCATTTTAAAAAGACAGAGAAGAACTCAAATGAAAGACAAGCCCTACATAATCCCATGCACCCTGGTTAACCAGTCTCCCTCCCAAACACACCTATCCTTTCTAATTTTATTTTATTTTATTTTGAGACAGGGTCTTACTCTGTCCTCCAGGCTGGAGTGCAGTGGCTCAATCATAGCTCACCGCAATCTTGACATCCTGGGCTTAAGCAATCCTCCCTCCTTAGTTTCCCAAGTAGGTGAGACTACAGGCACGCACCGCCATGCCCAGTTAATTTTTTAAAAGATATTATTTTTTAGAAATGGGGGTCCCACTCTATTGCCCAGGCTGGTTTTCAGCTCCTGGGCTAAAGCAATGTTCCTGCGTGAGCCACCATAACTGGCCAATCTTTTCTAGTTTTAGATGAAAATCTGTTGAGCAATTTGTAAAATGTTCAGGGATTTTCTCTGGTAGTCAACCCAGGTAGAATAACAAAGAAATAACTTTACTAACATCTAATATTCTGTTAACTACTGCTTAAGGGGAAGAGCTAAAACCAAGAAACCTGCTGAGAAATTTGACATTGTGTCTGGGGGGTTTTGCTAAAATCTACAGGGCTTCTGTGAAAAAATTGAACAATTTACTTCTTACCTAGCACTATTTGTTCAGTTTAATATCATCTGTCTTTGTAAAAGTCCTGGAGGAATCTTTTCAAATTATTATAAATATATTACATTTACCCAGGCCACCACAGAGTGGTAATTCTGTTCAGAAATGTCTGATAAAGTTCACCAAGAAGATCTTATTTCACAAGTTAGAGAAAGTAATTTGAGAATACGATAGACTGGACTGGGAAGGTCACTTTTCTCTGTGCTGATATGAAAATCAGAACTTCTGATGTATTAGTTTGTTCTCACACTGCTAATAAAGACATACTCCAAACAAACAAACAATAACAAAAACAAAACCAAACAGGCTGGGCACAGTGGCTCACTCCTGTAATCCCAACACTTTGGGAGGCTGAAGCGGGTGGATCACCTGAAGTCAGGGTTCGAGACCAGCCTGGCCAACGTGGCGAAACCCCATCTCTACTAAAAATATAAAAATTAGCTGGGCGTGGTGGCGAGCGCCTGTAATCCCAGCTGCTCGGGAGGGTGAGGCAGGAGAATCCCTTCAACCTGGGAGGCAGAGGTTTCAGTGAGCCGAGATCACACCACTGCACTTCAGCCTGGGCAACAAGAGTGAAACTCTGTCTCAAAACAACAACAACAACAAAGACATACCCAAGACTGAGTAATTTATAAAGAAAGAGGTTTAATGGACTCACAGTTCCACATGGCTGGGGAAGCCTCACAATCATGGTGGAAGGCAAAAGAGGAACAAAGTCACGTCTTACATGGTGGCAGGCAAGACAGCATGTGCAGGGGAACTCCCCTTTATAAAACCACCAGATCTCGTGAGACTTATTGACTATCACAAGAACAGTACAGGAAAGACCTTCCCCCATGATTCAATTACCTCCGACGGGATCCCTCCCATGACGTGCGAATTATGGGAGCTACAGTTCAAGATGAGATTTTGGGTGGGGACCTAGTCAAACCATATCACCTGGTCACTGTTAACTGTAATTATTAGTATTACCCACTAAGTCTATTTCAATGTAGAAGCAAAGAATCAAAGGGAAATACATCAGAATCACAGAAGGAATGGGAAATTTTTTATGTTTCTCTGTATTTTTTTGTAGTTTTCTTTGTCTTTGTTACACAACTTGTAAAGAATATTTAGCATGACTACAAGCCATTCCCTGGCTAGAATTTGTATACAGGACCCAAATTACACATTTTGTGACTTTATGACGCATACCGTATTTGAAGATTTGGAAACAGGGGGTGTACATAATTTACTACCAAGGACAATGAGGCTGGATGCACAGACACAAAAGGGAACTGAAGGATGATTCATTAATTTCCCAGGGCAGAAATTCAGTCTGAATAAATCTGGATGCTAGTTTTTCTAAGCTCTCATTTTCATTAAATGCTGAATTTTCACATTTTTAGTTTTATATTAGTTTTTGTTGTCTGTCTCCAACTGTCCATTTAGCTTTTATATATGGCCACTAAATAAAATTCTTTTTGTTAATTTGGTAATTTGGGCTTCTTATCATGGCTGATTGCTACAGAATTGATCAAGAGAAAGGATAACTCTTTGATCCCCTCCCCCGAGTGAGATGGGCTCCTCTTTGTCCATTTCAGCTGGGTAGGATTAAAAAAAATTAACAAATGGATCACTTTGGCTTTTATTTGGAGACAATTCATGTGTTAAAAAGTAGTATAATCACATTATAAACATTAAAGAGAGGGTTAAATTAGAATATGACAAATTAGTATGAATGTGAATATGAATAGATATATGGAAGAAATATGCCAAAAATATTAAGAATATTCTCTGGTGGGGCAACTATGGGTTATTTATAGTCCCTGGTAGTTTCCAAATGTTCTACAATAAACATGTATTACTTTTATCATCAGAAAGAGAAGTAAATTTTAAAGGGATGCTTATAAATCAGCATCTTAAAAGAAGGAACACTTCTGTTCATCTTTGAATTCCTTGCAGTACAGTTTAATTGAGAGAAGTGTTTTATTATTGTAAAAGCCACTTGATTACACCACCGCATTTGTTACAAACAAACAAGCAATTAAGAAGAAAAACTATTACCAAGTGAGGTGACTGCTTATTAAGGAAAAAAAAATCATTTTTGTGTTTCCTTTTTCATTATGCTACCATTTCCTTGAAAACACCTTTAATATTTCTTCTTTCAAGAAAAGGATAGATTTTATAACCATAGAATTTCAGGGTTAGAAGGAACCTTAAATTCTGTCTATTCCAACATCATCTGGGATTATCCAACCCAAACCTCAAATCCTCCAACAGGGGGAACTCATTATCTTTCAAGTCAAAGTTCATCCTTTCAACTTCAGGCAACATTAAGAGCAAAACTGGCGTATTTGCATTTATTTAAAATTTTTCTTCTGGTAGAGAATAAAGATGCTGGCAATGGATTTAATTTTGTTTTTAATAACAATCTCCTTTAATGTACCAAATTAGCTGAAGGATGACAATTAGCACGGGGAAATGCTGCCATTTCAAATGAGGCAATTATAAGAATGTCATTGTATCTGTTTGAGATGCATTTCCCTTCTATACCAGTTGGTTTTTCAACTGGATGTCTAGGAAGAGGTAATCCTCCTTTCTAAAGCAAAAAAATCACTTGCATTATTTAATTTTAAACAAAGAAGAAATAATTCAACGACAAATATAAAAGGTAGTCGTTTTTGGCGGGTCATCTGAAGTTTGTTATTTTCTGGGATAGGAAATGGGCGTGGGGAGGGAGCATGCCCCAGTGAGTGGTCTGTTAAGCAGCTCTAATCCAGACTCTGTTTTTTCTTCTTAGGGGCCTCAGAACCTGTCATTCAGTTTCTTAGTTCATTTGTTCTAATGGGTGCGAGTCACTAGTCTGCTGTCTTAGGAGATTAACAAGAAAAGAGGCTCTGGTTTACAATAAATATCTGAAGCTTCCCAATTCTGTGGATACCTAATTTAACACACAGAAGGGTTGTTAATTACCTCCATTTGGGTAAGCACGGTAAAGTTGCCATTGGAAATCCCTGGCAGTAGGGTTTGTTTTTAAAGTGACCCAACAAACAGAGGCCTTTAAGCTCTGTCTTGGATGGAAAAGCTCTGTGTTAATTACAATCCAGTCTCCACCTTATTTTTATTTTCATTATGACACTATGGTTTCAGAAATATTTCAAACAATTCTTGTTAATACTCTTGCCTAAAAATACATGAATTTAACCCCCCAGCCTCCCCTCCCCACCAGACACACACTCAAAATTATTTGTTTAATAACATTTGTTTAATGAAACAACTGCCTAGACTGGGACAGACAGTTCTGAGAAACTAGGACTGTGAGAGTACAAAGAATACTAAAGGTTTCCAATCAATGGAAAGGCAGGGGTGAATACAGATGTTACTCAGAACACAGGGACGGAAAACAAGATTCATTTAAAATATTTCTTGGGTTCGTACTCTTTCTTTTCACCTTGGAAATCCTCATATTTTAGAGTTTATTTACTGGAAAAATAAAGGATCCATTCTAAGTTACTTAAGGACATCTCTCCATAGGATGATATTAATCAAGTCTTTGGAGTGTTTCACAAGCTAAGCTAAGTGCTGCACTGCAACTCAGATCTGGAATGTATTGAGAGAGGTCTTCTATATGGATGTATGCTTTCTACAGAAAAAAAAAAAAGATGAAAGGGAAGAAAAGAGGCAAAAGCAAAATTCTAGGAGTATTGGTGCATGGAAAAAACTGAAAACAAAGTTGCAAAACCAAATACCAAATGTCACACAGGTCAGCTGAAAGTAAATCTATCAAGAACTCAACCTCCTAATCCAGTGCTGTGACCGAATAATTGACTCCCATATAACTCAATTCCACAAGGATTTATTGGCCACCTTGAGCATGTGCTCAACATTGTGCTAGGCCCTGATGAATAATAGACACAATCTGGTCCCCATGACTGGGAAAAAAATGTTTTTTTTTTTCTTTTTTTCTTAATGTATTGACTAAGGTTTTATGTCTCAGCTGGATACATTTCTTTGATGAGTGAAATAATTACGGGGATTATATTGAAAATGTAGCTTTGTGTAGAATACATGATATTCTATACTGATATTTCTTGGTTATATAGCATATTTGACTTGACATTTTCAATACAGAATTTAGTCTAGTTTTCCACCTTTTCAAAAGTGAACAAGCTATAGTAAAAGGATATAAGGGGGAATGATACCCCATCTAATTCCCAGGTAATCACAAACAAAGGCAGCCTCTGTGTATATCCCTTTGGCCTCACAAACCTCAAAGAGGGAAGTGGCCCAAGTTCAGGAAGGTGCTATCAGATCCAGGTGTATTATTGTGGATCTTCCATTGTGCAAGTGGGCACTCCACACTCATTTCTATGAATACATTATAATTCCCAGAGACATTCTTGGAGCCAACTAAAACAGCTTTTTCCTCTAGCAGCTATGCAGATGGCTAGAGCCTGGGGAGCCATTCTAAGCCAGACTACCCAGGGAGAGAATCTCTAGTACCTGGTACGTATCCAATAACATAGGGTTAACTGAAGGGAAGGGAAATGAAGCTTCTACTTCGTTTGCACAGAAGAACATTTTGCTCATAAACTCCCAGTCTCACAACCAAATTAATCTGCTTGTTCCCAGTCTCATCTTAAAATATGTAAGCAGTGAAGCATCTTTTTCTACACAATAGGATTGACTGGGAAATTTATTAAAATAGTAATTTTTATAAGCATATTGAAATAATAGATTCAAAGGTGTATCTCCTTGAATATATCCTCTTCGTGCTATAATATAATGAGACTCATTTTCTTGTAAATTGGTTATTTACGATTAGTTCCAATAGTACTAATCTAAGAAACTAAGAGAAATTTCAATAGTAGCCACAATAATTGTGCTGATATCAAATTGATTATCTCTAAGAGATGTTGCTCACACAACATGCTAGGTCCGTCTCATCTTCCAGGATTTCTGCAAGGTAGGGATAGTTAACCACATCATAGAGATTATTTAGGAACCGTAATAATTAAGCAGTGACACCTTGAGATGAAGGGGGAAAAATTAGTTCTCTCAAGAACATTTGTAAACGTTACCCCTTAATATACTATGTATTCTTCTGAAACCATCAACACAGCCATGACCAAAAGTACCAAGAAAATAAAATGTAAGATTGGAGATGGGGCGAAGTCACAACAGGAGTGCTGAATGGTGATGGATGGGCAGAGATCAGAATGAGATAGACAAGGCCTTCACTTTAAGGACAGAAAGGGTGGCAAGCACTCTTTCTTTTTCAAACTTGGCTACTTTTTTAGGTGTGAAAAATAAAACAAAGGGGTGAATGGGCAATTTTAGTAAAGAAATAATAAAACTTGAACACAAAAAGGGTGTTAACATTTCTTGAGACAAATGATTTTGGTCTCTGGCAGTTGTTTGGGGCTTTAGGTGTCCTTCAGCTCTAACATACTGATCTTTCTTCATGTGGCCATGAGGGAGATGAGTTATGCTTCTGCTCCATATTTAATACCAATGATACCAATAGAATGCTTCATAGCTACTGAGTACTGAAACAATGCCAATCAACTATCACCCACTTCATGAATACAAAGCCTGGCTCAAGAACAGTCCTGCATATCATTATGCCCCAGTACCTGTTCATTTGCACAGAGCATCAATTCTAAAACTGGAGGGCACATCAGAATTGCATGGAGGCCTTGTTAAAATACAAGCTGAGCTACACCCCCAGGCTTCTGATTCAGTATGTCTGTTGTGTGGCCCCCAGTTTTTTTTTTTTTGAGACAGAGTCTCGTTCTGTCACTCAGACTGGAGTGCAGTGGCGCGATATCAGTTCACTGCAGCCTTGAACTCCTGGGTTCAAGCAATCCTCCTACCTCAGACTCCCCTGTAGCTAGAACTACAGGCATACACCACTGTGTCCAGCTAATTTTGTTTATTTTTTATAGAGATGGGGTCTCACTATGTTGCTCAGGCTAGTCTCAAACTCCTAAGCTCAAGATATCCTCCTACCTTGGTCTCCCATTGGGATTATAGGCATGTGCCACCACATCCAGCTGCAAGAATTTATGTTTTTAACAAGTTCCCAGGTGAAGCTGATACTGCTGCTCCAGATACTACACTTTGAGAACCATTCCCCACAGGGACATACAATTTAAGTGTATTGAGAGCATCCAAAGTCACACATAAAGAATAATGAGGGAGGACCGAGGAGTCTTTCAATCAGACTCCAAATACAATGTTCTGGAAGAGCCTTGAAACATTAATCTCTTAAATATTAAAGTGGCGGTGATGACAACATTTTGGATGAGCCAAAACTTGGCTGTATTTTCCACTGACATAATATTTGCCAGCTATTGTTAAGTGAAATGCTTTTACAGACATTTGGAGAGCCATTATGAGTTATTATTTTAAATATTTAGCTTCCATAATTTAATATTTTTGATTATCTGCAGTCCTGGGCTCACAAACTCTGGGTCCTTCACCAGGAAGAAAGCTGGGAGTCTCCTTAAGAAAAGTCTGCCTGTGGTCCTGCTACAGTAGGTAGGCAGACATGAGCAGAGCAGGACAGTGCCCCCCGCCCTAACCAGGAATGTCAGGCCACCATCAAGTGATGAACAGGTGGTTGGTAACTGTCTCTCTAAAATAATTGGTTGCAGCCAGCTCCAGGGAAAGGCAGTCTTTTTATAAATAGGAAAAATCTGAAACTGGTGATTATCAGCTTCCCGATAAGGTCCCAGGAGTTGGGCAGGGGGCTCACACATATGCACTAAGAGGCCAAATGGCAGAGTTTAACTGGTACATGACTTTCTGGGGGCATTCACCCGAAGAACGCCTCAGGTGAGCATGTGTACAACGCCAGTAAACACACTGCGCATGCTCACTTCCCAAGCACTAGCAGGCCACCACACATGCGGCAGCCCATCCTAAAGGAAGAATCAAGGGAAAAGGGATGTGAAGTGCTGGAAATAGGCCAGCATATACACCCCCAAGTCAGAAGGTCAAATCCCTGTGCTTGACCTCCAAGATGTCTGCTTGGCCCTCTTCCAAGTGTATTTTACTTTCTTTTCATTCCTGCTCTAAAGCTTTTTAATAAACTTTCACTCCCTCTCTAAAACTTGCTTCAGTCTCTTCTGCTTTATGCCCCTCAATGAAGTTTTTATCCTAAAGAGGGAAGAATTGAGGTTGCTGCAGACCTGCACAGATTCACCACTGGTAACAATCCCAGCCATGGGCCAGGTGCCTGTCGTTACTCGAAACTCTGAGGTGTCACTCTGATCTAGATGCTACAGATTTCTGTGCCATCTGAGGCTCCTCCCCTCCACCCACTGTCTCTCCATTTCTGCCTGCCTGTTCCATAGATCATGGAGTTAAGAGAGCATCACTGAACAATTCATGGAAGCTGTAGCTAGACTACAAGCAGTTGCCACCATGCCTGGCTAGTTTGTTTGTTTGTTTGTTTGTTTGTTTGGGTAGAGATGGGGTTTTGCCATGTTGCCCAAGCTGGTCTCTGACTCCTGGGCTCAAGTGATCTGCCTGCCTTGGCCTCTCAAAGTGCTAGGATTACAGATGTGAGCCACTGTGCCCAGCCTCTTGGGACCTTTCAGCTATTTTGGGGGGTATTTCCCAAGTGGTCAGAAGTATAATGGCCTCTCTTTTCAATGGCTTCATTTGCTCCCACATTTTATTTCATATGTTACCATCACAATTCTAAGAGAAAGATTACTTGCACCTTCCCAGTCTTCCATGAATTCCTCTGATTTTGCTCTGGCAGTGTACTTGCTCAAACAAGCTTGAATCTTAATAGTCTTCCTCTTTATTGCAGATTATAAGAACGAAAAGTATGCTAAAAGTAATGAAATCAGAGTGAGTGAGTGATTGGAAACTCTGTTCTTCATAAAATATTTAGGCGAAATAATGGAAGACTCCATCAGTCCTACTAGAAACAAGGTCTGAGATTAAAACCAAACAAAACAAAAAATCAAGGCACAATAGAGAAGAAAGTGCTGCAAGTTAATTAGCCAGCAGGATGCCTTTCATTCAGGGGTAGACTGCGGTGCTCTAAGAAACCACAGTCTCCAGAAAGACCCCTTCTAATGGAGCCCAACAATTAGAACCATGAGCTGCCTTTGTACCCTTGTTGCACAACCTCGTCCCTTTAAAATAGATCTGTCACTAATGACTGAAGGCTGCATGTAAATTTACCTCACTCCACAACCATCTGCTGAGCATTCTTAGTTCTGACTCCGGTTGAAAGGGACGGTAACGAGTTGCCTGAGTAGACCTGCTCTCTTTAAAAATCCTTAAGACTCTAACGTGTAGAGAAATGCTTCTGATCCACAGAAACCAGATTGTGTTCCCCAGCAGATGCTGCATGCCCTGATTTTCAGAGTTCAGTGGCACCAAATGCTCACAAGACAGTCTGCACTCCAGGGAATAGGCATACAGATGCGGTCTCAAGCAATCCAAGAGTAAAATGTTGCACATTTCATTTGCTCTTGGATTTCTAAAATCAGTTGGCTCTTATCTCTGAAATGGCAGAGTACAAAGATACTTGCCCACCCTAGTGGAATCAAAAGCTTACTTTTGGGAGGAAAATTAGGCTATTGGAGGAGACCAGGAGTCACCAAGCCCTGCCTTACAAGCAAGAATTAAAAAAAAAAACCAACCTCCAAAAATGTATCTTTTCTGATCAGTTTCTCTCTCTGTAAGACTTAAGAAGTCAAGTGAATCCAAGTTGCATTTCGTTTCCCTTTACCCTCATGGTGTAGAAATTGAGCAATAGGTGGGGTCATGGGCACATTTGAGACAGTATTGCAGCTTTTAGTCAGAACTCGTTTTTACCCAACTTCTGCTTTTTTTGTTTTTTGTGGTTTTTTTCTTTCTTTTGAGTTTGAAAATCCAACACTGTTTTACGTTATTTTTTTTTTTTTTATCAATAGTGGAAACTCAGAAATTTAAAAGATGAGATTTTGCTTTGCCAATTAGGTTCATTTGACAAAAATGTACTTTATATGTTTTTAATTAAAAAAATATGATTTATTTGCTTACTCTGGATTTTTCATATTCACTTCAGTAACATGTATCAGACACCTGCTATTAACTAGATCTAGCAGAAGGAAAGACAATTGAGAGTTGGCATTAAGTTCCAGCAATTCTGGGTTGGGCACAGTGGCTCACACATGTAGTCCCAGCACTTTGGGAGGCTGTGGCAAGTGAATTGCTTGAGGTCAGGAATTTGAGACCAGCCTGGCCAACATGGCGAAACCCCACCTCTACTAAAAATACAAAAATTAGCCAGGCATGGGAGCACACACCTGTAATCTCAGCTACTCAGGAGGCTGAGGTAAGAGAACTGCTTGAACCCAGGAGGTGGAGGTTGCAGTGTGCCAAGGTCATGCCACTGCACTCCAGCCTGGGTGGCAGAGCAAGACTCCATTCCAAAAAAAAAAAAAAATCCAGCAATTCTGTAGCCTCTTGAGGAAATAATGGTGTATTTAAAAACTTGCTTTTACATTCTTTTGAGGTCAAACAGTAAATGTAGCAAAGAGTGAAAATAATTTCTGGAAAATAAAAAATTCAAATATTCTAGCACAATGTCAACTTTGACTATATTCTATTATCAAAGGCTTCTCCAGATTAATATTCCTGTGTCCTAACAACCTGGGTGGCGTAAGTAGAGTTTCATTGCATTTATGGATTCTTAAAGGGCAGCTTTCCCCTTTGTGCTATGAGGGACACTTATAGTACAGGAGGTGCCTGGAATTTGTTAGCTATCTGAATAAGAACTCCCACTACTGTTTTGTGTTAGTTATAACAAACTATAAAAGGATTATTCAGTAAGAAATTCTGAGGCTGGGTGCGGTGGCTCACATCTGTAATCCCAGCACTTTGGGAGGCCGAAGTGGGCAGATCCCTTGAGGTCAGGAGTTTGAGACCAGCCTGGCCAACACGGCAAAACCCTGTCTACTAAAAATATAAAAAATTAGCCAGGCATGGGGAGGGGGGGAGCGCCTGTAATCCCAGCTACTTGGGAGGCTGAGGCAGGAGAATTGCTTAAACCCAGGAGGCGGAGGTTGCAGTGAGCTGAGATCACTCCATTGCACTCCAACCTGGGCAATAAGAGTGAAACTCTGTCTCAAAGAAAAAAGAAAAAAAAGAAAGAAATAAGTGCAAATTGGGGAAATATAATTTGCAAGGCTCATTTATTCAAGGATAACTTTAGGGGTTTGAGTGGGAAAGATATAATTGGTATGATCACCTAAATAAGACGTATTATGAGATTTGAAAGAAAAGATTACAACTTTAAGGGGAAACTTAATTAGATAGAAATGCCACAGAAGCAGCAACTTCTCTCAGGAGTTTAAAATGCAATATTCTGACAATTGTTTACTTGTTTGGTTAATACGTGTGTTCTCAATGAAACAGGGAAACAAACTAGTAGTTAATTTCATTTTCCTTTCTTCTTCCTTTCTCCCACCTACTTCCTTCCTTCCTTCTTGAGTGTCTGCTTTGCAGCTACCATTAGGGATATGAAATAAAAAAGACAGGGACTCTGCCTTTGAGGAGTTCGTGGGGTGGAGAAAGAGGACAGACAGATATGTAAACAATTAAGGAAAGATAGAAGCTTATTATTAATATGAGAGAGGAAGCAGAAAAGTGAAGAAAGGAGGGAGAGCAGACCGGGTGTGTGGCTCACGCCAGTAATCCCAGCACTTTGGGAGGCCGAGGAGGGAGGATCACCAGAGGTCAGGAGTTGGAGACCAGCCTGACCAACATGGAGAAACCCCATCTCTACTGAAAAGACAAAATTAGCTGGGCGTGGTACTATAATCCCAGCTCCTTGGGAGGCTGAGGCAGGAGTATCGCTTGAACCCAAGAGGCAGAGGTTGCGGTGAGCCAAGATTGCGCCATTACACTCCAGCCTAGGCAACAAGAGTGAAAATCTGTCTCAAAAAAAAAGAAAAAGAAAGGAGGGAGAGCAGACACTATACTGAGCACTGCAGAGGAAGTAACAGGTAGAGAAGCCAAGAAGGATTTCAATTTCAATTTCAATTTCAAGAAGTTTAGTATTTCTGAAACCCTTTGGAATCCTTCTTTGCACAAGAATTCTCTGAATGGGAGGTTGCGTGGTGTATGTTCACTACGCCTGATCTTCTTTGTGATTAATATTTAAGTGGAAGGATAGATGATGGTATGAAGATATTTCCAGGCTCTTTTTACAGGCTAAAATTTTAATTCATATAAATTTTAAGCATCATTATTCTCTAAACATGAAATGTTTCCATTAAAACATAAAACCCAGTGGTAATACTTCATGATTTTAATAGGTCACAAATAAATGTGTTAACTTCTGTAAAAAGAAACAGAAATAGGCAAACCAAAAAGCCCCTTTTCTAAGCTGAGAACGTATTTATTGGCCTAGCAGAAAAAAGACAAAAGTGAGTTCCTATCTAAGTCTACAGTAGGAGAAAGAAAAAAAAAAGGCATAGGTATATTGTACAAATGACTCCAGATAGATTCTATGCCTGCTGGACAGCATCGTTTGTATTTCACAAAATCACCTTGACTTCAAAATGCTTCAAACTGAACTCATTGTGTTTTCATCAAAGCCCATGTCAACTTCTCTATTTTCTGAATGTTATCACATTTCATCAGTGATCTGCTCTTGAAATCTCTGTCAAAGTTGACTCCCTTCTCTCATGTTTTGTGCACATCAGCCAGTCCTTAAATCACACTAATTCAAAATGTATCTTGTCATTGTCTATTTCTTTTTCTGCCCACTGACAGCATAAAGGTGGATGTTCAGTAGTTTGTACCTGGGCATTTTAGTAGCCTACCAGTTTCTTCATTCCTTTCCCTCTTATTTCCACTGTATTCTCCTTAGTACACTGGTTTTGTTCTATTTCCTGCCTAAACCAAACCTCAAATGACTTTCCCTGAAACTCTAGGTTTTGCCCAAACTTTCTTTTTTTTTTTTTTGATACGGAGTCTTGCTCTGTCGCCCAGGCTGGAGTGCAGTGGTGCGATCTTGGCTCACTGCAAGCTCCGCCTCCTGGGTTCATGCCATTCTTCTGCCTCAGCCTCCCTAGTAGCTGGGACTGCAGGCGCCTGACACCACGCCTGGCTAATTTTTGTATTTTTAGTAGAGACGGGTTTTCACCATGTTAGCCAGGATGGTCTCGATCTCCTGAGCTTGTGATCTGCCCGCCTCGGCCCCCCAAAGTGCTGGGATTACAGGCGTGAGCCACCGCACCTGGCCACTTCTGCCCAAACTTTCTAACGTCGGTGGACATTGGAGGCAGTGATGGAAACTGTGAAAGGGGTAAAGTTGTTTCTGGGGGTCCCTGCCCACCCACATCCCCTCTTCTCAGTAGTGTAAGGAAATTGACATGACAGCTCACCTATGCTCAAGTGGGGAACACAAAGAAGACTTACCTAGCCTCCGACATTGCCTTCAAGATCATTATAAGGTTGGAGATGGAGAGAAGGAAATTCTAGCAAAGGCTTATCAAGTGACAAATGGACTTATCACATGTAAGCAACTGTGGCATATGTTGAGCACAAGAAGTTGAAGTAGTCACTTTGCTCTAAGTCCAGACTAATGAACAAGAGGCAACTAAATGCATAACTTTCATGGGGGGAGAAGGAAAAGCCGGAGATGGAGTAGAGGTCAAATGATTTGACATCTTCCTAACACTACAATTCTTTTGGTTTATTCTGTGAATGCCTCTTCAGAGACAAGGCAAGTGGGTAATTACAGGGAATGGAAATGTTTGTCACAACTCAGAGAATAGACTAGAACCCCCAAGGAAGAGAAGTCCTCTCTAGCCAGGCTGTGCTTTGGATTTAGCCAGAGAAGTGGCAGAGAAGTGGAGATGAGGATTAAGATTATGAACTATAAGAACTAGAAAATCTGGAAGAAATGTTCTCTTTCCCATCTCCCCAATCAACACACACACACATATTCATGTCAGTTATGGGTTCCCTTGGATCATGCCAATGTAGTGTCATCCTGACATGAATTGAGTGTGTAACATACACAAGACAGGAACTGTGGGAAGACACCTGGCAACCTAAGCCTCATGCTGTCTAACGCCCTGTCCCCAGAGATCAAAGCCTTGTCTCAAATGAGTCATTTGGCACTTTGGTATAAATAAGTTTTAAAGCTGGGGTTGTTCCCTAACATCAACCTGGTGTAAGAACTGCTGGTTGACGGCTGGGAGTGCCTCTGGACCTTCAGTTCAGCCCATCTGTCTGCATGTTATTCCACTACCCTGTTCCCACCCTCTTCCCCCACAGCTCCAGTCCTTCTGATTCAACACTCGAAAGAGTCTGGGGACCTTGAGTCCATCTGCCTGTTCCCTCTCTCTGCTCCATGCATTTCCTCTTGTCAGCACCCGTCCCCTGTTCCTCCTGTATGGAAGAAGGACTGGGCTTATCCCACAGAGCACCCCATAGTCCTTGGAATGGCTCCTTCCTAATCACAGCAGAGCAATGAAGGGAGTGAGGTTGGACAGCTTCAGGGAAGCAGGGATACTGAGATCCCAGCCTGGATCTGCCCGGAAAAGCATGGCAGATTTGATCTCAGGCATTACCAGTGATGTGCAAAGAATGGATGGAGAAACTGATATGGATGTTATTTACAGATACCAGAGAACACACACACACACACACACACACACAAAAGTAGAAAGAAAGAAAACAACCCCCAAATTTGGATTGGTTCCATAAGGGTAATGTCAATGATCATCATTTTCTAGCAAGAGCTGATTGTATAACTCTCCTCCCAATTTCCTGTTATATGCCTCATTTTGATAGTTTCAGTGGGCCATAGTGACAGTATTTTAACAAATCAGGAATTTTCTTTTTTTTTTCCTGAAGAGCTGGTTACCAGCACAACAACGATTATGCATATCACTAATGTGGTAAATTAAGTTTTCTGTGAATTTTATTTGATTGCAGGTGCTTAATTCTGTTCACGGTTCTGTTCCCAGTCATCTTCTGTTACTCATACAGCGTCATCATTTGTTTGTTTTGAAAGAAAGAGATGGAAATTGTCTATAGAATGAAAAATAAACTCATCTTAGTATTCAGGGTACTTAGTAGTTGGAGGCCAGGGTATTTTACTGTTGCTAGAACTTTCAGTCCCAGTTAGAGGTCTTCATACTAACCCCCCAACAAGCTGGGCATTTCCTTATTCCTGTATTCTACTTACACTGGCACCATTCACTTGATGTACTGTGATGCCTTTTTTCATCTCCTCCACCCTAATCCAATCCATTCTTTAAGGCAACTGGAAGGCCCAGCACCTTCGGAAAGTCCACAAAACACTGTTATGAATGCTATCTATATATTAATGTATTTAGTCCTTATAGCAGCTATTTCAGACTCCTATCAGCTCTATATTAGAGGTGAATCAATTAAGGCAGAGATGTTAAATGACTTGCCCAAGATAATGCAACCATTAGCTGTAAAGCTGGGATTTGAACTCATGCAGTTTGACCATTAGGTCCATAAATGTAACCACTGCACAATACTGCTTCACTCAAGAGCCGGGGTTGAGAGTATTATCTATGGACCATGATAATGGCTAACTTTTCTTGCTTTGCACTTGTTTCCTTTGTCACTCGTTGGCACATGCTAGTTAATGTCAACTTCAACTATGTGGCTTGCATTGTCACTCTTTTTCTTTTTTGTTCTAACACAACCTTTATTTGTTTGTTTATTTATTTATTTATTTATTAAGACAGGTTCTCAATGGGTTACCCAGGCTGGTGTGCAGTGGTGCAATCTCACTGCAACCTCCGCCTGCCAGGCTCAAGCAATCCCCCCACCTCAGCCTCTTGAGTAGCTGGGACTACCTGTGCACCCCCCACATACCCAGCTAATTTTTGTATTTTTTTAGAGATGAGATTTCATCATGTTGCCCAGGCTGCTCTTGAACTCCTGGGCTCAAGGAATCTGCCTGCCTTGGCCTCCCAAAGTGCTTGGATTATAGGCATCAGCCACTGCGCCTGGCCTATTTATTTTAAAATTATTTCTTTCTTTAATTGACAAACAATAATTTATATGTGTATAGGGCACAATGTGATGCATATTTTAATGTATGTATGTATACTGACATGGTTTTAAATCTCATGTTGAAATGTAACCCGCAGTGTTGGAAGTGGGGCCCAGTGGGAGGTGTTTTGGTCATGGGGGTGGATCCCTTGTGAATAGCGTGGTGTTGTTCTCACGATAATGAGTGAGTTCTTGCTCTGAGTTCATATGAGATCTGGTTGTTTAAAAGAGCGTGGCACCTCCCCCTCAACTCTTGCTCCCTCTCACCATCTGATATGTGGGCTCCCCCTTTGCCTTCTGCCATGATTGGAAGCTTTCTGAGCCCTCACCAAAAGCAGATGCTAGCACCACGCTACCTTTATAGTCTACAGAACCATGAGCCAAAATAAGCCACTTTTCTTTACAAATTACCTAGCCTCAGATACTTCTTTACAGCAACGCAAAAACGGACTAACACATATACATTGTAGGAAGGTTAAATCAAGCTAATTAACATCTCCATCACCTTGCCTCGTTTTTTTTGTTTTTTTTGTTTTTGTTTTTGTTTTTCTGTGGTGACAACATTTGAAACCTTTTTTTTTTTTTTAAGCAATTTGGAGATGTACCATACATTATTTTTAACTGTGGTCACCATGCTGTGCAATAGATCACTGAAGTTTATTTTTTCTGTCTAACTGAAACTTTGGATCCTTTGACAGCATTTCCCCTTCCCTATCTCTCTCCTAGCCCCCAGACCTGGTAATCACCTTTCTACTGTTTCCATGAGGCTGACTTTTTTTTAGATTCCACATATAGGTGAGATCATTACAAATTGCTTCTGCCATTTTACTTTGTCACCTCGTAGGCTGGGACCACGTGCTCTGCTTCTCAGTAGCCTCTCTTCACCAGGTGCTTAAGGAGCATTTGTTCAATGATTCAGATAATGATCTCCCTAAATTCCTTCTCATCCTTTTGCACCTCCTTTCAAAGCCTACCAAAATATTGGATGTCTATTTGACAGATCTGTATGGGTCTTTAAGTGATCCTAAAGAAGATATATATAGTTGGATTTTCCTTTACCAAGAAACAAGAATGGGCTGGGCGTGGTGGCTCACACCTGTAATCCCAGCGCTTTGGGAGGCCAAGGTGGGTACATCACAAGGTCAGGAGATTGAGACCATCCTGGCCAACCTGGTGAAACCCTATCCCTGCCAAAATAGAAAAAATTAGCTGGGCATGGTGATGCATGCCTGTAGTCCCAGCTACTCGGGAGGCTGAGGCAGGGGAATCACTTGAACCCAGGAGGCAGGGATTGCAGTGAGCTGAGATCGCGCCACTGTACTCCAGACTGATGACAGAGCAGGGCTCTGTCTCAAAAAACAAACAAAAAATAATGAGAATAAATTATGTAAAGAAATATAAGGGTTAAGAGGCTCTAAACCTTTGAGTATCTGACCAGACATTTGCACTAAGCCCCTTTACTCTACTCTCTCCTTTTCTTTGAACTATGACAAATAAATTGGGCTCAATTTGTTCAGTTTAATGAATTTATTTATTTATTTTTTGGAGACTGAGTCTCATTCTGTCGCCCAGGCTAGAGTGCAGTGGTACGATCTCGGCTCACTGCAACCTCTGCCTCCCAGGTTCAAGCGACTCTCCTGCCTCAGCCTCCTGACTAGCTGGGATTACAGGCACCTACCACCAAGCTTGACTAATTTTTTTTATTTTTAGTAGAGATGGGGTTTCACCATGTTGGCCAGGCTGGTCTCAAGCTCCTGACCTCAGGTGATCCACCTGCCTCAGCCTCCCAAAGTGCTGAGATTACCAGTGTGAGCCACCACATCTGGCCCAGTTTAATGAATTTAATTCTCCCATAAGGTACAGGGACTGGGACCCTGACAAATTCTTTGGCACTCCGCCAGGGTCTGTCTCTTATGTTTTTGTTTTTCCTTGAAATTATGTTTATATGAATTAGGTATAGATTTACAATGTATTTCAATACCTTAGAGCAGGTAAGCACACCCCCTTCTTAGTAAACAGATGTTATCTTAAGAATTTTCCCCAGTAGAACTCAATGCAACAGTTTTCAGGAAGGTGAAATAGCAGGTCCAAACAGGTAGCACTGGAGATAATAACCAAATTCAATTATACTCTTTGCTGATGTAAAGACACACACCACAAAGAGGTAGTTTCAGCTTGTGGGCGTCAAATGAAACTTAAAGTATATTGGGGTTTACTGATTTCCTTTTTTAACCTGAACTCATGAAACATCTTGGATCATTTTAATGCCAAAGGACAATTTGAATGGTTTAACCCTTGGCTCTCGATTACCTTCTCCTTTGTCTTTATCCCGCTGTCATCATGTGGTCTACACTTCTGTCTTCCTTGGATATACTCTATTTCCATACTCATTTCGTAGTTGATTGTTGATGCTTGTTACATTGAGCTTCATTGCACTCTAATGTGCTATAAGATTTTAGGATACAATGATCTCTATTAAACGTTGGGGAGTATTTCTTTTTGGCTTGTTTGCTTTTTATTAACAGTATCAAATAAATAAATAATACGTAAAACAAACCAGTCATGACATTAGCATAGGCGTGTCCTACACAGTCATTTTTATGGTATTACATTGGTGTCCCAAAACATTTGAATGTAGGGTGGATCTGAAAGCAATAATTGAACATAGTTAGCTCATTGCAAAAGTCTTTGGCCTGAAGAGACCGCTCCGGCTGAGAATCACCTAAAAGGGCCCCCAGGCTGCAAAAAGGCCCCCCCACATGGAAGAAGCCCACTGGGCAAATGCCTCCCTGCTTAAGGGCCAATTCTAGCCTGGCAGCTCATAAACACCATTAGCAAAGCCTACTGCTGAGTTATTATGCAGCAGAAGGATACTTGAAACTGCTGGTTGGTATTGTTGTTTTATTTCTCATTTGCCTGGGTCAAAGTGGCAACACTCACTCAAAAAGATCAGGCAATTTCAATGTCTCAATTGTTCCAGAGGATGAGAAGTATATAGAGATTTATTATCTGTCGTGATTTTTCAAATCTCCAATGCATTCTGTTACAGATGGACTGTGGCATTGGTGAAGATAGCCCAGAAAGCTAAGCAAAAAGGAACAGAGGGAAACTGACTTGTTTCTACTAACATCGTTTCCAAGATGCAAACCTATAACCAAAGTGACACATTGCATTCATTAAATTATATATGGAGTTAAACTATGTATTGTGAGAGACCAAAGAACAGATATTACTATTTTTATGAGAAGACACTCAATTAATAATTCTTATTAGTAATTCTCATTCAATACTATTTTTGGATTTAGTTTTTATCTTTCTGTATCCTCTATTCCTCTCCCACCACCCCATCTAACCTACTTCCAAAAGTCATTAAAAGTTAAAATTTTGATGGCAATTGAGAAATAGGTGGTAAAACTATGCCAAAGGTATTTTTAAAACAACATATTTAATGCTTTGATGCTCTTGAACAAGGGGCCATATCCCAATGTCTCACTTGTTAATATACCTTCCTATCATCTGATTCGTGACATTAATATATGAAAATCTAAACAGCATATATAAGACATGAGTTTCAAGCCTGTTTTACTTTTGAGGAGAAAAACGTTTTGGAGGAAAAGGCCCAATCATTCTGAATTGTCACATTCATTAGGGCTCATTGGTATTGATGATGCTGAACCGCTCCTGCAGAACCACTGCTTGAGGCTTATTCTTTACAGAGGCGAATACGATGAACTCTCAGTGGTGGCCGCTGACCTCTGGTTCATGCCATCTTGCAGCCGGCTTTCCAGAATGAGAGCCTCCTTGATGGCTTTGTTCTTTCCTTGTGTAGACCTTGAAAAGCTGAGGAAACTTCGGAAAGGCACAGGTCCCAGTGAGACGATCAGACTTGTTGCTGGAATGAATATTTAACTCAATTGGCTTTCTGCTTCCATAATCATCAATTCTCCCCTGGAATTGTATTCACATTTTATGAACTCTCTGTCTCATCGGCTTCTTTGATCTACATACATTGTCTTCCATTTGGGCATTTGCTGCCTCCCAGCTCGTCAGCCCTTGAGTCCATGTAAATAATGTGCTACATAAGAACTTAGTGTTTCCCAAATAACAAAAGATAGATCTGAATGCTTTAGTGCACCATGAAAGGCTGCTGAAACCATCAATCTTGCTGGCTCTTGTAGAGGTCAAGAGACGGCAGGGCCAGCTGGCCAATCAATTAACCACGAAATTCAGTTTGGAGCTTAAGAAAAGCTGTCTCTGTGTTATTCTTTCCAGCAAAGTAACTGTCAATATTTACTGCAGGTCATGTATAAAAATGGAGGAAATGAAGGGAATTACTATCAAGAGTAGCAAATGCTGGGATCATTGGCAATTCTCATGAGTTGCCAAAAAGAGTCTGTTCTACCCAACATATAATTTCCGGAATCAAATTGAACATGGAAATGTCTTATAAACCCTCTGGAGCTTGAAAGAAAAGAGATCACATGGTCCCCACCCATAAAAGATTATGTTCATTTTTCTCCATTGTCATCATGAGTACTTCAATATAAGTCAGAAAGAAACTTCCTGTTTGACCTCCTGAAATGAAACTTTTCTGTAATTGTATGTGATCCATTGTATTCTTGATGCCTATGAGCACATAAAGGAGGTGAATCAATAAATTAACTGATAGCTTGTGCAAGGAAATAGGATCACGAGGGATAGCCCCTGAAGAATGAATCATCCCTTTCATATATGACCAGCTGCTCTATCTCTTAGAGCCAGCTCTGGAATTCTTTACATACCTTGCTCTAATTCTTGTCATTGGTCCCTTTTTTCCCCTATTTGTCTTTAATCTCACAGAAAGATATCTTCTCCAATTTTCCTTTTTTCCCCAATTTTTGTCAAATACACCTTTATAATAAATTCTCATTTACCTTATGTATCTGTGTGTCCTTCACATCCACACATGCAGATATGTAATACTTTCTCTACCCTGCAGGATCCAGAGGCAGCTACCTGTCTAATTTTTACTACTCTTCGGCAAGATAGGCATATTTGATCTCATTTCTTAGAACAGAAAATTGAAAATCAGAGTGATGAATTAATTGAGACAACCCACTTAAAGCACCTAATTCAAGCCTGATACATAGGATCAATACATGTTCTACAATATTAATAATTTTTATTGCAAATAACTTAACTTCCCTAACATCACAGAACCTGTGAGTGATAGAACCAACATTTTCATCTAGATTTATTTAAGCTCTAAGTCCCATCTTCTTTTCCCTCTGCCACACTTTTAGATCATTTCTGCCTTAAGAAAACAGGCACAGGCTAGGCATGGTGGCATTTGCCTGTAGTCTCAGCTACTTGGTAGGTGAGGCAGGGGGATCATTTTGAGCCCAGGAGTAGTTTGAGGCTGTAGTGAGCTATGGTCATGCCACTGTGCCACTGCACTCCAGCCTAGGTGACAGAGCAAGACCTTGTCTCTGAAAAACAAACAAACAAAAAGAATACATGCACAGAAATCAGAATAAATAGGAGGAGGGTATGAGTAGGCACTTTTTTTTTTTTTTTTTGAGACAGAGTCTCTCTCTGTCACCAGGCTGGAGTGCAGTGGCGTGATCTCAGGTCACTGCAACCTCCACCTCCCGGCTTCAAGTGAATCTCCTACCTCAGCCTCCCAAGTAGCTGAGACTACAGGCATGCCCCACCACACCCAGCTAATTTTTGTATTTTTAGTAGAGCTGGGGTTTCACCATGTTGGCCAGGATGGTCTCGATCTCTTGACCTCGTGATCCTCCTGCCTCAGCCTCCCAAAGTTCTAGGATTACAGGCGTGAGCCAGCGTGCCTGGCCAAGTAGGCACTTTCTAAGGTAGGAGACAAGCAGTGGTGTCCAGGGACCTTAGAAGGGATGGCAGTAAGCTGGGGAAGCTGCTTCTAACACTTGGGGCTTTTTCACAAGGTAGTAAAAGCCAGGAAGTAGGCAGGAAAGATCAGTGCCAAAATTCGAAAAATAATGAGTTTCTAGGGGAGGAAGCATTGTCTATGAGTCTTCATGGTATTAATTACTCCATTCTCCTAGAGAGCAATCCTATGATCCTATGTGCTTTGCATAAATAAACCAATAATCCTCAAATCGACAAATGAGGCCATACCAGTAGAGTACCTAGCATCATTCTTCCCACATAGTACCGGTGCCATAGCATACAATTGCAACCATAAAAACAGGAATATCGGCCGGGCACAGTGGCTCACGCCTGTAATCCCAGCACTTTGGGAGGCCGAGGTGGGCAGATCACAAGGTTAATAGTTCGAGACCATCCCGGCCAACATGGTGAAACCCCACCTCTACTAAAAAAAACACACACACACACAAAAATTAGCTAGGCGTGGTGGCACGTGCCTGTAGTCCCAGCTACTTGGGAGGCTGAGGCAGGAGAATCACTTGAACCTGGGAGGCGGAGGTTGCAGTGAGCCAAGATGGTGCCACTGCCCTCCAGCCTGGCGGCAGAGTGAGACTCCGTCCAAAAAAAAAAAAAAAAAGGGAATATCACTGAGAGCAGTCCAAGG
Organism: Homo sapiens; assembly: GCF_000001405.40. Classification (NCBI taxonomy): domain Eukaryota; kingdom Metazoa; phylum Chordata; class Mammalia; order Primates; family Hominidae; genus Homo; species Homo sapiens. The sequence goes on along the minus strand of NC_000008.11, from coordinate 32,474,468 downwards.
CAGAACCAGAGGTAGGGTCTTCAGGACCCTGGAGGGAAGGGATGCTTTTGGAAATATCTGCATGCCTGTAGAATAGAGACCGCATGGGAGAGAGTGTGCTGTGAGACTATCACCATCTGCCTTCTAATGGAATCAGTTTCCCAACTCCCAGAAAAACTCTTCTTACCATAGTCAGTTTTATTTCAAGGAGTTCCCAGAATGTTTTGAGGAATGGGCAATATTGTTAGAATAAGTGTATGATAGTCAAGATCTATCTAAACAAAATATTTATTTTAATTTCACATGATTGTTTTACCTACAAGTATGGGACAGCATGTCTGTGTTCATCAAAATTTATATGAGTGCTGTACTCTGCCACAAATATATGGGAATATATTACTATAAACACATTTGGTAAATGACTAAGAAAAGTATTAAATGGAAGGGTATCTCAATGGGGTTGTGTCCAGGGATCAGGATGCCAAGAGAAAACATGTAAGGGTGGGGCTGGGCTCAGTGGCTTATGCCTGTAATCCTGGTACTTAGGGAAGCTGAGGTGGGAGGATTGCTTGAGGCCAGGGTTCAAGACCAGCTTGGGAAACATGGCGAGACATCGTCTCTAGAAAAAAATTTAAAAATGTAGTTGGGCCTGATGGTGCGTGCCTGTAGTCCTAGCTACTCAGCAGGTTGAAGCAGGAAGATCAATGGAGCCCAGGAGTTTGAGGCTGCAGTGAGCTGTGATTATGTCCCTGCACTCCAGCCTGGATGACAGAACACGATCATTTCTCTAAAGACAAACAAAAAACATAAAATAAAACTAGTATAAGGATAGAAGCCCAGGGTTGATTTAAGTCTGCGGAAATCATAAACCATAGGTCAGACTTCTCATTGATGAGGTACTTGTGGGTTAGAATACAATTAGGTATATTTGGTCTAGAAACCAGGATGGAATTAGAGAATAAAAGACTGAGCAATAGCATGTTATAGTATTAGAAATACTATAGAAATAGGAAAAGCCCTGATTATGACTTTGGAGTTCTGATCCAACATCTGGGATTATTTAGATATTTTAAAGGAAAACGATGACTTTTAGCTCTCAGGATGTTAGTTTCCTCAACCATAAAATGAAGAGCCTCGAAAAGATTTCGTTTACCAGATTATTTCTGAAGTCAATTCCAGTTCTAAAATTCCATCACTGTGCACTAAGGCAAATTGAATTGAATAAGTATTGTGTATGCATAAAATACTCTATTTTTAAAAAGAATAGTAATTATCACATTGGTAACAGCACGCATTCATCCAGTCCATTCTCCATACCACTGTACACATGTACATATGTAGATATGTTACCTCTAATCCCTTTAACAAAACGATTTTGCAAATGGAGCTTAGTCATTGAGTAACTTGTTCAAGGTCAAACTGGATTCTAACTCTAGCAAAGACTTCATTCTTCCTACTTAACTGTGCAGCCTAAATTCCCCTACCCATTTGTCATTCATAAACTTGTGTCTTCCCAATAGCAAAAGGTCAAAACACATAGCGAAAATACTATTAGAATTCCAGGAGAAATTTGACAGTAACAGAATTCTAAAGGGAGGTTTATTACATAAATAAAGATATTAACTTTCCATCCTCACCAGATGGCTGCCACTCCCTACCACTTAGTCTCAGCATTTCTTTACAGTGTTATGGGGGAGGTGGGGAACCCGCACGACAACGCAAACAACAACAAAAGCACTAGTAAGATGCATGCTACAAAACACAAAGCACTCCCACAGATATTGCAGTTGACCCTGAAGAGTACACTTGCCCTAAATGTGAGGAAATGTAGGCAAGGTTAAGACTTGCTCAGAGTCACCAAAACAGGACTTGTAGAAGACCACAAAAATCGTCTTCCAACCATTCTGGTGTCCTTTACACTACTTCTGTGACAAAAACTGCACATTTTAAAAAGATGAATGTGTACTAAATGCATTTCATTAGGGATTAATATCAGGGAAAATAAAGAATAAAGGCCAAGGGCCGGGCACGGTGGCTCACACCTGTAATCCCAGCACTTTGAGAGACCAAGGTGGGTGGATCACCTGAGGTCAGGAGTTCGAGACCAGCCTGACCAATATGTTGAAACCCTGTCTCTACTAAAATTACAAAAATTAGCAGGGTGTCATGGCGGGTGTCTGTAATCCCAGCTAATCAGGAGGCTGAGGCTGGAGAATCACTGGAACCCAGGGGTAGAGGTTGCAGTGAGTTGATATCGCGCCACTGCACTCTAGCCTGGGCGACAGAGTGAGACTGTCTCAAAAAAAAGAATAAACGCCAAGAACTCAGGGTCAGAGTCTTTGGAAGTAACTTCCCATTCCCCTCTCCCTACACCAGTTTTGTATTTATCCCTTGATAAATTCCCAGTGGCTTTGTAAAGTGGTGGAGACACCTGATGAGATATTGGCTGGGCCAGTTTAGTCATGTGGTTGTGAGGGAGAGAGTGAGTCCCCATCTCCCTCTTCTCCCTGTTTAAATATAGGAATTGCAGATGGTCCACACTTCTCTATAGACACTTACTACCAATTTTCCTCATTCTCATTTCTAGCTTTCTTTTCATAGCTAGTTCCAATTATTTTGAGCACCAGCCCTAAAGTTATTTACAAAAGAGTTAGATGTATAATTTTTAAGTTAGTTGTAACTTAAATCAGCTTGTTTACCTTGTTTGGGGTCAGTAGAGCTGAGAAGGTAGGTTGACTCAAGAATAGACTCTGAACAAGTACATTTTTTTCTTTCGGTATTTGAACATTACAAATGTTATATATTAAGTATTTAACAGGGGTAGTTTCTAAGCACGGACTCTATCTTGGGGGATTTTTTTCACCTTAAAAAATACGTAAGGCTTTGTTTAATATGTTTATTGTCTCTTACTAAACCCTACTAGATTCAACTTGTATCATCTGTTGTATCTGAAATAAGAAATTCTTCTAAATAAAATATTTTAAAAAGGGTACTTCACCATTGCTTGGTAGCATGATTGATGGCGATTGATCTAGAACCACTACCCTTTTATAAGAAAAGTCGATTAGAACAACCCACCTAAAATGTAAATGTGACAAATTACAAAATGTAGGGGAAAAAACAGACTCACTTGGGTCCAAGAAAAAGTGATTAGAAAATGGATTTTCTGACATAAAAGGAGCAGTAGGTAAGGTTAGTGTGTCCTTTCACCCACTATGCCATATAGATAAAGAATCTTATTGTTGTTGAAACAGATAACTGAACAGAAGCAAAGATAAGTCCATTGATCCAAGTTAAACTGAAACAGAATTAGTGTCTGAATTAGAAATGGGACAAGTGAAGGGAATTGGCTGTTCATATTTCAATAGACATAAATGACTCCATATGTTGATAACTTCTATTAAACAGCCTGCAATCCCCAGCACTCTGGGAGGCTGAGGTGGGAGGATTGCTTGCGCCTAGGAGTTCAAGACCAGAAATGCAACATAGAGAGATGTCTCTACAAAAATATATATTTTTTAGAAATTAGCCACGCATGATGGCATGCGCCTATAGTCCCAGCTGCTCAGGAAGGTAAGGCGGGAAAATAGCTTGAGTCCAGGAATTTGAGGCTGCAGTGAGCCATCATCATGCCACTTTCCCCACTGGGTTACAGAGCAAAACCCTGACTGAAGAAGAAAAAAAAAAAGACCCAACGAGGGTAGGGAGACGGTGGGTTGCAAAAAGGCTCCTAAAAGATTAGCAAAAACATAATGAAGAGTTGAGTTATCCAATGAGGTTCATTTCGGAAGTATTAGGGTAGGATTCAGTACCAGCAAACACAACTAGTGATCTCCCAACCTTCTCTCTCCCCCACTCACACTCATCCCAAAGTAATTCTAGTTTTATATGCTCTTGAATGGGAGAAGTACTTATAACAGAATAAGAATAAAAAGGTTGAAACTCAGATTAGACATGGAGAAGAGGTTAAAAAGAGTCCTTTTCATGGTCGGGCGCGGTGGCTCACGCCTGTAATCCCAGTACTTTGGAAGGCTGAGGGAGGCGGATCATGAGGTCAGGAGACGGAGACCATCCTGGCTAACACGGTGAAACCCCGTCTCTATTAAAAATACAAAAAAGAAAAAAAGAAAAAAATAAATAAATTAGCCGGGTGTGGTGGCGGGCGCCTGTAGTCCCAGCTACTCTGGAGGCTGAGGCAGGAGAATGGCGTGAACCCGGGAGGCGGAGCTTGCAGTGAGCCGAGATGGCGCCACTGCACTCCAGCCTGGGCAACAGAGCGAGACTCTGTGTAAAAAAAAAAAAAAAAGAGTCCTTTTCGGCCGGGCTCAGTGGCTCACGCCTGTAATCCCAGCACTTCGGGAGGCCGAGGCGGGCGGATCACATGAAGTCAGGAGATCAAGACCAATCTGGCCAACATGGTGAAACCCCGTCTCTACTACAAAAAAAAAAAAAAAAAAAATTAGCTGGGCGTGGGCGTTGTGGCTGGCGCCTGTAATCCCAGCTACTCGGGAGGCTGAGGCAGGAGAATCGCTTGAACCAGGGAGACGGAGCTTGCAGTGAGCCGAGAACGCACCACTGCAGTCCAGCCTGGGCGACAGAGCAAGACTCCGTCTCAAAAACAAACAAACAAAAAAGTCCTTTTCCCACACCAAGTGGATTAAACATTTCCCAATATTCTTTGATCTTATTCCTTAATTAATTTGCTTGTATCATCCTCTCTTAGGATTCTCGGGCTTCCTCTGACTTTCCTTAGCATCCTCTTTCCCTTGAAGATTAGAATCTTGAGGGTCTCACCCCATTCCCTAACAATTTACAAATTTATAAATTTCCTTTTACTGATATTTACTGTGGATCTGGCATTCTGCTAAACACTTTATAATGATTGTCTCTATTTTACATATGAGGAAACTGAGGCAGAGAGGTTAGATGCCTTGACTACATCTCACCACTGAGATGATGGGGTAGTGACTGGAGCCCCTTCAGTTGGACTTGGGGGATCAGAGTTTTAATAATAACCCTGCTACAGCCTGCCCATGACTACCAACAAGAACAGCACAAGCTTTCACTTTTCTCTGGCCCCAAACTTGGTTTACCATCCACGTCACTCTCCCCTGAGGTCCGACAGTCCCAGTGTGCTTGTTTTTATGATTTCTCCTTGCTTCATCCACTTCACTGTCTTCTTGACTTCTGTTTCCATTGCGTTGTGAATCAACTCCTTCTGCTGTACATGTACTAAACATCTCTCTTTCCATGTCTTTGTCATTATAGAAAACTGACTCTCTCAATGATGCCACATGACTGTTATATCACTTCTCAATCTACCTACATCTATCTAAATTTCCCAAAGGAGGGGGATGTTGGCTGAGTTATTCCTGCACCACGTTCAGACTTCCACATCACCTCCATCGTTTCCCTTGTTAGTTATGTGAACAGGTCTATGTACAGTTTTGTCACTTCTGACAATCTTAATTCCTATTGGTTTTGACTGCTGTGCTAGTGGAAGGATAAACTCTGCCTTCATTATTCTGTCCTTAGGTCCTAGCGCAGTGCTCAGAAGATATCTATCGAATGAATAAATGACTTTCTCAATGGCTTCAATCCCTTGTTCATGTTCTTCCCCTCCACTTGGTCTCCCACTTCCAAAAGAAGAGACACTTCCAAAACCGAAGTGGCTAAAAATAGATATTGATGGTGTAACATTAGTAGTCCCTCTCCCAGGCTTTTAATGGATAATGAACACACTTCTTGCTGAAAAAAAAAAAAAAAACTGTAATGTTAAATTGCTCAAATATTTATTTAAGTAGATACTAATTAGTGACAGCTCAGATAGAGAACAGAGTGAATAGAGTAATAAGTGGAGAACAGAAAAGTTGAAAATCTCCTAGGAAGAACATATATAAGTTTATATTTTAAGGAAATAAGGAAGGTTCACGTTATTCAGAGAAATGTTAAAGAGAAGTTGTGAAAAGTTGTGCTAACCTAGGTACTTAGGGCAAAAATGTAGAGGTGAGTGATTTTGGGAGGATGAAGACATTGAGAATGCAGCTATAAATTAAAGGGTTTGAAGTAACTATTTATAGGGCCCTTTTGTTTTTTAAATTAGAGTTAAGATTTATTCCTGGAAATACAGACTGAAAGGGTTTTCTCAAGAACCAACTAAAAGAACTAACTTCGGTCAACCTCAGGTTACAAACAGACAGAAGCTAAGAGGAAAAGTAAGATTAATCGCTTATAAGGAGGCTAAGCTGGACTGTAATTATTCTGCATCAGGGTAACTTTCTATCTCAAAGAGTAGGTTCCCCAGTCCCCATCACCCCCACAGGAAAGTCATTTCTTGTGTGCTAATGGTTGTGCACAACTGTCATGCTCCTGACAAGTCAATAAAAGAGGAAAGGACAGAGAGATTAGGAGGCAGAGGACTGCAATCCCTGGAGCATTACATACTATTTAATGTGTTGTGTTTATCGCCTGCTCGTAGGTGACTGCCAACAAGACAGCTTCCTGGAGGCTTCTGTGTTGGGTCCAGATGTTTATCGTTGGGATTTTCAAAGTACCTAAGAGGCACTGCAGAAGCTCTGTGCACTAGGAATTTCACACAAAGAAGAGGGACAATCAACAGTCCTGAAAAGCTGGCCTATACCAAGAACTGAAATTGAAGGAGCCAGGCTATAAAATCCCTGAGGCCGTTTCTGATGTCATTGACCTTTCACATCATACCAGTTCTGGCTGTCATCACCCTCTGACTGTTTCTCTCCTGTGGTTCTCACCCACTTGTGACTTTCTATTGCCATGTAGAGTGTAGTTGTTCCCTACATGTTATACTCTTTAAAGGACAGATCTACATTTGGTTTATCCTTGTATCTACTTTAGCGTAATATGTGGCCCCTACTAGGAACTCAGTGAATGCTTTTTGAATGAATAAGTGATTTCTATGAATTAAGCTCTATGCAGAAATTGCTTAAGCATGGAAAGAAATTTTCTTATGCAGCAGCTATGTGTTAGACTGAGTATATACTGGATTTCACATGGCATCTATTGCAGAACTCAGGAGATGACAAGCCTACGATAAAAAGGCTGCATACTCATGCATTCAGGGCAACAGTGGTCCTGGTCTACAGCACACTTTCATGGGGGCTCCGGGACCAAAAGGCGGGCTCTGACAAAAGGCTGATGGAGACGAGCTTTCTTCCTTCCCAGCTAGCTAATCACTTTGCCAAATAACTGCTGAAATTCCAAGCAGAAACAACAACAACAAAATAAACAGAACCATTTCAGGCATATTTTCTTGCCATGGGCATGTAACTAGTACTTTTCTCCTATGTTGCTTTGTGTTTATATTGGGTTCATTCTAAAAAGATATGTCTCAGCCTTGCAAATTCTATATCTGAAAAAATGTGTGTCTTTATGGGAGGCAAGGTTAAAATATGAATTTTTCAAAGGGGAGGATTGTAAAGCTAAGCTAAATATCAGTAAAGGTGATGGGAGTCAATGGCCTGAGGATGAAATCCTGAGGGGTTGCTGTGTGTGCTTTTACTATTGATCACATGTGAATGATAATATTATTACTGCCACAATAATATTAGTAATAATATTATCATTCTACTTATTTTTATAATATTCACATATGTATCAGAATATCACTATTATATGAATAGAGGAGTTACTGCTTCAGGTCAAATACTTCTGATTTAAAGAGAAAATCATATAGAGAAGTGAGTCCATCCAAGCAGAAAAAGTAGCAAGGCCGTGAAACACACTGACCAAGTGAATTCTTCAAATTTCAACTATCCCACAGCAAACCAGGTTCTACAATAAAATGAATGGGGATAGCACATTCCTGATATGAGGACTAATAACTGCAGGCTTTTAGACATAATCACCCAATGATCCTTGCAAACAATTATTACACCAGTGTAAAGTTTGGGGAGACATCTGGGGAGTAATCCTGTTTAACCACTTCATTTTACTTTGAAGAAATGGAAGCCCAAAGCAGTTAGGTGATTTCTTTTTGTCACATAACAAGCATCAATGCTGGCATCAGAACCTGGATATATATTCAAATGCACTTTTAGATGCTACTGGGTGATCATCCAGGCACTGGATTTTTTTTTTTTTTTTGATGTCAAGGTAATATTTATTGTCATCAGTGAAATTTTGTTTTTTGAAATAGGGTCTCACTCTGTCACTCAAGCTGGATTGCAGGGGTATAAACATGGCTCACTGCAGCCTTGACCTCCTGGGCTCAAGCAATCCTCCTGCCTTAGCCCTCCAAGTAGCTGGAAGTACAGGAACATACCACTATGCCTGGCTAATTTACTTACTTAGTTACTTATGTATGTATGTATTATTTGTAAAGATGGAGTCTCGCCATGTTGCCTAGCTTGGTCTTGAACTACTGAGCTCAAGCGATCAGCCCATCTCGGCCTCCCAAAGTGCTGGTATTACAGGCTCATTAATGAAAGTTTTGAACATATAGAAGTATCAAGAAAAATAATGAAAATTATCTGAAGGCTCATCACTGTAGCATTGTTGTGATAGATCCTTCTTGTATTTGTTTATTTGTATTGCTAACACACTTTTAAACTTTTTTTCTATTGTAAATATACTTTTTTGTATTGTGGTTTATTATGTTAATTTATCTGAAGTATTTCTCTCCATGATTACATGACTGTAAAATACCAAAGAACTATATATGCTGTATTTTATATCACTATTTCCATAATGTTGGACTTTTTCTGTTCATAAATGAAAATTTCCTGAATACTTCTCTTCAGAAAATGCTTTGTATAAAAAGATAATATTCTTAGAGCAATTTCCCGAAATAATAACTGCTGGATTCGAGAGTATAAGTGTTTTTGAAAATTTTAATACATATTGCCAGAAAGCTCGCTGGTGTTTTTTATTAATGTCTTTGTTGTTGTCATATCCTCTCAGAAATAAAATTGTTAATAAATTCCCCTTTGACTTTAGGACTCTCACTATTTTGAGAACGTTAACTGTCAGCAATAAACCATGAATATCCAAAAACTACTTTCTTAAATAAGCGGGCTTGCTCAAGGGAGCATCAAACTCACTGAGCATTTAGGCTAAATCCTACAGCTATGACACAGCAGGAGACCCTGTTCCTATGAACTAAAAGAAGCAATATACGTTTATGATATGGTGATGGCAAGGACTGTCCTGTAAGACTTTGTTATTAATTACAGAGATACTATTCATGGGCAGGTGAATTTCCCAGGTTGCATAATCACATTCCTCTCAAGGCTCAGAATCATTTAAAGTTTCTATTATTGGTTTGTGCTTGTTGTTGGTTTTTGTTGTTGTTGTTGTTGTTTCTAAGACAGAATCTCACTCTGTCACCCATGCTAAAGACTGCAACCTCCGCCTCCCAGATTCAAGCGATTCTCTTGCTTCAGCCTCCTGGGTAGCTGGGACTACAGGCACACACCACCAAACCCAGCTAATTTTTGTATTTTTAGTAGAGACGGGTTTTCACCATGTGGGCCAGGCTGGTCTCGAACTCCTGGCCTCAAGTGATCCACCCACCTCGGCCTCCCAAAGTGCCGGGATTACAGATGTGAGCCACTGTGCCTGGCCACAGCTGAATTTCCATGCTTCATAAATCATGACAGAGCTTATTCTTGCTTAGATTACCATTTTACCTGTGATAAGGCTTTTGATAAAAAAGAAAATAAAATAAGAAACAAAAAGGTAAAATCCCCAAGTTTCTAGAATTTTATAGCTGGAAATGACATAGATATCCATGAGTTCTGGTTTAATGACAGTATTTAATAAAAAACAAAACAAACAAACAAAAAAAAACCACGGTCTGGGAAGATTCAGATATAATGGTTGTACAAGTAATGCAACCTGTTAGTGACAGAACCCCTTCAGAAAGAACATCTCATACATTTTCTAAGTGAAAAATGAAACAAGCTCTCACATTCTTTTTGCAGTATGAACTACAGGAGCATTAACATCTCTGTGTTCATGAACTCTGGGATTTGGACAAGGACTTTAATTTTGTTCTGTGTCATCAGTAGATTAGAGTTGGGGTAGTGCTGTGACTATGTGGAAGAGTGCTGGATTGGGATTCTGCAACCTGGATGCGGTCCTGATCTAGGAGCGAGATACTTAAAATCCCTATCCTCAGTTTCCTAATCTAGAAAACAGTTCTGTGTTGACGACATCATGGTGGGGTGGGGGGGGGTGGGGATAAGTTTAAATTAGGGAATATACATGAAAATAATGTAAAAAAATACCAGACATTATTTGAATGTAAAGAATTCTAAGTTTAGCCAGGCGTGATGGCTCACGCCTGTAATCCCAGCACTCTGGGGGACTGAGGCGGGAGGATCACGAGGTCAGGAGATCGAGACCATCCTGGCCAACACGGTGAAACTCCGTCTCTACTAAAAATACAAAAAAAATTAGCTGGTCATGGTGGCAGGCACCTGTAATCCCAGCTACTCGGGAGGCTGAGGCAGGAGAATCACTTGAACCTGGGAGTCAGAGGTTGCAGTGAGCCAAGATCGCCACTGCACTCCAGCCTGGCAACAGAATGAGACCCTCCCCCAAAAAAAAAAAAAAAAAAAAAAAAAAAAAAAAAAAAAAAGAATTCTAAGTTTTTTTCGTGTGTGTGTGTGAAGATGGTCTTGCTTTGCTTTGTTACCCAGGCTAGAGTACAGTAGTGCAATCATGGCTTACCGTAGCCTTGACCTCCTGGGCTCAAGTGATCCTTACACCTCAGCCTCCTGAGTAGCTGGGACTACAGGCATGTGCCACCAAACTAGGCTAATATTTTATTTTTTAGAGAGATGAGGTCTCACTATGTTGCCCTGGCTGGTCTCGAACTCCTGGCTCAAGTGATCCTCCCATCTCAGCCTCCCAAAGTGCTATGGTTCCAGGCATAAGCCACTGCACCCAGTCAGGATTCTAAGTATTAATATAATTTTTCCCATTCATAATTTAGCATCAGGCCAGGTGGATTTAAAGTTACACTGACTCGTATAAAAAAGTCAAGAGATAACAAGTGTTGGTGAGAGTGTAGAATAAAGGGAACCCTTGTCCACTTTCAGAGGGAATGCAAATTGTTATAGCCATTATGGAAAACAGTATAAAAGTTTCCCTTCCAAATAAAACATTCTGCTACCATATGATCCAGCAATCCCTCTTCTGGGTATGCCCAAAAGAGATGAAATAAACACCTCATGGACATATCTGCACTTTGACGTTCATTGCAGCATTATTCACAATAGCCAAGATATGAAAACAACCTAAGAATCCATTAACAGATGAAGCGGTAAATAAATTGTGGTATAGATACACAATGGAATAATTATCCAACCTAAAAAGGAGATTCTAGCATTTGCAACAACATGAATGAACCTGCTAAGTGAACTATAAGCCAGACATAGAAACAAAACTACTGCACGATCTTACTTACATGTAGAATCTTAAAAAAAAAAAAAAATCAAATACATAGAAACAGAGAGTAGAATGGTGGTTACCAGGGGCAGGGAGAGGAGAAAATGGAAAGTAGATGAGAGGGAACAAACTTGTAATCATGTAGAATCTGTATGTCTAGGCCAGGCATGGTGGCTCACTCCTGTAATCCCAGAACTTTGGGAGGCCAAGGCAGGCGGATCACCTGAGGCCAGGAGTTTGAGACCAGCCTGGCCAACATGGTGAAACCCTGTCTCTACCCAAAATATAAAAGTTAGCCGGGCATGGTGGTGCATGCCTGTAATCCCAGCTACTCGGCAGGCTGAGGCAGGAGAATCATCTGAACCCAGGAGGCAGAAGTTGCAGTGAGCCGAGATTGCGCCACTGAACTCCAGCCTGAGTGACAAGACTGAAACTCCGTCTCAAAAAAAAAAAAAAAAAAAAAAAAAGAATCAGTGTGTCTAGAGATCTAATGTACAACAGAAAGATTATAGTAAATAATATTGTATTGTATATTCAAAATCTGCAGAATAAGTAGATTTTATGTGCTCTTACAAAAATGTTAACTATGGAAAGTGATAAATATGTTAAATTGCTTGCCTATAGTATTTATTTCACAATGGATATGTATATTAAAATATCATGTTCTAGGAATGTAATTCTCTGCAAACCTAGCTGCTGAAACTGCCTGCTGTAACCTGAAATCACTTTTATCTAATAGCAGCTAAGACAACCACTGTGAGTCTAAGATTAGTTTTACCTACTGCACTGTTGTCACTCACCAATCAGAGGTTGCCACTCCCCACAACTTTACTAGTGCCAGTGAAATTTCTTTCAGGACAAGACATTTCTCCTTTTCGTAAAACCTCCAACCTTCTCTTTGTTCTTCTGACATACAGAAGACTATCAGGTCTGTGTGTATGCCCTGTATTGCAACTCTTATCTCCCCAATAAAAAGGTAAATTTAGAGATTCATCTCTATTTTTTGTTTGACTTTACACCAGAAGAAAGAAATGCTAAAAGTCCAGGGCAAGGAAACAGGGTGCCAAACAGAGTTTTGCTTCCTCTACTAGATTTTTGGGAACTTCGCATCTAAAACTTTTCGAGTTCAAGCTTCTTATTTTATGAAGAAGAAACTGAAGCCTAGAGAGGTAAACTGTGGTTTCATTTAGTTATTAGATATCTAAGGCTATTCTATTCGAACTATTTGGTGGTTTAGAAGAATAGGTAATTTTACAATAGTTGGTTAGATTATTAAGTGGTGGAAGGGCACAGGAGGTTTTCAGACTCGATTAAGGGAAAACTAAATAGTTCTAGGATATCTTCTCTGAGGATTTCTTTTCTTTTTTTTGGAGACAGAGTCTCGCTTTTGTCGCCCAGGCTGGAGTGCAACGGCATGATCTAGAGTCATTTCAACCTCCGCCTCCTAGGTTCAAGCAATTCTCCCACCTCCCAAATAGCTGGGATTACAGGCGCCCGCCACCACACCCAGCTAATTTTGTATTTTTAGTAGAGATGGGGTTTCTCCATGTTGGCAAAGCTGGTCTCGAACTCCTGGCTTCAAGTGATCCACTCACCTCGGCCTCCCAAAGTGCTGGGATTACAGGCATGAGCCACCGCGCCCAGCCATCTTTGAGGTTTTCTATTGAATACAACTCACTAACAAACTTTTTCCTTATAGACAACAGCTATAGTAGTATAATAGGCCGTTTTAGAAGGCACTTATTTTATTTCCTTCATAGACTGTGATTGAGATGAGATCCAGAAGATATTAAAGTTTCTTTGCAAACCAGTCTTTCATAATATAGAAATTTCTTATTTATACCTAAACTTTTTTAAAAAGGATTTTTTTTCTTTTTAAGAAAAGGTTTTTAGTACTATTAAATCATGAGACAAGCTGAGCCCATTGGAAGAGTAGGAGCCAGAATTGTTGAGAAAGTTCTATTTTACTGAGAATAGAGAAAAAATAGAAAAGACCACTGAACATTTTAGGGTAAATGACAGAGCCCCATATTCAAAATCTCAGTAACTTGCATCCCACATAATTTTATACATATATATGTTTCTCACTTTTTAGATCTATGAAAATTATAGTCCTATAGGATATATAGTCTTAACATCTAGACACAGTCTTTTGTGTTGTCTATGCTGGTGTGTGTTTTTCTTCTGTGGATAGAACGAGTGGTTGGCTTTTCTTTATTTCTTAGATAAGTCTTAAAGTAGAGGCAAAAGACAAAAAAAAAGCAGTAAAATAGGATGTATTTTGTATTCGGATGAAGAAGGGAGAAATAGATAACTCTCACTTTTTGCTGTATTGTGCTCTTGGAAGTTGTTTGAAAGCAGAACCAGTGAAAAACAAATTGTTGTTGTCTGGGTTTTTTCCAAGCCTCCAGTTGCCTACTTGTGCTCATAGGCTGGCAAAGTAAAATGCTGACTGAGTTTATAAATGGATCTATAGAAACTGATGAATCAGGTCCTGAAACCAAAAGATGAGAAGATGTGACTAGCAAAAATTTAAATAGAGGTGATTTTCAAGCATCAAATGTTCAAAGTTGAAAGGCGTTTGGGTTTATTTATGTTTGCTCTCAAATTGTAAACTCTGACAGGTACTTAAGAGCCTTTCCCAGAAAATGGTTTTAACAGGTCGTGTACAGTCAATCTTAATGCTTACAGCCTGGAACTGAAGATGACCTAGCACCTTTTAAGTTAAATGTCTAGTTACTTTCATCTATCAAGGCTCTGTAAGAAATGAAGTAGTTATATACAGATATATAGTCCACAAAGTGTCATTAATTAGCACACACAAGAAGCTGGACATATTGTCTGACTCACTTTAGATGGTGTCTTCTAACAATTTTCATTCATTCACTCTTATGTTTATTAAGTAACATCTGTGTGCCAAACCCTCTTCCAAGGCCTGGAATTACTGCCGTGAACAAACAGATAAAGTTCTTCTCTGATGGAGCTTGCTTTCTATTTCAGGGGCAGGAGTGGCAGGAAACAGACAAAAGACCTATCAGTAAAATATCAGGCAGTGGTAAGTGTTCTGCACAACATTAACATAAGGTGTTGTGAAGTTCAATGACTGCTACCAACACCAGCCTGAGGTGAGAGAAGGCCTCTATGAGAGTGTGGTATTTAATTTGAGATCTGACTAAACAAGATACCAATCTTTTGCAGATCTGAGGAGAAAGTGTTCCAGCCATAGAAAATAGCAATTGCAAAGGCCCTAAGGCCTGTAGTTCGGAGGAACAGCAATAACTGCAGTCCAGTGATTGTGAGGTATAACAGACAATGGGAAAGTGACAGGAAATAAGATCAAATAGGGGCCAGGACAGGGAGTTTCATTTTATTCTAAATGAAGTAAAAAGCCAATAGAGAGTTTAAACAAGGGAGCAACAAAATCTAATTCATGTTTCCTTCTTCTTTTTTTTTTTTTTTAATTAGAAATGGGGTCTCACTATGTTGCCCAGACTGGTCTTGAACTCCCAGCAATCCTCCCACCTCAGCCTCCTGGAGTAGCTGGGATTACTAGTGGGAGCCACCACACTTGGCTAAATCATACATCAAAGAGATCATTCTGGCTGTTTTAAGGAGAATTTGTTAGAAAAGGCAAACGTAAAATAAAAATAAAAAAAGGGCTTAAAAACTACCGCTAAACTATGCAAGAGAGTATAATAGCTTAGACTAAGGAGAAGAAGTAAAGATAGGAAAAACTGAAAGGATTCCAGGGATACTTGGTATTAGAGTTTATAGGATATGGGGATCAGAAGACAGTGAGGCAAAGAAGGGAATAACTACCAGATAGCCGGCTCAATTAATTGGGTAGATAGCAGTGGTGTTTATTGAGATGGGCAAGACCAGAAGAGCTGGTTGGGGAAAAGCCTGAAGTTTTGTTCTGACGATGTTCAATTGGAGATGCCGACTGGACAGCCATATGCAGAAGTCAGTTGGACCTACGAGTCTGGAGTTCAGGGAGACACAGACGAGAACTAGAGTGTTAGGTGTCATCAGTATATGTATGGTATTTAAAACCATTTGAGTGAATGTAATAAATGAAGAGAATACTCCCAGGGATGCTTGGCATTTGGAAGTTAAACAGAGGAGAAAGAGTGAAGGACAATGAGAATGAGCAGCCAGTGAGATAGAAAGCCAGGAGGAAGATTTACTAATAATTCATAGTTTTGCCTACTATAAGATCTGGTGATCCTCTCCTCTCCTTTAGCTGTATTTGGGGAAACAAATAAGCAAACACAAATTCCAGAATAATTGTAAGCCTCTTGGTAATGCTAATTATCTGAATTAGCTGAACCTCACAAATAACATTTATTTGTTTCACATAGATAACTGCTGGGAGAAGGGAGAGGGAGCAGTGATGTTAGGAAATGACTTCACCTGCAATAAAAGCATAAAGAGGTATGATATCTACACATGATGAAAATATCATGTCAAAATTCATAAAGCAAAACCTATAGGAAATAAAAGAAAAAATGGCAGAAATATATTTGTTGTGGTAGACTTCAGTTCTCTTCTCTCAGCCCATGACTGATTTATTGCCTTTGGAAATGTGAAACAATCAGGATAAAGTCTCTGGTTAATTTCTTCTTATAGCTCTTTGATCCATGCTTTGAGAATGAAAAGCTAAAGCTACATAAGGCCAGAGAAAAATGGCCAGAACATGGCTCAGCATATTAAAATATTTTCATTTATTTATTTTATTCTTATTGTCTATATTTAAGCTGTACAACATGAAGTTTTGATATGGATATACAAGTTCATAGTTAAGTGATTACTATGGATCCAATGTACTTTTAAAGTGCTCTACATGAGGCCGGGCACAGTGGCTCATGCCTGTAATCCCAACACTTTGGGAGGCCGAGGCGGGAGGATCACGAAGTCAAGAGATCGAGACCATCCTGGCCAACATAGTGAAACCCCGTCTCTACTAAAAATACAAAAATTAGCTGGACGTGGTGGTGCGTGCCTGTAGTCCCAGCTATTTAGGAGGCTGAGACAGGAGAATCGCTTGAATTCCGGATGCAGAGTTTGCAGGGAGCCGAGATCGCACCATTGCACTCCAGCCTGGTGACAGAGTGAGACTCTATCTCAAAAAAACAAAAAAAAAAAAGTTGCTTTACGTGCTGAAGACCAAAACCTTCTGTGGAGAAGAGGCATCTGAATAATTTGCTTCTATCACATTAAGTAACCATAAGCATGTATATGTATGCACTAACTAGAAACTCCATCTTCCTGGTCACTATGCCTTGTTTTGTTATGATAAAACACAACAAAACAAACAAAAACTTTCCCCAAAAAAGTCCTCTTGAAATTTAATGAAGCCTCTTACTTTGAATACCAAGTCCTGGTAACAGAGAGATTTGGGCCAATTGTCATGTAAATGACATAGAGGAACACTTCAGTTCAAAAGAAAAGATTAAAGTAGAAACATTTTCTTTTTGCTGGTTATTGCTAAGAGGAATCATATTAAACTTTAAAAACATTGAATACATAGGGATTTCTATTTCCTTTTATATTACAAGGGAGTTCTCTTTTCTAGTTCGTATTGTTTGAATTGGAGAAAAAAATCAGTGACAGGGTGGAAATAATTTGCTTTCTACAAGAATGCAAAAACAGGAGTGCTCTAGGAAAGGAACCAACTACAAATGTGAAAGCACTTTACAGAAAAGAATCAGGCCATACATGACTGGACACCATCCTTCATGTGGACTGGGATCATGTGTTCTGCTTACTGTATGTGGAACAGTATCTGACAAAGTAGATGTTCTATATGTGGCACCAGGATGGACAGATCAATGCAACTACCATGTAGGTCGAACTGTGATAGATTTCAGTTGAAGAGAGGGACAAACTTCTAAGAGGAGATATAATTTATTTATTTATTTATTTATTTTTTTGAGAAAGTCTCACTCCGTCACTTAGGCTGGAGTGCAATGGCACAATCTCATCTCACTGCAATCTCTGCCTCCAGGGTTCAAGTGATTCTCCTGCCTCAACCTCTTGAGTAGCTGGGACTACAGGCACCCACCACCACGCCCAGCTAATTTTTGTATTTTTAGTAGAGTTGGGGTTTCACCATGTTGGCCAGGCTGGTCTCGAACTCATGATCTCAGGTGATCCACCCTCCTCGGCCTCCCAAAGTGCTGGGATGATAGACGTGAGTCTACGCCCGGCCAGGAGATCTAATTTCTTCCAGTGTCAAATAACAATTAGGATATACAGTTGACCCTTGAACAACATGGATGCTGGGGGGGTCCAACCACCCGTGAAAATCTGCATATACCTTTTGACTCCCCCAGAATTTAGCTATTAATAACCTACTGTTGACTAGAAGCCTTACCAGCAGCATAAATAGTTGATAATGCATAGTTTGTGTGTTATATGTAGTCTATACCGTATTCTTACAGTAAAGTAAGCTAGATAAAGGAAACTTATTGAGAAAATCATAAGGAAGAGAAAAGATATTTACTAATAATTAAGTGGAAGTGAATCCCCATAAAGGTCTTTACCCTGGTCATCTTCAGATGGAGTAGGGTATGGAGGAGGGCTTGGTCTTGCTCTCTCATGGGTGGCAGAGGTGGGAGAAAATCCGTGTATAGGTGGACCAAAACTTTTCAAATCTGTGTTGTTCAAGGGTCAATTGTCTACTTGTCTCAGGTCCTTTTTAAAAATAAGATCACATTGCTTGTGAAAGAAAGAGAACACGAGCAAACAGGAGTGCTAATTATCAAGACCATAAGTCAGAAAATACTGTGAGATTTTTGTGAAAAGGAAGGGTGTAAAATGTACTGTTTCTCACTTAAAGAATTTGTTTTCTTGTTATGAAAATGAAAATTCGGTTGTGCATACATGGGAAATAATTCTAAAATTAAATAACATGGGTCTATGAATAAAAGGTTGTTTGAACAGTTTTTCCTCTAAGGGCTGACAGCCAATGAAACAATTAGTAAAAAGAACAGCATTAGTCATAAATAGATTTCCCTCAGGAGACCAAGTGGGTAGATCACTTGAAGTCAAGAGTTCCAGACCATCGTGGCCACCATGGTGAAAACCTGTCTCTGCTAAAAATACAAAAAAATTAGCTGGGCGTGGTGGTGTGCCCCTGTAGTCCCAGCTACTCAGAGGCTGAGCATGAAATTGCTTGAACTGGGGTGGAGGCCGCAGTGAGCTGAGATCATTCCACTGCACTCCAGCTTGGGTGACAGAGAGAGACTGTCTCAAATTAAATAAATAAATAGGTTTCCTTATTCTGTAGTGATGTGATCTTTCAAGAGGTTTAAAAAAAGCATGTTGCAATCCTGTTGATTGAGTTCCTCAGCTCTGATTATCAGTCTCATTTGGTCATTAAACCTAATTGGTATCTAAATCAAGGAAAACTATTCAGTGATTGCTTCTTGATTTTTTAAAAATATTTTGACTGGTGAATGCAACAACTTATTTATCTTGTGTCTTAAGCTGTGCCTGCTATACTGTTGTTTTGATTCAACTTGGAAATATAATTTACTAATAAAAACACTGAATTAGCAGTAATGGGTCAAATTGGGCTGTGATGAAATTCACAGAACTCAGAAAATCAAGGGATCATCAGGGATTTGATTCCATGAAAGATAATTTGGAATTACTCTATTGTAACTTCAGACATAGAGAAGCTCTTGATATAGTACAAATCCTTTATTTATAGGCATAAAAAGGATGGTTTAGTATTGAATGTGCACTATTTGGCAGGTGTTATGCTGGTAGGATCACGTATGGTACCTCATTTCATTCCCGCAGAAAACTGGGATTCATAAAGCAAAGTGATTTTCTTCTGGCCAATGATGCTATATGGGTAGGCTAAGTCCGGAGCTGAATTTGTTTTTCTGCTTTCTAATACAGTAATGGTTGCTTAACGATGGGGGTACCTTCTGAGAAATGTGTCAGTAGGCAATTTCATCACTGAATGTCCTTACACGAACCAAGATGGTACAGCTTACTACACACCTTGGCTATATGGTATAACCTATCGTTCCTAGGCTACAAACCTGTACAGCAAGTCACTGTACTGAGCACTAGAGAACCGTAATACAAGGATAAGTATTTATACATCTAAACTTATCTAAACATAGAAAAATACAGAATAAAAGACAAAAAAATGTTATACATGTGTGAGGCCTTTCCCATGAATGGAGCTTGCAGGACTAGACATTGCTCTGGGTGAGTCAGTGAGTGAGTGGTGAGTGAATGTGAAGGCCTAGGCCATTAATGTGCATTACTGTAGATGGTCTAAACACTGCACACTTGGCTACACTAAATTCATAACAAAAATATTTCTTCAATACTAAATTAACCTTAGCTGGCCAGGCACGGTGGCTCATGCCTGTAATCTCAGCACGTTGGGAGGCCAAGGTAGGAGGTTCATTTGAGCCCAAAAATTTGAGAGCAGCCACCAAAAAAAAAAAAAAAAAAAAAAAAAAGAGGGATGGGAAGAGGACTGGGCACAGATTAAGATCTAGGCCAATGTCGGTTTTTTTTCTTACTAAAATTGAGACATTTGACAAGTTTTTAATTGCCCTTGAATTTGGTTTTCTTCTTTCGGAAGTAAAGACCTAATCTCATAGGGTTTCATCAAATAATACATGTCAAAAAAGAAAAACCTCGAAACAGTAAAGGCCATACATGAGTGGTTCTCAATCCTATTATACTGTTTTTAGAAAAGTTTCTAAGGCATCTTAAATATCTTGAAATGAAATTCATAGCTGCCAATAATTTTTCTACAAAGATGATTTTAAATAATCAAAATACTACCCGTCACATAAAAGAGAAAGGAAAATAATTGGTAATACACAATAAAATACAGATCCAGAATTCCTCCACAATTCTGAAATCCAAATGGCTCAGAAATCCAAAAACATTTCACAACTTACTCAGCAGCAATCCTGATATAGGCACACATGAAACTGTTGTGGCCTTTATTTTTCCTGAGATATTTTTCAAGGCAGGATATGCTTTACGCATCAGAAATTAAACTTTTACCCAGGCAATTGAATATACAGGCTATCTTCTTAGAGAAAACTAAAATTTGTAAAGCCTCACCATGGAAAAGATTGAGGTGGATTACATCCAATGTTTGTTTTGAAGAACACAGGGAGTTTCTCTGCACCACAGTCTGATGTGCAGGGATGGAAAGGCTGGGCTTGCCTGAGCTGCAGCTGACTGGGGATGGGTTGCAAGGGGGCAGCTGGATCCTAGCAGGGTTAAAAGGAACCTGGTTTCTTCAGTTATTATAAATGTTTTAGGTCGGTGTTATTTGTTTCAGGAGTTGAGTATCAACAACGATGCTCGAAATCACAAATAATTGCTGTGGAAGGACTGTCTGTTGCCTAAAATTTAACCAAACATTTTACTGCAGAAAAGCCTCTGAGCCATATGGTCCTACCCACCTCCTGAAAGACATTTATAGTTCACTCTTTCCTATAAACAGTTTAAAGTAACCATGATAAACATTCTGGAGAAAAGCTAAACTTGCATTTGCTCTTCTCCTGTTGATTATTTGCGATAATAAGAAAATGTTTACACACGCAGAGGTGAAGTTTATGTGGGAGGCCCTAATGCATACACCCCTTATACGGTGATTTACTGCTTGTTTATGATGAGAATCAGAAATAATGAACATGATTTTCTGAACTGACACATCATTTCAATAGCTCCTGTGTACGAGGCTCTGATACGTAGATTGTCAATAAGACCTTAATTTCATACAGAATATGTTAAGGAGCAAGATATATGTTGTCTCAGTTTTTTTTTCTTCCAATGTTGACCAAAAATTTTTTTCCTAAGGCAAAAGTGTCATGGAAAATATCTTTCCAGAAGCATTTTAAATTTTCAGAGAAAGACCTAGAACTTGGGAAACCAAAGTCACGGCAAGATTTAAATGAGTTACAGGTTCAGAATCTGGTTCCAAATGTCTGGAAGTCAGTACATACACAAATTAACATAATTTTGTTAGTACTTCTTGGAATTTTCTACTTAACGAGAGTAGACATCAATGGAGAGTGGCATTCTAAAATGGAAAAATAGCTTATATTCTATGCAGAACCTGGCCTACTGACCTCTTTGTCTCAAGAAAAGATTGCTATGGGAATGATGTCTATTTGTAGTAAATGTCTTATTAAAGGGAAATTAGAAGGAATTGATAGCTAAAAGGTATTTAAATATTATATCAGAGAAAAAACACTTTAGTATTTCTTATTCTTACATAGTTCGAACAGTCTAAGCAAAATATTGAACATGGTTCAGAGATAGATACCATATTCTTTTGGACTCACAGTAGAAGTTTACACATTAGAATATTACCCTCTATACTTCTGTTTTTCCATCAGATCTATCTTTTGAAACATGTAATGGCTCATAGTTGCCAAGAGAATGAACTCAAAGCTTCTTAGTATAGCATGCAAAGGTTTTTACAATTAAGCCCCAATTTATCTTCCTAGGATTAGCTATTTCTCACTTATTCTAGCCTCTAGCCTATGTGCTCTAGACTTTAGTGGTTCTGTACTTTTTACTATCCTTTGGCCAAGAAATTCCCTTCCATGCCTCTGTCCCTTTATTTATACTGTCTTCTCATCTTGGACTGTCTTTCCTCTTTTTTTATTTCATAAAATACAACGTAAGGCCCAACTCAAATGTCACCTCCTCCATAAAGCCTCCCCAACTCAAAGTCAGTCCAAAACACTCCCTCTTTAGTTCACATCACAACTGTAGCACCAAGCAAAGCCCACTTTTTATTACCAGTCCATTCCATGTGTTATCCCTTCAACTAGATTTAGAGCTCATTTAAGGCAAACATTGTCTTATTATCATTGTAGTTGACAGTCAATTAAATGTTTATTTTTGAGAATGACTTGATCAGAAGGAAGTTAGGGCTGGGCACGGTGGCTCACACCTGCAATCCCAGCACTTTGGGAGGTCGAGGCAGGCAGATCACTTGAGGTCAGGAGTTCAAGATCAGCCTGGCCAACATGATGAAACTCCGTCTCTACCAAAAAATACAAAAAAGTAGTGGGGCGTGGTAGCACGAGCCTGTGATCCCTGCTACTTGGGAGGCTGAGGTGGGAGAATCACTTGAACCTGGGAGGTGGAGGCTGCAGTGAGCCAACATCATACCACTGCACTCTAGCCTGGGCGACAGAGCAAGACCTTGTCTAAAAAAAAGAAGGAAGTGAGTTTGATAGGTGAACACCTGAACTTCATCCTCCCCAAATAAACAAAATGAAACAAGGCAAATATTAGAATTAGAAATTAAGGATATTAAGAAGTATTTTCCAGTGACCCTGTTCCAAGGCTAAAAGTTCAGCCAAAAAAGCTTGAGGAGGCATGGAGAATCAAGAAGCAAAGAGTTGCTATCAGCAACTCAAACAATTTGATCCCCATCTTTACGAAGCCAGAGCAGTTGTGTCCTTGAATTTCCTGATTTGACTGCCAGAAGAACATGAAATTTGTGTGGCGGGGATAATAAAGACTGGCTAGAACATGACAGTGATAAAGACAATTACTGAAGAGAGAGGGAAGAATCCCCCTCCCCGGGGAAAAAGGGCATCTCCTCATTCTTGTGCTGGGAAGGAGGGCTCTGAATTTGGGCTTCCATTTCCTTTCTCATTGCCCTGTTTTGCCAGGAGGCAATAGTGCAAAGCAGTGCATCCAGGTTCCTAGGTAGAAATGAGTGGAGCCTATGTCATGGTGACTAGGGCAGGAGGGAGGATAACAAGGGCTGGGCAAAAAGAATCATGTTATCAAGCAATCAGATGGCTCTGATGGTGAGATTGAAAGAGAGAGTTAGAAAAGAGATTTCTGCTGCAAAGTCAAACAGAAATTCAAATGTCCACTCCCATATTATTTCCCACAATGTTCCACTTTTGGGAAGTTTGAGAAAAATTATAATTATTATCAATATATAAAATAGTACTAAGAGATACCATAGTTTGAAAGGCCAAAGATCTGTATATCTGCAATTCCTTCCTGTTTGTTTTGTTTTGTTTTGTTTTTCAGTCCTCCATTTGTGTTAAAAGGTAGTTGAGGGCAACTCCCTTAGAGAAGACTTTCCAAATTTTCCTTCAAATGGTTCTGGGAAGCTTCCTCTCTCCTTCTCTTGCCAACTGACTTGTCTTTAACTCAGAACACACAGGCCTGAGATAAGTGAACAAAAAAGCACTGCAACCATCTCACCCTTGCCACCATCTCTTTCCTGGCTCATAGCTTAAAACAAAGGTTTAAGAGACTCTTCTATGCTCTTCATTGAATTCTGTCTTCATTTTTTTATTATTAAATAATTTCTAGACCAGGTGCAGTGGTTCACGTCTATAATCTCAGCGCTTTGGAAGGTGGAAGCAGGAGGATCATTTGAGCCTAGGAGTTCAAGACCAGCCTGGGCAACATGGTGAAACTCCATCTCTACAAAAAATACAAAAAATAGCCAGGTGTGGTGACATGTACCTGTAGTCCAAGCTATTTGGGAGGCTGAGGTGGGAGGATTGTTTGAGCCTGGGGGTTAAGGCTGCAGTAAGCTGTAATTGCGTGACTGTACTCCAGCCTGGGTGGCAGAGCGAGACCCTGTCTCAATTTTTTTTTTCTTTTTTAGAAATGAGGTCTCACTGTGTCACCCAGGCAGGAGTGCAGTGGCTATTCACAGACACAACCATTGTGAACTACAGCCTGGAACTCTTGGCCTCAAGTAATGGTCTCACCTCAGCCTCCCAAGTAGCTGGAACTATAGGTGCTGCTACTTCACCTGGATTTTATTTAATTCTTTATCAACCTGCACTCACAGGGTTGTGGTGTAAATTAAAGGAGATGAAATATGTAAAATAATCTAGCATAATGTCCACTTAAAGTGCTCAATAAAATTATTCTATTCCTGCTTAGTCCCCTGAAGGCCTGAAGATTCTATCTTCGCTCTATCATATTTACCTGCCCACCGGGTTGCCAGGTTTCCTATAGATATTATCATATCTAAAATTCAATCACAGTTCAGTTACTTTGGCTCCGATGATCTCTTCTCTTGCCAGCCTGTTCCCATCCCGGAACTTTATGTGCCAGCCATTTTGAAATGCCTGCCAATCCCCAAATATCCTGTGCTCTGCCATAAATCTTCACGATTGCATAGGTTGTATCTGATGCACTGGCTCCCTCTTCCCTTTCATGAATGGCATGTTTCTTCTCATACTTTAAGATTTAGCTGAATATATGCATGGTGTGTAGGAAGTTAATAGATGAATTTTTAAAAAATAAACACCAAAAAAGATTTAGCTGAAACATCCTTACTTTTTAATACCAGTATATCCAAATATGTATTGCCACAGTATATTTCCACTCTGCTTTCATGTTTCTTCTGTTAGACTGTGAATTTTAGCACATAGCTTATTCATCTTTGATGGTGCCTAGTGCATTGCCTGGCATATAACAGGTACTCAATGAATGAATGAATGAATGAATTTTCCTATGCTTAGGTCCAACAAAGTACATTGTAAATGATTATATTGTTTTTAAATCTCAAAGAAGTCTTACACCTGAAATAAATGGAGCAACAGCAATTTTGGAGTTAAGTTTTTTTGTTGTTGTTTTTGTTCTTTTTTTTTTTTAGGCTGGAGAGACAACCACAGTCCCACTAGGCTTGATGTACTTCAGTTCTATCAACAACTGATTTCACTTAGGATAATTTTATTTATTTGTTTATTTATATATTATTATTATTATTTGAGACAAGGTCTTGCTCTGTTGCCCAGGCTAGAGTATGGTGGTGCACTCACATCTCATTGCAGCCCTAAACTCCTAGGCTCAAGTGATCCTCCCATCTCAGCCTCCTGAGTATCTGGGACTGCAGGCATGCACCACCATGCCCAGCTAATTGTTGTACTTTTTTTGTAGAGATGGGGTTTCACCATGTTGCCCAGACTGGTCTCAAACTCCTGGGCTCAAGCAATTTTCCCACCTCAGCCTCTCAAATCGTTGGGATTAGAGGCGTGAGCCATCATGCCCGGCCGATGGCTTTGGACAATTTTAAACACCGCTTTCCTCCATACTCTTTTTTCAACTTGTTATTCAGAGACTCACCTCCCAATCCTCCTCACATCCTTCCTAAACACACACACACACATACACTTCAGAGGATTTTCTCAAGATAATTCAACATGATGATGACCTTTAAGAAGAAGCCAGAATAGAGTAAACAATGAGCACTTTGAAGAAACATTTTGTTGTCAGCTTATATTTGGGCTGAGGGCAGTGGCAGGGGGGACCCCTGGGGGCGTCAGGAGGTGCCGAGGAACCTCTACCATAAAAGCTACAATCCACCTCCCTCCCATTGTTTACACAGAAAAAAAAATAGCTAATTGACGTAGGATGTGGGTGAGCTTGGTTTTCATCTCAATCCTGTTTTGCCTCATCTTGCGGTTACCTTAGGAGCACTTCAGGGCCAACCATTTCCAGTGCTTTAGGGGCTAAAAAGAAATAAAAGAAAACAACTCAAAGACTTTGGATCCTCCTCCCAGACTCGGGCCAGCTAAAAGAGTAATTCCAATCCCCAGGAGCTATGATTAAGTAAAAATTATGAAAACGTCAAATTCAAGATCTTGAGAGATTACACTAATTTAAGCCCTCGATATTTTATTCCTATTGATAAAATAACCTGGTTAGAAATCCTCCTGGCACCAGAATCTCTAGCAAATAGCATTAAACATTAGTCATTGGCAAAAGAAGTCTTGAAGAGGGAATTTTCAAGTCCTTTTGGTGGTTTATGCTGTTTTCTGTCCATGTGGGTATATCTACATCAGTTGGTAATAAAAATAAACACATTTACTTAGGTTAGATTTAGGTGATATTAAAAGTAACAATGATTTAACAATTGCTTCTATGGTGTTGCATATAATATTTTGTTCATGTTAAAATTTAGTGGAGACTCAAACTGAAGTGAACATATATAACTAAGCTAGCTTAGGAAAGCCAGAGTAATATACTCAGATGAAATACCTAAACTTTAAAATAATGTTCTACTAAAGTTAATGATTACCTATAAAAATTTCAACCCCTAAGATTAACACTTTGGAAAAAATTATCATAAGGAGTTATAGTAAGAAAGTCATCCTTCCTTTTACCATGCAATCCGTTATAGAAAAACTGTTGCTTTACGTATTTTTTTTTTTTTTTTGACACAGGGTTTGGCTTTGTTGCCCAGGCCAGGGTGCAGCCTTGACCTCCCTGGTTCAAGTGATCCTCCCACCTCAGCCCTCCATGTAGCTGGAACTACAGGGAGCCACCGCCATGCTCGACTAATTTTAAAAAATATTTTTTGTAGAGATGGGGTCTCACTATGTTGCCTATGCTGGTCTCAAACTCTTGGGCTGAAGCGATCCTCTCTCCTCAACTTCCCAAAGTGCTGGGATTAGAGGTGGGAGCCACTGCGCCCACGTTTTATTCAGTTTCCTTTAAGCAACAATTAAACATTGCTGACTAAGAGAATATAATAGAATAAAACATGTCTCTTGCTATTCTAGTATGCTGATGTCTCAAGATTATCAATTTCCTCTGTATGCAAATACATATGATGTAAATGTTTCCCACAGTGATTAGCTTCATTGTTATTTTGCAGAAGTGTTTCAGATGGACTTGCTATACCACCATTTCCATTGGAAAACCAAGAGAAGGATGAGACAATCTTATTAAAAGTATTTTAGGGCCAAGCAAGGTGGCTTATGCCTATAATCCCAGCACTTTGGGAGGCCGATGCAGGTGGATCACGAGGTCAGGAGTTCAAGACCAGCCTGGCCAACATAGTGAAACCCCGTCTCTACTAAAAATACAAAAAAAAAATTAGCCGGGTGTGGTGGTGGGCGCCTGTAATCCCAGCTACGTGGGAGGCTGAGGCAAGGAGAATCACTTGAACCTGGAGGTTCAAGTGGAGGTTGCAGTGAGCTGAGACTGCGCCACTGCACTCCAGCCCGCACAATAGTGCAAGACTCTGTCTCAAAATAAATAAATAAATAAATAAATAAATAAAAAGTATTTTAGTTTTCTGAGCGCTAAATGTCCTTGGGTATGAATTAAGACAAACTTACCATATTTTTCCCCATGGCTATTTTACTGAATAGTGCTGAGGTTTATATTGTCTGACCTTCCTTCCTGACCCTAAACTTCTCTCAGGAGTGTGGAGAAGCTTTGCATGGAAATGAGAATCCTCTTAAGCCTTTTATTCATTTTTCTCCTCAAGACTTTAGTAACCCAAGAAGAAATACAAATAAGATATTCAAGAGGGTGACCCCAAAGTTTTGATCTGCATTGCTGCTGCCAATATAAACACTCCTTCTGTCTACAGGAAATCAATCTTCCTTTTTTTTTTGTTTTTGAGACAGAGTCTCACTCTGTTGCCCAGGTTGGAGTGCAGGGGCACAATCTTGGCTCACTGCAATCTCCACTTCTCTGGTTCAAGCAATTATTGTGCCTTAGCTTCCTGAGTAGCTGGGATTACAGGCATGTACCACCACGCCCAGCTAATTTTTGTATTTTTTGTAGAGACAGGGTTTCACCATATTGGCCAGGCTGGTCTCAAACTCCTGGTCTCAAGTGATCTTCCCACCTTGGCCTCCCAAAGTGCTGAGATTACAAGCATGAGCCATCGTGCCTAGTCAAGAAATTAGTCTTTCTATAAACTCTTATACCTCCCAGAAGATGCCCCTTCTGAATCTATGCAAATCCACAAGCGTAATGAAAAAAGAAGTAAATCACTCGGCTGCTTCTGAATATGCATCATACCCATGTTAGGAAAACAGAGACAGGTTCTTGTGACACAAAGCTGCAGTTGAATGAAATGCCATTTCAGATCAGATTCGGTCTGTGGCAATTCTGATTTCAAGGTTTTGTGTGACACCAATAGTGCTCTATATGTGTTATGAGCTCCAGAGACCGTTGTTAAAGCTGTTAAAATAAACTGAGGTTTAGTCCAGAATTTAACAAATTAGTCCATTTATTTGAGATTTTGTTTCCTTTCAAGCCTTTATTCTGGGGATATAAAAATGAAAATATGTGCCTTGTTAACCATATAGAAGGAAAAATGCTAGTATCAAAGACCAAAGCAGTCTTCTCGGTGAACATCCCCACCCCACAGCCTCTTCTCATGTACAACAAACCCTACTCTTCTCTCCTGCCTAGTGATCTTCAGGTGCTTAGAGCCAAATTTTAGACAATTAGTAATCCATATGAAACACCCTCACTTCTGATAAATCCTGGGGTGGTTTGTGAATATCAATTATGCCTTCCTTACTTAATCTTAATAGATGACAATTCTGGCTGTCATAAGAAGATAAAAATGAGCCTCAGCTATTCTAAATAGGTAAGGAATGAATTAAAGAAAAGAGAAGAGAGAAGTGAGAGAAGTCAGTTGGCCAGTATCATTGTTGTTTGTTTTTTTGGTTAATGTCCATTTTGAATCAGGGCTAATATTTAGGCCTTGAACTGCACATTCACAGCCCATGTCACCCAGAAGGTGAAATAAGCAGTGAGGCAAATCACGTGGTTCAATAATCTCAAGAAATGAAGAAATGTACCAGCAGGATTCTTAGGGGAAATTCACTTGTGGACAGATAGTGTGCTTACCACCAGCCACTCTTGTCTTTGACTATTACAGTCAGCTCTCCATATCCATGGGTTCTGCATCCGTGGATTCAACCAACCATGGATAAAAAGGTATTCGGAAAAAAAATAAAACTAATGTACATTTAAAAATACAGTATAACAATACTTTCTATAGCATTTATACAACTCTAGGTATTATAAGTAATCTAGAGATGATTTAAAGTATTCAGGAGGATATACAAGGCTGTGTACAAATACTATGCCATTTTATAAGCAGGACATGAGCATCTGTGGATTTTGGTATCTGCAAGGGGTCCTGGGACTAATCTGTCATGGATACAGAGGAACAACTATAGTGTATCGCCCTCAGGTGATGATCAATCTTGGTATTGCCTTTTGCAAAACATCCCATAATGGCTACTTTCCTCCCCAAATTCTCTGTGAATCACCACTACATGTAAGGGCAGCAGCTAGGAAATACTGTTTTGTTTGATCTTGCTCTGCAGAAAAATCAATCACAGACATTTAAAGCTATCGAGGCTCTTTGAACTGATTCAGTCCCATCTCTTCCTCTAAAGGTAAGATGGGCAAGGCTCAAAGGGGCAAAATGACATTTTCCAAGGTGGCCTCATTTGTTAGACCTGTTCTTCTTTATTGCTGGATTTGTATTCGTCAAAGGCAACTCTTCTACTTTTGACAAAATTGTGAGACTTCCCAGGAAAGAATGCTGTTCCTCATTGTGGCATTGAGGAATGGATAGAAAAATATAATTAAAATGTCTGGGATTACCAAAATATGGGTTCCCCCTTTGGGAAATGCCTGAGTCCTATCACAATCCACTAACAAGTCAACTGCTTTAATGATTTAGTTCATGTTACCTTGGCTCTTCTACAAAGTAGAAAAATAGGTGATTAAAACATGTTTCATCCATTCAGAATTGCATGCAAGTAAAATTATGCATATATGGGAAACATAAGAAAATGGTATTGGGCTGGACATGGTGGCTCACACCTATAATCCCAGCATTTTGGGAGGTTGCAGTGGGAGGACTGCTTGAGCCCAGGAGTTTGAGACCAGCCTAGGCAACAAAGTCTCTACAAAAACAAACAAACAAACAAAACCACCCCAAACAAAAAACTACAATTAACCGCACATGGAGGGGCACACCTGTAGTCCCAGCTGCTTGAGAGGCTGAGGCGGGAGGATCCCTTGAGCCCAGGAATTTGAGGTGGCAGTGAAATATGATAGGGCCACTGCCCTTCTGCCTGGGTGACAAAGTGAGACCCTATCTCAAGAAAAAGACAGACAGACAGACAGACAGAAAGAAAGAGGAAAGAGAGAGGGAGGGAGGGAGGGAAGAGAAAGAGAGAGAGAAAGAAAAAGAAAGGAAGGAAGGAAGGAAAAGAAAGAAAGGAAAAAGGAAGGAAGGAAAAAGGAAAGAAGGGAAGGGAGGAAATTGTATTGTATATCTTAATCTTCAGACACTATCAAAGCATTGTGCCATGATATTGATCCAAGACAAGAACACACAATACAGTTCATACTGTCAAAAAATCACTAGGATTTTTCTAAAGCCATACATTTTTTTTCTCTCTTTAAGAAACTCCATAATAGAAATGCGTTCTCGAAAAGCATGATTTTCTAGTAAATGCAAGACATTTATATAAACAAAAAATAATCATAAATGCTTCTATCTAGGAAGGCTTGGTAAATAATATGTAGATTGCTAGTTCCTATTGTAGGAGAAAAATGCACATCAGCCCACAGAACAATTAAGAACACTTACTAGGAGTTTGTGTTCATACGGACACTTCTGGTACAAAATGGAAAACTTTGTAATATCTGCCTTCCATTGTTTCCCCAGACATCTGGAACCATGGCTGTCTTTCTGCCTTAGCTGCCACTTGTCCTAGCATCCTTCCATGTTCAAGCTCTCTGAGTCTATTTCTTAACCAGGTTCACCTTGCTGCATCTTTTTGCATGTCAAAATCCGCTTATTTCAGTCTACTATTTCTTTACTTATGCTTCTAGTCCTTTGCCCATTGTCACCAGAGGAAGCATATTACTAAGTTTACCACTTGCCTGTAATGAAAGATGTGAATGACCTGATAAAGCTCAGCAGAGGTTTATGAAGAGGCAAAAGACAAATGGAAAGGCTCGGACATTTAGCATAAAGACAGACACCCAGGCTGGGTGTGGTGGCTCATGCCTATAATGCCAGCACTTTGGGAAGCCAAGGTGGGAGAACTGCTTGAGACCAGGAAGTTTGAGAGTTTGATACCAGCCTGGGAAATCCTATCTCTACAAAAATGAAATTAAGAAAAAAATTAGCTGGGCATGGTGGCATCCACTTGTAGTCCTAGCTACTTGGGAGGCTAAGATGGAAGGATGGCTTGAGCCCAGGGGGTCAAGATTGCAATGCAATGAGTTATAATCACATCACTGCACTCCAGCCTGGGTGATAGAGCAAGACCCTGACTCAGAAAAAAAAAAAAGACATACTTTCTAAGATACTCATAGTTGTTGTATCCAACACTTCTTCCTTGGGTAGTTATTAAACTTCACAGAATACAAAGACTCACTTTTTCCCAAGTTTGGAATCCACCACCTACCTTGATTAGACTAGTTTAAGGTAATCTTGACAGTACTCTGAAAAACAGTTGATTCAATGGAAGCTGCTTTTAATGGCATGTCCTCAATACATCTATTTCTAAATCTTTATTTTTTCTTAGTTAAGCATATGCTATATAGAGTACACTATTTGTGGTACATGGTGAACTAAGACTTTTGGCCCAATCACAGGCTTTATGAAATGGCATCAAAGAGCATCTGAAAATTTTTAAAAAGGGAAAACAACTGGACTTTCGAATATCTCAGAAGCCACTTGGTTTTCTCTTGCAAGCCTTTCCTTCCAGGGACTTCCATTGTTCTGCGCCCTGAGTGAAGTGTTTCACTTTTTCCCTGTAGTGGAAATAAGCAACAACAGAGCTGCTTTGTGAACCAGAAAGTCATGAAGCCTTTCCAAATGAGGAGGATGTGGGAAGTGCCAAAGAGCCAGAGGGGCCAGGCAGAAGAAGAATGGGCCTGACTTCCTTTAGCTCATAATGAAGGTAATTCTTTGAGTCCAGGCTCAGGTAAACCTGCAGAAGGAAGACAGTCTTTGAATCTAAGCAGAAGAGGGTCAGTGTTTAGGTGGAGAAAAGCAAACACTCTTCTCCCTCTGGACAGCTACATCTGCCTGTGTTGCACCAGATGTGGAGCAGCTGTGTGTTCTCCCAGATGATAGTCAGATGGAAATGATGGAGAAAGAAATCACATTCTGTATGCTTCAGGAATAGAAAACAGGATTAATCCTTATTTGCATGACACATTAGTGAGATAAAGTCTTTTTTATCTCTATTTTGAATGGAAAAAAATAACTATCATTTATGAAGCACTGACCTTCATAAATGAAGCACTAACCTAGGAGCTTTAAATATGCTTTATTTTGAATTCTCACATCAATTCTGTGATACGGTTAAGATATTTTCTCACATTTATGAGAAAATCGAGTACCAGAGTTGAAGGTCAGAAACTGGTAAAATCTAGTCTAGAACTCAAGGTCACTAATGTCTTTTCCCTGATGTTCGGCCTTGGCACCTACTGTTAGCATTACATTTCTAATTTATTGTTGAAAAACCAGGTTGAGTTTTTGAATGGCCTCTGTTGAGACTCCAGAGTAAAGCTTCTCTTTGAGATCTTTGAAGAGTCTTGAAAGCAGAGAAATTGTCTAGATATTTTTTAATTTTTAAAATTATTATTATTATTTTAAAGACAGCATCTCACTATGTCTCCCAGACTGGAGTGCAGTGGTGCGATCATAGCTCACTGCAGCCTCAAACTCCTGGGGTTGAGGGTTCCTTTTGCCTCAACCTTCAGAGTAGCTAGGACTACAGGCATGCACCACCACACCTGGTGGCTAATTTTTGGAAGTTTTGGAGACAGGGTCTTACCATGTTGCCTAGGCTGCAAACTGTCTACATAGTGACATCAAAGAGTGACAGGAAGGCTAGCACGTTCCCAGGTATATAAAATAATTGACTCATAGAGCTCAGTCTGTGCTTCCAGCAGCTTGGATGGTTGCTACCACGGAGATGGTACAAACAGCAAGCAGGCAGGATGAATGCCAGGACGTTTGCATCTGGTTGTTCATAGAAACATAACCTAAAACATGTACCAACAAAAACTATCAGGGAAAGTGCCTAATTTCAAACCTATAACTATTCTCTTAATCTCTGAGCATGAGAACACTAAGGTCTTTTCTCTTTATATATTTAATACCAATATCTAAAACTGAAAAGCAAAGCTATTAACTAACAAAAGAATAAGTATACTGACGAAAATTTGCCAAATTTGCCTGAATTTAACTGTAATTAATGAGTGTGCTTTTCAGAATATGAGAAGAAAAGATCTTTTCTAATAAATACACAATTCTATGTCAAATTCTGTTTCTCAATTTTTTGCTTTGTGAAAACCTTCAATTTAAAACCAGCATAGCCGTGTTCAGGCAAGTCTGAATATACGTAATATCTTCATGTAATCTCAATGAAAGAAATACTCAGCCCTTCGTTTTAATTAATAATACCATATAATACAAAGATGGCATACATGTTGGTGAACTACTGCATTTCATCCTCTGTCTAGATGGTTCACTGAGTCACAGTCTTGATGAGTTTGTGACATCATAATTCATCACCATGGAAACAACTATGATGATGTGTTACCCTGCGGACCCTTAGTCATCAATCAGTTTGATTGATGACTCTGCTATGTTCAGCTAAATCAAGTTGACTTACACGTTCACAAATTAAAAACTGCTCTCTGTAGTATATAGCATGATGACCAAAAATAATGACTGTTTTAAAAATATGATCAAATTAAAGACACAGAAATAATCATTCATAATCCTGCCATTATACAAATCACTTCTTGGCTGGGTGTACTGGCTCACACCTGTAATCCCAGCATTTTGGGAGGCCGAGGTGGGCAGATCACTTGAGCCCAGGAGTTCAAGACCAGCTAGGGAAACAAAACATAGTGACACTCCATATCTACCAAAAAGAAAAGAAAAGAAAATTAGCCGGGTGCTATGGTTTGACTCTGTGTCCACAACCAAACCTCATCTAGAATTGTAGTCCCCACATGTCAGGGGAGGTGCCTGGTGGGAGATGATTGAATGATGGGGGCAGACTTCCCCCTTGCTATTATCATGACAGTGAGTTATCTCGAGATCTGATGGTTTAAAAGTGTGTGACAGTTCCCCTCTCACTCTCTCTCTCTCCTGCCACCTTGTAAGAGGTGTTTTGCATCCTGTTTGTCTTCCGCCATGATTGTAAGTTTCCTGAGGCCTCCCCAGCCAGGAGGAACTCTGAATCAATTTAACCTGCTTTCCTAATAAATTACACATGCTCAGGTAGTTCTTTACAGCAATGTGAAAATAAACTAATATACCAGGTGTGGTGGGGTGCACCTGTGGTCTCAGCTACTGGAGGGGTTGAGGTGGGAGGATGAGGATTGCTTGAGCCCAGAAGATCAAGGCTGCAGTAAGCCATGATCACACCACTGTACTCCAGCCTGGGCCATAGAGTGAGACCCTGCCTCAAAAAAAAAAAAAAAAATCACTTATTCGATTTTTTAGTAGTTAATTATAATTTTTGCTCTAGGGTAGATTCAATTTTTATATAATTATAAACTCAAGACATAATTTTAATATTATAAGCAGTTTCTTATAGTGCTATTTAGCTAATATGATGTTTTGTTAAGTTCTGATGTATTTTGAAAATAGCCTGTAATGTCCAAAGAAATAGCATCTGGTTTGCAAAATAGGGTTTGGGGAGCAAAGGTCGAGATTGTGACAGTGTTCTGACTGTGGCTTGTGAAGGGACATACAAGTTATTTTATTTTACTTCTTCAGGTTTCACTAGAGAAATTAAAGCCTTATCTTTCTTTTTCATCAAAAGGCAGTTAAGATTTAGAAAACAAGACTGTCATGATCTTCCTGGAATAAAACTGCCAAATAAAAATTTAGATGTAATCCAGTAAAATGTAAGTCCCTGAAGCAAAGAAATGACAAATTATGAGTTTTGTATCCTCATTCCTCAGTACAGAGTACGTTTTTAACAAATGTTTATTTGAAGTAAATGTACAACTAAAGATTAGAGCAAAAAATAACTGTTAACTAATTTATAATTTAGGAATCTGTTCAAATTACTTTGTGATTTTTAAACTTATATGACATTAGTGGAGATGGATCTGTGAATATGTAAAATGATTTTACATTATCTAGGACAAGTTTTTCTATCAAAAGACATTTAGGTATTTGGTTGCCAATTAAGTATAAAAAGTTATTTTTATCAAAATTAAAAGCTCTTGCCTTGTGGAAAAAAACAGTAAAGAGAATAAAAAAGACAAGCTATGGACTGGGAGAAAATATTTGTAAATCACATATCCGACAAAGGACTGCTATCAAGAATATATACAGAACTCTTAAAACTCAACAGTCAAAAAACAATCTAATTAGAAAATAGGCAACAGGAACAGAGAAGCATTTCACTAAAGAAGATATACAGATGCAAATAAGCCTATGAAAAGATGTTCAACATCATTAGCCACTAAAGAAATGCAAAGTAAAACCAAAATGAGCTATCACTATGCACTGATCATAATGGCTAAAATAAAAAAAGTAACACCACCAAATGCTGGTGAAGATACAGAAAAACAATTGCTGTCACATTGCTGGTAGGAATATAAAATGGCACATCTAATTTTGGAAAATATTTTGTTGGTTTCTTAAAAACACTAAACATGCAATTACTATCAGATCTAGAAATCACACTCATTCCTAGGCATTTATCTCAGAGAAATGAAAATGTATGTTTACACAAAAATCTGTGTATGAGTATTTATAGCAGCTTTATTTATAATCTCCCCAA
This sequence comes from Homo sapiens, assembly GCF_000001405.40. Classification (NCBI taxonomy): domain Eukaryota; kingdom Metazoa; phylum Chordata; class Mammalia; order Primates; family Hominidae; genus Homo; species Homo sapiens. The sequence continues at coordinate 32,438,457 of NC_000008.11, read as the reverse complement.
ACTAGAAACAACCCAAGTATCTTTCAATGGGTAAATGGCTCAACATCCCTAGCATGAAATACTATGCAGCGATAACAAAGAATGAACTACTAGTACACAAGCACCTAGATAAATCTCCAGAGAAGTATGCTAAGTAAAGAATCTCCAAAGAATTATGCTGATTGGAAAAAACCAATACCTGAAAGTTATATACTCTATGGTTCCATTTATATAACATGCTTGAAATGACAAAATGTTAATTATTGCCAGGGTTTTAAGGTGAGGGTGGGCAAAGGAAGTAGACGTAGCTACAAAAGGGCTAAGCACAGGGGATGCCTGGATGAAAATGTTCTGTATCTTGATTGTATCAGTGTCAATATCAAAGTTGTGCTATTGTGCGATAGTTTTCAAGATGTCACCATTGGAGGAAACTGGGTAAAAAGTATTGTTTGCATTATTTCTTATAGCTGCATGTGAATCTACAATTACCTCAAAATACAAAGTTTAATAAAAAATTACTTTTAAAGAAGACACTGTTTTAAAATTTATTAAGTTATGGTTTCCACAAACAACATAATATCTGAATATATTAACTATCAAAAGTATCTATCTTTTTGCTGAGAGGCATTTACTATTGGGTGGAATGTAGCTCACCAGTTATAATAAATAATATCAAAAGAAATGTATTTCCATCAGATATGTCCTACTGAAAACATAGTATAAAATAATGATACTAGTAAGAAAGGATGGTGTTATGTTGGTAATTAAAATTCTGAATTTTAAGGACCATCTTCATGGATAAGAACCTCAAAATTACAACTCCACATTCATAATGCAGTAGTAAGGTATTTTGCAAGCTCTTCCTTCCACTCTCCCTAATGCTTGTTTTTGTGAAAACCAGTCATGAAATGAAGGAAACTTCCGGTCTGGCTCTGGTGTGAGATTCTCGAGTTTATTTGCCCATCAACAAGCATTTCTTTAGAGCTGATCATAGAGCCAGGCTTCATGCTGCGCATTGGAGGCAAGACAGAGGTAAACATGACCTATCCTTTCTGTCAAGGAATTCTGCACATAAAGGAGGGAGGAATACTTCCTTAGTAATAGACTTTTACAATATAAGGTGGTGAGTGCAATGACAAAAACAAACAAACAAACAAAAACAAACAAACAAAAAAAACACTAAAGGAGGCACACAGGAGTGACACTGAGTTCAGAGGAGGCATTGGGGGAAGCTGCGGGAATGGAGGGTTTTTCAAGACTACCTAGGCTATGGACAATGAATAGGTAGGTAGGTAGGTAGGTGTTAGCAAGGTTAAAAACAAAATAGTCTAGACTTAAATTCCAAGTCTAAGTGAGTTTAGGAAGTGGAAGATCCCCTGATATGGCTTAAAAATGGGCCAAATATCTCTCCCATTGATCCCCACACAATATTATGATGAGTAGGTGCAAAGGCATAAACAGTCCCAAACATCTTGGTGACCTGCCTGGCCAGGAAACATTGGGAGAGTTGTAATGGGGATTGGTGCTGAGTATGGCATAGTGCATCAGAGATTTTTTAAATTGTGTGTGTGTGTGTGTGTGTGTATGTGTGTATACTTGACCATGTAAAACCCAGTTATGCACTGTGACACTGACATCTTTATCTTTAAAACTTTTAAGTATTTTAACCATTTTTTATACTATGAAGCACTATAAGATCTAAGTAACCAGAAGCTTCAAGCAAAGAATAGAAACATACAATATTTGTATAATGTTCTATGTTCATTCACATGGATCCAATGCACACAGTTTCATCTTGACAGACCAACGACAGCCTAATAGATGACTGCTTTACATAGAAAAAGACCTGGCATAACTCTGTCCAAGAAAGACTGTTATCTCAGTGATGGGACTCATGCTTAATTTAGCAATTGAAGATGAAGTAGGAAAGGATAAATCTGAATCTGAAGATTCCTTTACAAATCATTGGTTGGAGAAATCAAAAGGTTACTGGATAACTATAAAGCCAACTTAAGCTCCTAATCCTTTCAAAAGCAAATTATTTGTTGAAAACTTAAGGAATGAAGATTGAGGAATAAAATGAAAGTATACACTCTGATATGGTTTGGCTGTGTTCCCATCTGAATCTCATCTTGAATTGTAGCTCCCATAATTCCCATGTGTTGTAGGAGGGACCTGGTGGAAGACAGTTGAATCATGGGGGTGGTTTCCCTCACACAATACTCGTGGTAGTGAATAAGTCTCACTAGATCTGATGGCTTTATAAGGTGTTTTCCCTTTTGCTTTGCTCTCATTCTCTCTTGCCTGCTGCCATGTAAGATGTGCCTGTCACTTTCCACCATGCTTGTGAGGTCTTCCCAGCCATGTGGAACTGTGAGTTCATTAAACCTCTTTTTCTTTATAAATTACCCAGTCTCAGGTATGTCTTTATCAGCAGTGTGAGAAGTGATTAATACACACTCCTGGTGAATGTATAAGGTTAGGACTTATTTCAGATTTCAAAGAATGGAAAATGGTAGATGAATATACCCTATGAAAGGAATCTGCATTTTGAAGAATAAAAAACATTTTACCAATAAAATCTTACTATAGAAGTACTGGCATATATCAATTAAAATAAATGACAGGTAAACATAACTATATTAGGATGTACATCCTATATTAGGATCCTAAGATACATCCAGAATTATTGAAAAATAAATATTTATGAATTTTATTGACTTCTAGTTCTTTAGAACTTTGAAGTAACTTGATTTTATTTTATATTTTTAATGCTAAAAAATATTGCCTGGTAACGTTTTTGCTGTGGACAGAGACTTCTTTACTTACAAATGTAAAACACTGACGTTTGTGGATTATTAACCAGACACATTTATAGAACTACCTATGCAGCTAATATTATGACCACAAATACAATAGCTCACTAGTGCTCCAGTAACAGCAGAAGGGACCTATATGAAATACTTGGATTATGCAAAATTCTATTCTCTAACTCTGCTAGCCAACAAAGAATTGTTTTGGTCAGTCAACTGGGGAGGTCTCAACAATTACCCTACACAAAGCCTCTAATTCATTGACTTGAGCTATTACCATATTTGTGAACTTTCCCTTCCTTCAGTTTGGCTAAAGGTGCTCTTAAATATAAATCTCCCTCGTTATTGGGAAGAAATTTTTTGAGAACTCTTTTGTGATATGTGGACACCTTGGCCCACCTAACCAATAGGCAAACCAATGGGACTCTGGGGTTGCCATGATGATAGCTTCCAGATCCAGAGCCAAAAGTGAATCTAGAAAGGATCTGATTTAAAAGGCATTTATGGAAATATCTGCCTCCCATTGTGCCTATCTGCCATCTTTCTTCACCTATCCCAATTTTTAACAATTAGACTAAACCATAGGCATAGTGTCTCCAGAAGGCCACTGTTAAAAATCCACCTGGGAAAACATGGTGATTACATTTGTCCCTCAGGTATCCATGGGATGTTGGTTCCAGGACCCCTGCCTCCATATCAAAATCTGCAGATGCTCAACTCCCTGACATAAAATAGCATATTTGCATATAACCTATGCACATCCTTCCATATACTTTACATGGTCTCTACATTACTTACAATACCCAATATGATATAAATACTATGTTGTATTGTTTTTATTTGTATTATTTTAAATTTTTTTTTTCAAATATTTTCTCTCTTCAACTGGTTGAATCTGGAAATGTAGAATCCCCAGATATGGGAGGGCTGATTATACTGGCAATCTCCTGTAAGTTATTTTGGCAATCTCTTTAAATTATCTTGTCAAATTAAGTAATTGTTACTTTGGGAAGCACAGAGTGCCTGGAATGGAGGCTCTGGGCTTCTTTCACTGGTGAATAGGGAAGAGAATAAACCTGTGCACCTCTGAAGCTGGCTCCAGAGGGCTGTAACTCCCAGTGGTGGGTCCCGATCTGGGCTTCTGGGGCATTAAGAGTTCAGTTATTCGGGGCATCCTAAACCATTTGATTCCAGTCTGTCACATGTAAAGTATAGGAGCATGTGCATATTACTTTTCTGAATCCTAATGTTTTAAATTTATAAAGTCTGGATAATCCTACATATTTTTCACAGGCATTGTTAGTATTAAAAGGCAGAACAATGCTTTTAGCACTCAGCATAGTACCTGAAAATATTTCCTGAATAAATAACATATATACAACGTTTAGCTCAGTACTGTACCCAATTCATGGAAGTTTTTCAATAGTTAAAACTTGAAGTCTAAGTTTTTTATTTTATTTTATTTTATTTTATTTTATTTTGAGATGGAGTCTCATTCTGTCGCCAGGCTGGGGTGCAGTGGTGTGATCTTGGCTCACTGCAAACTCTGACTCCCTGGTTCAAGTGATTCTCCTGCCTTAGCCTCCCAAGTAGCTGGGATTACAGGCACGTGCCACCACGCCCAGCTAATTTTTGTATTTTTAGTAGAGATGGGGTTTCACCATGTTGGCCAGGATAGTCTTGATCTCCTGACCTCAGGATCCGCCCACCAAGGCCTCCCAAAGTACTGGGATTACAGGTGTGAAGTCTAAGTTTTACTGTGAGGTATATTCTGAAAACTGCCCAGTTATCATGCATGGGGAAGGCCACAAACCTTTCAGTTCAAGGAAGAAAAAATATTTATGCTATGAGAAATATTTCCTACTCCTGGTGAGGTTTAGGATGTGTCAAAGCGTTAGTCCTACTGAGACTGAAAATTTTATACCAGTAGGAAAGAGGGGTGAATTCTAACATCCATTTAGAGCTGCATAGATGAGAATTGTTTCTGTGTTGCCGGGCACCGAAACAATACCCTTTACAAGACAGAACATTTCCTACTTATCTGCTACACACATTTAGCTTTTTCTATTTTGGTCCATTATTAATCTATAATTATTCTCTTTTGTGGAATTGAGAAATCACAGCAGGAGGTTACATTGCTTAAAGAATTAATTATTTCCCGAACAAGGAAAATTGGAAAAAATACAAGCCCAAAAGGGAAAAGTTCCTTCCCATTTCCTGAGGCATGCTAAGAAGTCCACAATTAGCTCGGTTTCTAATAGTTTCCACAGATCTGCTACTGGACATACCTAGTTTTTCCTCCAGGAGCCTGCTATCCATAATCTCTCCCCTGCCCTTTTGGGATTCTGTCACCTCTTTGCTAACTGGAGGGTGTCGAAGTGAGTTGGAACTTCCTTTAGAGCCTTGCATTTCTCTTTCATTCTGATATTTTCCTGATGTCTCATCACTTGTTCCTTCCATTTGATGCAATGCTGCCTAGTTCTCAAACACAGATGAGAGGAAACAGGGCCCCAGTATGTCCTACCCAGCCCACTGGAATTTTTACCACCCAGCACAATGACTGTCCAAGTCAAAATAGCTGTGGGGCAGATAGTATGTGCCATGTGCAAGAGCCCCTGCCCTGACCTCACCTCTTGGCACTCACTCAGATAAACAGGCAGAGTTGTACACTATAACTAGAAACATGACAAATACACAGTCATCAAACTCTTCCCACTTCCCTTTGACCTATAATGGTAAACTAAATTTAATCATTGTGTAATTGACCACCATTTAAAAGCTTTTGCTCCACCCGAATGCGACTTGCTGAAAAATAGATCTAAGATCATCCTGAGAAGGGCAGACTGCACTTCGTTGTGATATTAAATACAGTGTGATTGGCTGGGTGCGGTGGCTCACACCTGTAATCCCAGCCCTTTGGGAGGCAGGAGGATTGCTTGAGTAAAAGGAGTTCGAGACCAGCCTGGGCAACATGGTGGAAACCCTGTCTCTACTAAAAAATACAAGTGCACACCTGTAGTCCCAGCTACTCTGGAGCCTGAGAAACAAGAATCGCTTGAACCTGGGAGGCGGAGGTTGCAGTGAGCTGAGAGCCACTGAACTCCAGCCTGGGTGACAGAATGAGACTCTGTCTCAAAAATAATAATACAAAAACAAAAACAAAAACCGGTGTGATAAAGTGGAAAATGCATGGACTTTGCTGTGAGGAAAAATCAGATTCAAAATCTTCCTTCTGATTATGTGGTCTTGGGCAAATTTTTTAAACTCTCTTAGGTTCAGATTTCTTTTTTTGTAAAAGGGAGATAATTAGTAATGTCTACTTTATAGGGAGTTGAGAGGTTTAAATGAATTAATAAATGTAAAATATGCCTAGAACACTGTTTAGTACATAGTTAGCTTTCAATATATTCTATTTATTTTTGTGACTATCCTTTTATCCTCTAATTTTCTATTACTGTCTAGTAGGGATGAGCCCAGGTTTACCTAATGATGGGAGTTATACCAGGTGTATTAATTATTTCAAGGATCTCACTCCTTCCATATACATCTTGACAGGCCTTTCCCACCTGATAGTTTAACAGGAAAATTCTACAATTAGGAATTCACTGCTTTAACCTGGGATTTAGTTGCTTATATTCTATTAAATCACCATTGCCCTTTGGGAGGCCAACACTTCAACCCAATAAATAATAACGACTACCATGTGTGGAGTAACACCTTTTCCCTGTGACATTTCTTATCTCATCTTAAATTGCTTAACAGTCCCATAGGGTAAATATTATCCCTACTGATAGTGTTCACACATTTAGGTTTACAGTGATAATCAGAACAAAAATGGTTCAGAAGTCACCGACTCAAGTTGTTATTGCTGTTGTTTCTAAATTAAAAAATTACAAAATGTAATTTTTTCCCTCAGAAAAAAAAAACCCTGAGAGATTGACAGAGACTATCAATACACAACTAAATTAAATCATCGTTAAAATATTTTGTGTTGTGAAAACACAAAATAAGCACAGACAGGGTATATGAAGACCTCCTTTCTAAGGTGGGTCTTGACCTTGGAAACAGGTATTTCTGATGAACTCTGAGAATATTAACTCTCCCTTGAAGTCTTGTCTTTTGAGGACTACTAAGAGGGGTGACAGGTTTGGTACACACAGATGAAGTTACCCGCAAGGCAGAGGGAAACACAGACTACTTAGGGAAGAGACTACGTGATGGAGAGTGAGTGTCCCTGGGAGGCCTGAGAATAAGTGCTGGACCAGGACGTGTGGCTTCCCGTTTATCAGCAAGGGTGGAGTAGGACAGAATCCTAGCAAAAGTGAGGACCTATGCCAGGGCTCTGATACCTATTTGCTAGAGTAAGCACTGCCTAGTATCATAATCCCCATCCAGTACTGTTTCCTGAGTGACTTTATGTATTACACAGTTCACTTGATATAAAATAAAATCGGTAAGAGCTTCATAGATAGAACATACGCTCTAGAATCAGAAAGATCTGGGCTTAAATCCCAACTCTGCCACTAACTGGTTCTGTGATCATGGGCAATGTGTTTAACTTCTCTGAGCCTCACATTCATTCTCTAAATGTGTGTGTTTGTGTGATAATATTCACTTCATAAGGTTTTGTCAAAATTAAATGAGGTAACAGGCTTCAGGAGACACAGGTGGTGTCCAATAAATGCTAGTTATTATTATGGTGACATCTCTAGACTATGAGCTACTGGATGTCAGGGAACATATCTTACTCATTTTCATATTCCTGGTACCTATTTTATAAAGTCAATGCTTAATAAATAAATGTTGAACAATGCTTAAACTAACAAACATTGGGAAAAGTGTTTCTGATGTACCAAAAATACAAAAAAAAAAAAAAAACCCAAACCATTGCAGTGTAACATGAGGTATAATCAGACCATAAATGTTTGCAGTAGCAAATGACATATTTTCTAGTAAATGGATGCTGTCGTTAGTCAATACTTCTGTAGCTGCTTCACCATTTAATCATCATTTAGACAAAAGGAAATGCACAGTCCTCATTTTCAGTGTTGAACGTAACACAATATTTGCAAGTTGTCAGATATTAGTAAAAATGACTTGGATGACTGGGAGCAGCTCAGGCCTAAGTCTGAATGGAATTGCTTTGATATCAGGATATCAGACTCTCCACACGCCCACCTCTAGCCTCACTCCGTGCCACCAAACTCTCACCCTGTGCCCAAGCTCTGCACATGTGTTCTTAAACAGTTTGCCAGGCTTGTTTTAGGAAAAAGCAAAACACATGGTTTATTGCTGCTCATAAATATGGTACCAGATTTCTCTACTTCCTTGGACACAGTGAAGCAGAGAAATATTATAACATTCCCTGTTTTATGAGTAAGCATAAATAGTTCTATATTTAAGGAATCCAGAATTCTTAAGGGCATCTTGAAGGGTAGGACATCCCTTGAAAGAGAATTCGTGTGGAATGGGAATTTGGCCTTAGGTGATCTTGACACTGAATGAGTCAAGCTTACATTACAAAATCCACCAGCAATAATAGTAGCACTGTCCTAAGGCTGGAAACACACTTTATTGGAAAATGCAAATTATGATAGCACAGTCAAGAACAGGATGTTACTAAGCAACTTCCTTGCCTATTTGAACCTATAGTGCATTCAGTTTCCATACACACACATATCACATTCAGGTTTAACCTTTTTGAACTACAAAGATAAGATTAGAAAAAGCAAAATATATGCACAAACACCATATGGATATGTGTTTTTAAATTATTTTAATTAATTTACATTTTTTTCTTAAAAATGTACATGGTTATCAGTCATGGTATAGGTCAAGAGCAATGACATGACAAAGAATTGTGGACCTGGAGCTATAGCAAGGAAGTGGATGGATGGTAAACCATATAACAGATGTAGGATGTCCAGTGTCTGAGGAGAAATGGCCACACTGTTTGCGATAACTTCTTTTATTGCCAGTTTACGGTATTGCCCATGCGTAAGTATCAAAACAAAAAGGGAGAGAAAGGAGGAAAAATTATTCAAATGAAGCTTTTATTTTCCTCTACTGAAAACAAAGCATTATTTCTTCTTGAATTATTAGCTGTGTATCTCTAATCCAAGTCATGTTCTAACAATTTCCCTGTAATTAGAAATATACATATTTGCGTAAGTTACTGCCAAGGTGCCTAGGTATTTTACTGGCATTAATAATCAGTATATGGCAAGAGAAGCTGAGCCAGTGGGCAAAAGGCTTCATAGTGTTTGGGCCAAAGTGGTAAAAGGAGACTGTGATTATGTTTGATGAGGCCAAGACTTGGTCCTAGGAAACCAGGGTCTGAAAACACTTACCTTCAAACTTTGGTCAATTTCACTAAGCCTGAGGGCATTGTTGCTTCTGGCCTAATTCTCCCATTTGGGTCTTGTCATTCTAAAAAACAAAGAGGAGGGTAACTTTGGATAAACACTTTGTATATCACAACCCAATTCATATTGTAAAACATACAGCCTGTTCGTTTAGTTGACTTGGAAAAAAAAAACCGTACTTCATTTCACTTCCACCCTCAGATCACTAATGTCCAACGTGACTATGTTGGCTTGCATAAGGCTATACCTTGGTATTTTTGCAGTCAGTGTTCACTAACAAAAACCTAACACATGGAGTGGAATGAACAAGCTTATGTATGTTACACTAATTTATGCTTTCCAATGTGGACTGAATATGACTAGGTCCTATCCCAAAAGCAAAACAAACAAACAAACAAACAAAAACCTACCTGGTATGAGAGAGTCTGTAGAAATTTCTCTAGGTCTTGAACCAACTGGAAAATATACAGGGCCAGATCCAACAAAAAGACATCTTCAAGGGAGGTCAGGGGTCTGGAACAATCCATTACTTTTGCTGAAATAAAAGCTGGGTTTCCATCAGGGAGTGATGCAATAACCGGGAATTATCAGAGTGCTGTCATAAGCACAGGTTCTAGGACTTGCTGAGTCGTGACACCTCAGCACCAGGTATTTAGTTCTAGGAATTTGCTGGAGGACAACCAGCAGCTAACTGAGCAGCCTTGGTTCTTTTGGCCAAGGGTGTCCTCCCTTCACACGTAAGTGTGAAACCGTTAAGCAGAAAGACCTGGAGTTCTATAGCAGCAACAGCCCTAAAATGTGTCTTCCATTTAGGGCTATGATTGAAATCTGCTAACGAAGGCAGACAACACATCCCAACAATGAAGCCCTGCTTTAGAACTAACAAAACTGATTTCTACAGATACTGTTTCCAGGCTGATGTTTTAAAGAGGATCTGTAAGGAAGAAAAAAAAAAAAAGAATTCACTCAAATAAAACAATGCTACTAGGACTTTATGGAGAGGTGAATTTTATTACATTTCACCCATATCTGCTTCCCCTCCTGGGGTGGAATTATATTTCCCAAAGATGCTGAAGTCAGACTTGAATTGACTTGCTTTACCACCGAAATGGGAGTGGAAGTGACTTGTGTGGTGTCCAGGTAGAAGCTTAAAATGTAGCATGTGGTTCACTGTGATCATTGCCTTTGCCATGGTGAACATCAATATGAGAAGAGAGACTCCTCCAACACTGTTGGTCCCTTAGGGACGTGATGTGGAGAACAACCCCCAGTCAACGCTGGCCAACACTCAGTGGATGTTATATATTTAGAAAATAAACTTCCGTTGTTGTAAACTGTTAAGATTTTGGGGTAGTTTGTGACCACTGAACAATCTAGTCTAGTCTAGCTAAAATACAGAGCAACTTGGAAGAAAACGTTTGCAGGGTTGAAACCGCCCCTGTTCATATTGTATTTATACATTAGTCAACATAAATAATGAGGCATTTCTCCATTTCCTTGACACTGAGCATATTTCTCCAATTGGTGACTAAAAGAGAGCTTATCCTGTCGCACACGTTAGAACAATCTTAGAATCATTTGATAAATGTAATTCAAACACAATAGCCCATTTTTTTCTTCATTACTGAAGGAGCTATCAAATTGAAGGTAATCAAAAGGATTGAAAACAGGTTTACCAATATGTTGTTACCTCTAAAACGCACATGCAAGAAAATCAAGTCACGCATGTAATAAACTGTAACAAGATGATTGGCATATTGACAAGGCTGTTGGCACAAGCTGTCTTTGGCTCTCTGCCCCAGTCGCAGCTCCTCTGCTATGGAAATCTGCTTGTTGGCCACTGGAAAGGCAGCCGTCACATCTTTAGAGGTTTTTTAAATTGGTAAGAAGAGGCTCTGAGCAGCTGTGATCGCAGGAAGGATAATTAGGGTAACAGAAAATCAGAAAGAGCCAAGTGGAGATGGAGGATCTACCACGTTTAATGCCATGTCCAAAGAAAAATAAGATATTTGTAAATATTTCCTTGTGATTTTTCAGGGAAAACCATATGCTGGAAAGCAGTATGGTAGGAAAAAAGTATCAAACTCATATCACAATGGCTTTTCTACTTTTTCTATGGGCTTAAAGAGTTAAAGTTAGCCCAGATGTGGAAGGACAACAGATGGGTGCATTCTGATGACTTACAATTCTGGATAATAAAATGACCTAAGACTCTATTTAGAGAAATAGAACAGCTACTCGGGCTGTTTACAGACTGAGAAATATCACGATAAGCAAATGCAGGCAGTTCAAAGGAATGATAAAAAAAAAAAGGACAAGTGGATAAATAATGACCTGATGTTGTTGCGAAAATGTAGTATAACTCTTACATTGTTAATATAAACACAGATGACCTTTGCTTTTGCTCAACTTTCGTCTTCAAGACAGGAAACAGCAACTGATCTTTATCGGAAAAGTAGAATCTTCCACTTGCTTCTGCTGTACTGACATTACGGTGTATGTCAGAGCATAGCAATGTCACTATCTTTTCAAACCACATGTTGAAAGCCTGATAGGTGGTTGAAAGAGAAGCTTATCCTGGGCATATGCTTTGTGTGTTGCAGAGACAGTATAGACAAGGTTAGAAGGAAGGCATTGTGTGTGTGTAGGGTGTGGTGTTGAGACTGGGAGAGAAGGGCCTGTGTCTACATTTTCTGTGGATGTATTCTTCCATTTATCATCTTCACAAACATAAACATCCTAGGAGAATGTCTACTACTTAACAAATAAATCAACCTGAAGTTCTTTTGTTTTATACATTACAGTAGGCAAGTCCTATATTCTGGACATACTGTAAACTAAAACACAAGGAATTGTTTATGAATTACACAATATTTTGCGTCAGAAAAGTTTCTAACATCTGAACTAGCTTTTCTCTATTTCAAATAGAAATTGATTCAGATTTTTTATGGCATATACATAAAAATGCACACATCTGTCCATCAATACAGCACTTTATTCATACATTGATGTTTCAGTTCTGTAGTTCACAGCAACCTACGGCCATTGATGAATCTTCTCTCCCTGCTCTTCACTGGATATTTATCTAGTCATGATTTCCTAAGTCATGATTTTGCCCTAAATGAAGTTACCTAAATTGACCTTTCATTTCTCACTGCACAGTCTATTTAGTCTGGGCTCCAAAACAGACTTTCTCAATATGGGACCAATTCTGATTGCTCTTACTTATTAAATATTTCTCACCTAGCATAACACTTGGAGAAATCACCTTTATGTTTCTTTATAGCCATTATGTAGAGCGCCAAATCCTGTTTACTTGGACCTGCGGCAGGATGATCCATAGTTTCTACCCACTCTAACCCAGCCCGAGAAACTGTTTCTAGCAAAGGACGTATTCTGTATTCTAGCTCTCAGCCCTGCCTCTATATGCCATCATGATGATACCAGGGATGTTTCCCTTCCTATTCCAAATAAATAAATTCATGTATACTTTTCTTAAGCCTCTAGCTCCTCTATCGTGTGACTTTAATATTAGAAACTTTACATGCTGGGACCAATTACTACCTAGTCAATCAGAAATAATACTACTATAATCTCAATCATGATTTAACAAGTTTTTTCCTGCAAAGGGTTAGATGTACATATGTTTTCAGCTCTGTGGGCAATATGGGCTCTAGATCTCTTAGATCTCTGTTACAATTAAATAAAACAACCATGGTAGCATGAAAGCAGCCACAGATATAAAGAAATGGGTGTGATGGGTGTGTTCCAATAAAACTTTATTTATAAAAATAGATGGGGGAGGTAGTTTTGGCTTGTGGGCTGCAGTTTGCTAACCCCTGATCTAAATCAAACAGACACATAGCCATTGCAAATTAGAGTCTGATCCTGGTAAAAATCACACTTACAGATGGTCTTCACATTTCTTCTGGATTTATTGAGGGGATGTAAAAAATCAATATGGAGAGATAATTACTGCTTTCTAAATAGGACTCTACTACAGCTATTAAAAACATTGACATTATCCCAACTTCTCCTGCCTGAAGGCATTTGTTCTATGGATATTGGCAACGGATGCAAATGCCATTCCAAAGAGGCATGCATTTAGATGTTTTCTTTTGTTTGTTTCTTTGCAGCTTGGATAGTATCATTCTATTTGGCCTCCTTCATATTCAGTGGTGCTTGCCTAGCCAAGATGGGTTGGAGAAATGCTACTGATATATAGTAAATCATAGAAATGTATATGCAAAGGACTTAAAACAATAGCTGCTTTTCAATAAGTACCAAAATATTATGCCAGGGACAATCATATATGACCTCATTTATCTTTACTACATCTTCTAGATGAGGAAACAAAGACTCAAATATATGAACTAAATTCCCTCCAATTTTTTTTGTTTTTTTGTTTGTTTGTTTGTTGTTTGTTTTGTTCTGTTTTGTTTTAACAGAGGATCTCACTCTCACCCAGGCTGGAGTGCAGTGGCAGATCATAGCTCACCGCAGCCTTGACCTCTTGGACTCAAGTGATCTTCCCACCTTCCATATTGCTGGGATTACAGGAATGCACCACCATGCCTGGCTAATTTTTATTTTTGTAGAAATGGGGCCTTCCTATGTTGCCAAGGCATGTCTTGAACTTCTGGGCTCAAGCATTCACCTGCCTTGGCCTCCCAAATTGCTGGGATTATGGGTGTGAGCCACCACGTCCAGCCTAGAATTGCCCAAGATTCTAAAACTAGTAAGAGGCAGATCTGGAACTTAAACCAGATCTCCTGACTCACTTGAATATGAACTTTGTATCAAAATGGTAAGGCCTCATTTCGTTCTTCATTTCCCAGATTTTCCTGATTCCTGATCCCAAAATTGGTATCCGTGCTTTTGATCTCATTGAACCCCAAAAAGATTACCTTTTCTAAACATTCAAGGTGAGTGTGCTCTGAGAAGCCATAGTGAAGTGTGTTGAGGCAACTTAGCTCTAGAGGCCCAGGGTGAGTGCTTTCAGGCTGAGTGACCTGCTCACACTAGTCCTACAATGTAGGACTAGTGGATGCCACAAGTCAAGAAATGGAGGGAAAGCAAAGGTCATACAAGCTTTAGCAATGGACTGGAGAAGGCAGTTTGAGTTTGAGAGAAGAGTCTGAGAAACCCAAAGGAAAAAGAGTTTGAGAAACCCGAGTTAGAACTCATGGATATACTGCTTAGACCCAACTAACCAAGTCAGCCGAATGTACCCGGATAGCTGCTGGATGATTATCTTCTGGATGGTTATCTAGAAAGAGGGCTTAGGAACTGGGCAGGAGACATAAACTTGTAGAATTCCAAATAAGGACTTTCCAAATATCGGCTCAAAATAACATTCCCATTCATTATTATTCCAGTATCTGCAAGGAATTTGAGGAAAATATGTTATGGCAGGGTTCCAAACTGACTGACTGACAACCAGTCAGAAAACTTAGAGTAGATAATCTTGAAACTGGTCATATCTTCAGAGAAAACTGCATGCAAAGCAAATATTTGAAAGCCACATTTTAAGAAAGGAATAAGTGTATGGTGTGTTTGTGTGTGTCTGTGTGTATGTGGGTTAGGTAGTGGGTCTCTGGCACAGGTAGAAGAGGAAAAAGTTGTGACTTTTATTATTTATTATTATCATTTTTTGAGACAAGGTCTTGCTTTGTGGCCCAGACTGGAGTGCACTGGCATGAACATGGCTCACTGCAGCCTCCACTTCCTGGGGCTCAAGCAATCCTCCCACCTTAGCTTCTCGGGTAGCTGGGACCACTGGCGAGAGCCACCATGCCCGGCTAATTTTTTGTATTTTTTGTAGAGACAAGATTTCACTTTGTTGCCCAGGCTGGAAGTCCTGACTTTAATATTAGGATCCTGCTGACCCTATATCTTTGAATTATTTGACTGTGTACCCAAACATGTGTTTGCTTTCATGTAGACCAGACCTTATAAATCTTGAAATAATCCATCAGTGAAAGGAGAAAATGCTGCCTTGTGTGTGGCTGTGTAATAAAGATGAAATGGCCTCTGATGAAGTGTGAGGCCTCCTCAATTACCTGTCCTGGAGACAATAACCTTTAAAACACATCAAAACTGTGAAAATATTATTGCTGAAGGCAAAGGGATTGATACTTTCCAGTGAATTGAATACCACAGGCCACCCAATGGAGCAATATCAATTATAGGGCAGTGCTGTTTCCAAGATGCTCCTCTAGAGCATAGGGTTTGGACCAGAACAATCTCTCTTTCATGGGGAGTGCAGTTGACAACTTGTACTGGGTCACTGGGGGCATCTCCAAAGGGCTTCCCAGGTGATCTCACACATGGAGAGTGTAAATGAGAGAGTAATTTAAACCATGTGAAAGTTTGGCTTCTTTTTCAAAACTGCAAGAAAGCCTGATTATATCATAGTTAGTTATTACACAGATTCAAACAGTGTGCTGAGTTAAACCAGGTCCCCTGATACATCACAACTGCATTCAGTTACAGTCTGATGCAGCACAGTCAGAATGTAATTCAAAAACCATTAGACATTCCATTCTCCTATCAGCTTGGCAAAGAGCCAAAAAATTGACAATACCCAACGTTGGCAAGGTTGTTGGGAGAAGCTGGCACTTTACTACACTGTAGGCAGAAAGTAATCTCATATGACCCTTTGGGTTGGCAAACTGGTAATATGTTTAAAGATACAAAATCTCTAAATCTTTTGTCCCAACAATTCTACTTTCAGGAATTTACCACAGAAGGAAAATTGGTCAAAAGCTCAAAGATGAATGCATGAGGTTCATCAGAGCATTGTTATGAGAGCAAAAATGTTGTAAATACTCTGTGTTCATCAAGAGGATTTTGGTTAAATGGATTAACCAAAACTGTACACACATCCATAAAATATTTTGCTGATAAATTATATTGATATCTGTTTTAATTGAAATGGGAAACTATCAATGATATTATTTTGTGAGGAGTATGTTAGAAAAGGAACAAAGAACAAGTTATAAACTAATATGTTTAATATGATCATATACATATGTGTGGATAGGTATATGATCATATTAGCAAAACTAGCTGCTTCAGGGTGAAAGAAATTGGGATGATGCTTTACTTTTTTCCCTCTTTCTACTTTAAAAAAATTATCTTTTTTCTATTTCTTTTCTTAAATATAAGTTTATGGGTATAAGTGCAGTTCTGTTATGTGGATATATTGCATAGTGATGAGGTCTGGGGTTTTAGTGAAATCATCATCCACATAATGTACACTGTACCTCTAAGGTAATTTTTCATCCCTCAACCCTGCTCACTCACCCACCCTTCCAAGTCTCCAGTGTCTATTGTTCCGTTCTGTTATGCCTGTCTGTACACATTATTTAGCTCCTATTTATAAGTGAGAAGATGCAGTATTTGACTTTCTGTTCCTACTTTTTATGTTTTGTTTTTTTCATGTATCTGCATTAATCTTTATTATCAGAAAAAATAATAAAAACACACAAAATCAGCTTAGGTGTTTTTCCTCTCTGCTGGCACCTGCCTTAAAGATGTTGCACTGTGTATGCGAAGTGATTTTCATTTTCCTAAGGAAAGCATCATTACAAAGAACAGGAGCACAGGAAGAAGGAAAGCTTGGGGTCTGTGGCCTATTGGTGCACACTGCATTAGCTACTCTAAAGATAGAGGAATCAATAACTTGGCTCTAATAGCTTGTTAATCATCACACTGAACTTAAGCTTCACTTGTATAAAATCGTCTTGGAACGGTAATAGCCCTGCTGTTTCACATTGCTTTTCTTTCCCAGGGCTTTATTAACATGACCTCACTCATCATGCGGCGTGCCTGTGAGCTCTAGCTGCCCAGCAATTATCTCCCATTTGAAAGAGAGAAGCTCCAGGCTCAGAGAAGGGCAGATGTTGGCCAGAACCTACAAATGGTATGCCAGGAGTAGGCAAGTCAAATCTTTATTTTTCTGTACTTTGGGAGCCAATTTTCGTACATCTCATATTGGTCCCTTCCCTACCCTACTTCTTGATAACAGCAAATTTGATTCAGATCAATTCCTTTTTCCCTCTCTCTCAATCTTGGGGTCTATAGTAAAGGATTTAGCCAGGTCTGGTTTGGTTTGGAAAAAATTGTTGTACTTCACATAATGTATTCAAAAGATGAGTGTATTAGTCTGTTCTCACACTGCTATGAAGAAATACCTGAGACTGGGTAATTTATAAAGAAAAGAGGTTTAATTGACTCACAGTTTCACACTGCTGGGGAGGCCTTAGGAAACTTGCAATCATGGCAGAAGGCAAAGGAGAAGCAGGCACCCTCTTCACAAGGGGCAGGACAGAGTGAGTGCCAAGTGAAGGGGGAAGCCCCTTATAAAACCATCAGATCTCCTGAGAACTCACTCACTATCATAGGAACAGCATGAGGGAAAACTGCTCCCATGATTCAATTACCTCAACCTGGTCCCGCCCTTGACACATGGGGATTATGAGGACTACAACTCAAGGTGAGATTTGGGTGGAGACATACAGCCAAACCATATCAGTGGGAAAAAGTATCTGATAGTATAATGGCAAGTATCATAAAGCCCTATTTGGATTAAAACCTGACAAATCCCTACATTGTCAAGCACTGTTATGAGAGCAAAAATGTTGTAAACACTCCACATCCATTGATGGGAGTTTGGTTAAATGGATTAACCAATAGCATGTATCCAATCATGAAATATTTCCAGTAATCTCATGTTTAGTAGGAAAAAAAAAAAAGAGAGAGAGAGAGAGAGAGATGAGGGTGGTCACCCATCATCAAGTGACAGAAACTAAAGGATAAAAGGCACATTTAAAGAACCTTCGATGTTGAGCCCAGAGCTTGAGGTGCCTCAAACTCTCAGCAATTCTGGGCAAGCCATCTGGAAAAGGCCAGTTGTAGAAATTTTGCTGGATCTCAAAGAGGAAATACGAGAAAGGAAGTTTTTGGAACTTTTCTTTCTCTTTTAAAACATCAAAATAAATGTGGTCCTGAGAGAAGAACAACAAAAACAACCCCCAAGGGAAGTGGAGCCACAAGCCACCATTAAGTCACAAGAGGAGCATGTGCCACCCCACCGGGAGCTGTACGCACTTGGCTTCTTCCAGCTGATGGTCACACTGAAAGTCCTTGTCATACGCTTGCACTTTGTCATGTTAGCTGGAATTAAACACAGAGAGTACGAGCAGCAACGTGGACTCTCTAGACCCTGACCCTCATAAGAGGATTGCCTTCTGGAAGAGTCATCAGCATCAGGCACTTTAAGTTCTCTGATGCCATTGACCAACTGAGCCATCCCGGCTGTGTTTTTGTGGTTCCATCTGTTTATTGGGACTATTAAAATAGAAGACGCGCAATATAAACAGGGTGTGAAGGGACAATGAGCAATTACCCCACAGATTTTTCTGGACTATGGAGAGAGACAGACAATGTTTCACTTTGCATAAATGTAAAAGAAGATGTACTTGTGTTATGACGAGGTATTCTAGTCAAGCTGCGTTATGTTGTACTAGTTATTCTAACCTCTTGTTTACCTTGCATGCAATATTATTGAAATGGGTGTTTTTAAAAATGTTTTGAATTCTGCAAAAGAAACATGTGACATGTATGAGAATTAAAATCTATTAACAAAAAAAGAATGGTTTTAAATAATTCAAATAGACTTTGAAAGAACTATAAACTTGGCCCACTCTCCCAGTCCTCTTTTTCTTGCATCTTTTACCTTTATTATCTAAGGGTATTTAAAGACTTGGGTATTTATAGGGCACATTGATTGGGGTCTAGTTCTACCTTTACATGAATATAGGCCAGCCACTTGTGATGCCCCTTGACAGAGGACAGCGGCATAGAAAACACATTGTACTGGTCATTGTAGTTGTGGAGTCTGTTTTAGAGAATATTTTCACCATCCAGAGATCACTGGCTCCTCCACCAGAAAAATGTGAAGCTCTGTTCCAACGCCTACTGCAAAACAGTATGGAGATATTAACAAGGTTAAATACTACAAGGTCCCATATATTTATGTCCCCTGTGGTTAAAGTGGAGCTGGAACAGAAAGTTGTCTCTTATCTCCTTCACCTTCTGTTATCCAAGGCCAATGCTTAATTCCATTATTTAGCGTTTGTATATTTCCACCTTTTAATTTTGATCCTTAAGAAAAACTCTAGGAAATCCATCTCTCAAGTGCTGAAGCATGTTCTCAAAAACACAACTATACAATAGCTGAGAACTCTTCCTGTGTTGAGAAGAACCTATTTTCCATGATGATTTCCAACTCAGTTTCAGGAAAACAAGAAGTATGATTACATTAAATGAACACATTAATTGTAAGATGTATTCTGTTTTCATAAATGTTGAAATGTGAATAGCATATCTCAGAATCCAGAAAATCCAGTGCTGGATGAAGCTCATGAAATTTAAACATAGGTAGTATAAAAACATCTTATTTCAAATATCTGCACTTGTCTACTGAACTGCAATGCTGGTTTTAAGAACAATCTTAGAGTAATACGAAAAACTGTTTCTTAAACATATTTACTGACAGTCAATAGCTTTACAAATTTTACTTTAGCAATAATTATTTGTAGGTGTATATTACCTCTGATATCTGTTATACTTGGGAGAATTTACTTAAGAAGATACCTTATAGACTTATCATTTTAATACATTTAAAACTGCCATGATAAATATGATACGAACGCCAATAGACACATATGGCTATTGGGAACCTGAAATGCATCTAGTCCAAATTAAGATGTACTGTAAGTGTAAAATACGTGCTAAATTTCAAAGACTTAATGTGAAAAAAAGAATGTAAAATATCTAATTGATATTTTTTATATTGATTACATGTTGAAATGACAATGTTCTATGTATATAAAAGAGAATATATTATTAAATATATTAAAGAGTTAAAGAGAGTATATTATTAAAAGAGGTTAAAGATAATATATTATTAAAATTAACTTCACTTATTTCTCTTTACCTTTTTAATTTGGTTACTAAACATTTTTAACTTCATATGTAACACACGTTATATTTTAATTGAATGCACTAGACTAGAAGAATACCATTAGCATTCAAATACTTTACAGATGAACAAACTTCTCATTTAGATCCAGTAACTGTAATATAGTTGAGAATTATAAGTAAATATCGCTGTATTTTCAAAATGCTTCAAAAACATTTAGTATAATAATCTTGACTTTCAAAGACAATGCATAGATCTCCTTTTCCTCTGTTTCCCTCTGCCACTATCTAGTGATAGCAAAACTATCATAAGGATTTATCTGGAAGCTATTATTTTCATTTTTCAAGATAAGGACAATATAGTTGCTTTGGAAAAGGTGCATAAAAAATAAGTGATTAACAACAAATATTATGGTGAATATACTTTCCTAATCTTAAAAAAGAAAGACAAAACACTATTACAATAATAAAAGTCCTATGCGGACTGGCATCAGAAATCCACCACAAAGTATTTTTGCAAAAAATTTAACTCTTAAGCTAAATGATCTAGAGCTACTTCTATAACACACCCCCCCTCCCCCTCCACCCCCGTGTGACTAGAACAAATCTTGAGAATATCCTAACAGGTTCTTCTGTAAAAGACCAAAAAGAAAGTTTGAAAAGATAATGACTCTATATCAAATGGAGAGATGTGTGTGGGAAGTGTATCCAACTAAATGTTCTATGAGATCTTTGAACATAAAGACAATTTCCTGAAGTGTTCTATGGATCTGAATATCTGTGAATATTGTCATGCTTGGGAGGTCACACAGGTCTCCCAAGTCTCACTTCTGATATACATTCTATCCTATAATATTCTCCAGAAAACCAAAGAATTAGAACCCTCAAGAAAGACAATGAAAGACAGTCCATTTAGATGCTCCCTGTACCTCACCAATACCTGCAGCAGTATCTTATTGAATTGGGGAGAGTTCAAAATTCCACTGACAATTACTCAAGGGCATTTTGATCAACATACCTATGCTGTTTAGTTACCCAAGGGTGACTAAATAATTGTATGGCAGTTGATACTAGTGCTATTTTTCCTATCCTTATTTACATCTTGAGTAGAAGGCACACCCCCAATAGACTGAGCTATTCAAAACGGTGCTGGTTGCTTCTCTAGTAATATTAATAGTGTTTGTATGTCCTGTCATATGGCTCAACCACAGTGTAAGCTGAGGCCTTTCCCTTTTTACCTTAACTGGAGGCAGACAGCCACTTGCATGATTTAAAACCTCTCACCAGGATATTCAAATTCAGAATCATCTGGCAGGCTGGTTAAAACGCCAAGCACAGTGACTTCATGCCTGTATCTCAGCACTTTGGGAGGCCAAGGTGGGAGGATTGCTTGAGCTCAGGAGTTCAAGACCAGCCTGGGCAACATGGAAAAACCCTGTCTCTACCAAAAATACAAAAATTAGCCAAGCGTGGTGGTGCACCTGTGGTCCCAACGACTTCAGAGGCTGTTGTAGGAGGATCGCTTGAGCCCAGGAGGTTGAGGCTGCAGTGAGCTGAGATTGTGCCACTGAACTCTAGCCTGGGCAACACAGCCAGACCCTGTCTCAAAAACAAAACAAAACAACCACAAAAAACAAACAACAACGACAAAACAAACAAACAAACAAAAACAAGGAAAACACAGACAGTTAAACCCTAACCCTAGATTTTCTGAATCAGGAGCTTAGGGGTGAGACTTAAGTGTTTGCATTTCTAACAAGTTTTCGGGTCAAGTAATGCTGATTCTGCTGGTTAAAAGCCTATATTCGAGAATCGCTGCTTTAGATATCCATTCTATTAACCCTCCCAGTTATGCCCTCATAGAATGGTGAGGGGAAGGAAGGAAGGGAAGAGAGAAAGAAGGCATGTGAAAGAGACAGAAGGAAAGAAGGAAGGAAGGGAAGGAGGTGAAAGGAGGAAGGGAGGGAAGGACAGAAGGAATTAAGGAAGGAAGGGAGGGAGGGAGGGAGGAAGGAAGGTGAAAGCGGGGAAGGAAGGAAGGGGACAATTACCAACTTTGCCAGGGTCTGGCACCACACTTAACACTTTATATCACAAAAATCATTTAATTCTTATGATGACACTAAAGGTAGGTAATATTATATACTATTCCAGATAACTAACATGAGGCTTAAAGTGCAAACATAACTATCCAAATGGTTATATATTTGTAAGTGACAGAATTGTCATTTAAATCTAAGCAGGCTGATTGCAGAGGCCTCACCATGATGTTTTACTGACGCTTTAGCAACTTACTCACGAAAGTGTCTGCAGTGTATTGTCATTCCTATCCTTTTCCTACTAAAGGCTGCAGTGTGGTCTCTCTGCTGCAGGGCTGAGTATACAGCAATCTGCACAGATGAAACTAAGCAGTAAGGTTTGTGTACAAAGGGACTGTCCAGAATTTTCCTGTTAACATGTACTTGGCCAGCCATGATTTTCAATAGGGTGAAAACTATGATCAGATACAAAAACCACAGGTTGTGATGTAGGGAATGAATTGAGTAAAAAGGGCATAGGGAAGGAGGGATACAAATACAAAGAGAGTTAAAGGGGGAAAAAGGGGGAATGAAGTGTACATGGAAACAAGTATGTATGAAAGGGGAAAGGTTAGAGAAGCTACAGCCATTTCCATAAACTGTATGGTCTTATGCATTCATGCTCAAAAATTACTGTTTTCCTCTTCTCTACCAGAGAATAAACATGAGGCTGACTGCTTCCTTCATATAATAAACATAATGATGTAGAAATAAGAACAACCCAAGGAAAAAAAATCACTGAAGAAAATGACAAATTCAAATAATATGAATAGACATAAATGTATTGTGATTGCCGCATTTTTTTTTTTTGCAAACTCTTTCCTTTCACATCCTTTTTCTTTTTCTTTCTTTCTTTTTTTTTTTTTTTGAGACAGAGTCTTGCTCTGAAACCTCCACCTCCGGGTTCAAGCAATTCTCCTGCCTCAGCCTCCCAAGTAGCTGGGACTACAGGCACGTGCCACCACACCTGGCTAATTTTTGTATTTTTAATAGAGACGGGGTTTCATCATGTTGGCCAGGCTGTTCTTGAACTCCTGACCTCAGGTGATCCACCTGCCTCGGCCTCCCAAAGTGCTGGGATTATACACATCCCTGTTTTTAAAAGTGAAACCTGCCTTCTATAGAACACATTCCCCCACAGAAATACACTACAGAAAATAGATCTAATAAAGTGGAGTTTTGTTCAAATGCTTCCCTCACAATGCCACTAATTAACATGTGACTTTGAAATAAAACCCACAAAGTTTAGGTATCATCTCCCTAAAATGAAGGACATGGATGAGATCGCTGTTTTTCGCACTGTACACTACTAAGCCCAGGGAGTTTCTTGGGTATCCTCCAGCTGCCAGGTTTGAGTTAGATTCTCTGGACTCCTAAACCTAGATTCAACCGAAGCACCTTAACATTTACCTGGTTTACTTACTGAGCTTTTGTATATAATTTTGTTTGAGAGCAGAGATTTTGTCGAACTCTAATATTAATTGACCCTAAGATTCTAAAACATGGCTTAAAATGCAATAGAGGTTTGAAACTTGATTTTCCAGGCACGTTGGCACTACTCTCCTGCTACAGGGAGAAATAAAGTACCACAAACAGGAGCAAAACCAGATTTAGTTGGTTTCAAAAGTAAAATACTCCCACCAGGATAGTCTCTGAAACATGCCTTTATCTATCAGAGATGATGCATATCTATAGAAATCTTCAACTGACACGGACGGCTGTCTTGTGAACAGGAAGGGCAACATAAGATAGTGACTATGCAAAGCATTTACAACATTATTTTGCAAAATTAGTGTTTAGGATGCTAAGAAATGGCAAGAAAAAGGGAGATATGTGGGAACATTAATTGCCCTAAAAAGCAAAGGAAGAAAAATATCTCATTCCTAGTTTGAATTGAGGTGGTAGAAACCAGTTGAGTCAGCTTCGAGCTGAACAGACTCATCTTGTGTTTTTCCTGGCATCTCAGCTATAACCATAATGCAGACAGGTGAAGGCCAAAGAGCCAGTGGACTGAGCCAGCAATGCCAATACTTCAAAGGGTCCTGAAACTAACTTAGAGGAAGACTCTGAGTCCCTAAAGACAGTGATGACCAGAAATCTTCTAAGACACA
Source organism: Homo sapiens (assembly GCF_000001405.40). Taxonomy (NCBI): domain Eukaryota; kingdom Metazoa; phylum Chordata; class Mammalia; order Primates; family Hominidae; genus Homo; species Homo sapiens. Next base: position 32,414,122 of record NC_000008.11, on the reverse strand, counting down.
TTAGGACTTCCATCAACAAGATTAGAACATGCCTTACCTCACAGCCTTCTCTGAGTCCAAAGTGGTCTAAGCCCAAACCTCCTAGAACCTTCAGGATTTATAAATAACTCCCTCTTTCAACCTCTTCTGAACGATGTGATATCCTAGGCATCATTTAATCTTGGAAAGGACAGTTATAACAGAAAAAAAAAAAAAACCTAGAAGAAAAACTCTTCCAACAGAGTCCTGGAGGTTTCTATACCTGTGTCCCAGTTCACCCTGGGGCAGAGAATGGCTCTAAGGTCCCTTTCACAAAGTTGTGTATGTTCTGATTAATAAGAAATCATGTTGAGCCTCTGGGTATTCATTTTAATCAGTGTGCTAGAGATGCACACTGCCTATGCATGTTCAGCAGGTGAACTAGGATCAATCATATGTTCCTCAGCAAATTAAAGCATCATTGTGAGGGAAGCATTTGAACAAAACTCCACTTTATTAGGTCTGTTTTCTGTAGTATATTTCTGTGGGGGAATGTGTTCTATAGAAGGCAGATTTCACTTTTAAAAACAGGGATGTGTGTAATCCCAGCGCTGAGATTACAGGCGTGAGCCACTGCGCCCGGCCTTTATTAAGGTTTTCTTAGTTTTTATCTAATCTCCTTTTTCTGCTTCAGAATAGAAGTAAAAATGGAATGCTACAAGCCTAAGGAAACATGGTAAAATGTAATTTCAGGGTCTCATCGAGCATACAGTATATTTAGTTACCATCTCTCCTCAGGCTTGTAACAGGCCTTTTACTCTCATCTATATAGCTTGAATGATTACCCAAGTAAATAAATAGTCCTTGAGGGCATGGTTTGTAATGAAGGTAGTATTTCACTGAGTAACTACATCATAGAACATTTAACCAATCGCCTATTATTGTTTAGCATTTAAGTTGTTTAGATATTTTTACTGTTATAAATGTTTTGCGATATATTTGAATACATCCATGATTATTACTTAGGGTAAATTCTTAGGATAAGATGGCTAGATCAAAGAATATGCACATGTTTCAGGCTTTTGGGACACAATTAGGAGAATGTGAATCAAACAGATGGAGCACGCGGTATCTGGGTGAATTCAGACTCCTTCCAGATGCAGTGTGTAGCTTTGGGCGAGGAACTTAACCAGTCTATGTATAATTTCCCAGTTTTAAAGTTAGGTTGATAATCAAAACAATAGTACCTATTTCAGAGGGTTTTTGTGAGGATTAAGTGTAAATGTATATATACAGTCATATGCTGCATAATGACATTTTGGTTACTGACACACCACATATACAACTGGTCCCATAAGATTATAATACCATATTTTTACTGTGTTTTTCTATGTTTAGAGACACAAATACTTGTCATTGTGTTAGAAATTGCCTCCAGTATTCAGTACAGTAATATGCTGTACAGGTTTCTAGTCTGGGAGCAACAAGCTATCCCATAAAGCCTCAGTGTGCATCAGGTTAGGTGTGCAGCAAACCATCCAGGTTTGTGTAAGAATATTCTATGATATTCACAAATCATGAAATTGCCTAATGACACATTTTTGGAATATATCCTATTGTTAAGTGACACATAACTGTATATTAGTCAGGGTTCTCCAGAGAAACAGAACCAATAGGATGTATCTGTTCATATATATATATATATATATATGTATATATATATATATATATATATATATATGTAGAGAGAGAGAGAGAGAGAGAGGAGAGAGAGAGAAAGAAAGAGAAAGAGAGTTATGACAAGGAATGGAATGACTGGAAAGTCATAAGATCTGCAGTCAGCAATTTGGAGACTCAGGAATGCTGATAGTGTAGTTTCAGTCTAAATCTGAAGGCCTGAGAACCAGGAGAGCCAATGGTATAAATTCTAGTCTGAAAACCAGTAGCCTCAAGACTCAAGAAGAGCTGATATTTGCATTTGAGCTTGAAGGCCAGAAGATTGATGTCCCAGCTCAAAGCAGTCAGACAGGAGTAGTTCCCTCTTACTCAGCCTTTTTGTTCTATTCCGGTCTTGATTGGATGAGGTCCACTGACATAGGGGAGACGAATCTGCTTTTCTCAATCTACCAGTTCAAATGTTCATCTCATCCAGAAACATTCCCACAGACACACCTGATTAATGGCTGGACAAATGTCTGGGACCCTGCGGCTTGGTCAAGTTCATACATAACACTGACTATCAGAGTACGCATGGTCCCCAACTTATGACAGTTCAACTTACCTATATTTTGATTTTATTTTGATTTTATTTTGATTTTTAGAATAAGATGGCTAGATCAAAGAATATGTACACGTTTCAGGCTTTTCGGATGCAACTGATTTTACACAAGGGACACATTGATTTTAGAATGGTGCAAATGCAATACACATTCAGTATGCTCTTTGACTTTTAATAGGGTTATGTGTGGATCAACTTACAATGGATTTATCCAGACAACCCCATTATAAGCTGAGGAGCATCTGTATTTACATAGCTTAGCATATAGTAAGCCCCTGTCCATAATGCCCTAATGAAGGTCAATTATGGAGCACACAATATTTTGAGATTAAGCTGATGACTGATAAAGAATATTCCTTTCCTTTATTTTAGAGCTTGCACCTCTTGGATAGAAAACTGGACTGAATTGAGGTACATGGCCTCAGCCTCTAAATTATGCAGAGGAAACTGTAGACACTCCTAATGGTGGATTTTGAAGTGCCATTATACATAGTACAAACATTATTTCTTTTCCTACTTTATAAAGTTTTACTCTACTTCTTCCTATTTTGTGTCCCACACCGTTAAGTCTCCATAACTCGAGAAGGGCCCATATGGGAGTTACAGGCCCCAGATTCTGGTTTATTCTGTAGCCTTGAATAAGTATGAACTCTTGGATAAGCCACCTGTCTTCTCAGAGTCTCTAGTTCCTCATCTGATAAAAAGTGTGGGCTGGCTGGGCGTGGTGGCTCATGCCAGTAATCTCAGCACTTTGGGGGGCTGAGGTGGGCAGATCAAGAGGTCACCAGATCGAGACCATCCTGGTCAACTTGGTGAAACCCTGTCTCTACTACAAACACAAAAATTAGCTGGGCATGGTGGTGCGTGCCTGTAGTCCTAGCTGCTTGGGAGGCTGAGGCAGGAGAATCGCTTGAACCCAGGAGGTGGAGGTTGCAGTGAACCGAGATTGCGCCACTGCACTCCAGCCTGGCAACAGAGCAAGGCTCCATCTCAAAAAAAAAAAAAAAATGTGGGTTGTGATCACTTAAGCCTGTTCACATCTATATTTCCATGGTTCTGTGCAAATATATAGATTTCCTTAAACAGGTTCATAACCAGAGAATAAGTGCCTTGCAGAAGGCTGGTGTCCCACTAAGAAGCAGACTCTGGGGACTTTCAGTAGTCAGGTGGGCAGATGAGGGGAAGGGACAGGTTAATTACAAGTCTAAAAGTGGTTAGTTTCTTTGTTGAAGGCAATACACTCTGGTGTGAAGAAGAGAAGAAGAAATGAAAGACTAATGGTCATGTGCTGAAAGTGGAATTCAGTGGGCAAGAATCATGCACCTTTCTAAGAATTTTGAATACTTATTTTCCTAAATTGTTCTCCAGAAAGTTTGTATAATATACATTTTGGAAGAAAGATTTTTGAGAAGATGCTTTTGGCCTGCCATGGTGACTCACACCTGTAATCCCATCACTTTGGGAGGCTGAGCAGGGTAGATCGCTTGAGCCCAGCCTGGGGAACATGCTGAGACCCTGTCTCTACAAAAAATGCAAAAATTAGCTGGGCATGGTGGCATGTACCTGTAGTCCCAGCTACTCAGGAGGCCAAGGTGGGAGGACTGCCTGAGCCTGGGAGGTAGAGGCTGCAGTGAGATATGATGATGCCACTGCACTCCAGTCTAGGTGACAGAAGGAGACCATGTCTCAAAAAAAAAAAAAAAAAAAAAAGGAAAGAAAAAGATCCTTTCCTTAGGGCAGGAATGGGGGTGAATCACTGACAACTTAGCCCAATCTCCTGTCTCAGTTTTTCTCCATACAGGGGGATATTGAGTCCTGCTGCCTCTGATTGTTGGTGGGATAACTGAAGAATCCTTTCAAGGAATAGGCCAAAGCTCCTTAGAGGCAGGGTTTGGAGGGGATGGCTTAAGCAGAATGCAGAGATAACGATGGTACACCCTGCCTGTAAGACACAGATGAAAGATGCATTGAAGAGATTCTCTCGCTGGGAGAAATCCATCAGCAAGGTTGCGGAGCATCTCCATCACCCTTCCAATTTGCTCTCATTACCTAGTTAATCCTCACTTAGTGCTTTCCTGTGAAGAGAGTCAATGTCATCACCCAGTTTGCACAAGAAGAAAACAGAGAGAAAAAGAGAGAGAAGTTAACTATCAAAGCTCATCTCTTCGTGAAGTGCAAATGGAAAAAGGTAAAGTATGACGTTAACTGTACCTGCTCTGTTCACTTTCCATTAACTGTACCTGCTCTGTTCATTTTCCATTAACTGTGCCTGCTCTGTTCACTTTCCACTGGAATCCTGGGTGTTGGCTCATGTCCTCATTCTGTTCTTAAAAACAGCTTCATAGGTTCTAGATATCTAGATATCAGCCCTTCATTGGATGTGTACTTTGCAAGTATTTTCACCCATCCTGTATGTTGAGTGTTAACTTTGTTGATTATATCTTTTGCTGTGCCAAAGCCTTTTAGTTTAATGAAGTCCCATTTGCCTATTTTTGCTTTTGTTGCATTTGCTTGCTTTTGGGGTCTTAGTAATGAATTCCTTCCCTAGGCAATGCCCAGAAGAGTTTTTTCTAAATTTTCTTGTAGGATTTTTATAGTGTCAGGTATTACATTTAAATCTTTAATTCATCTTGAGTGAATTTTTGCATATGGTGAGAGATAGGGGAACGAGTTTCATTGTTCTGCATATGGCTAGCCAATTTTCCTAGCACCATTTATTTGATAAGTCAAAGGACACCATTCAATCAATGGATGATTGAATCAAGAAAATGTAACGTATATACACCATGGAATACTACTCAGCCATACAAAAGAATCAATTCATGTCTTTTGCAGCAACATGGATGGACCTGAAGGCTATTATCTTAAGTGAAATAACTCAGAAACAGAAAGTCAAATATTGCATGTTCTTACTTATAAGTAAGAACTAAATAATGAGTACACATGGACATAGAGGGTGGAATAATAGACATTGGAGACTCAGAAAGATGGGAGGGTGGGAGGAGGGTGAGGAATGACAAGTTACGTAATAGGTACAAGGTACACTATTTGAGTGATGGTTACACTGAAAGACCAGAGTTATATCCATGTAACAAAACTGCACTTGTACCCGCTAAATAAACAGAAATTTAAAAACAGAAAAACTTAAAAAAAACAAACCCAGCCTTCTTGTTTATAAAATTTGTGCATTCCCTGTGTGCATTCAGGTATGAACAACCTGTTCTTTGTGGAAGCTCAACAGAGTCTTCTTCCCTTCTTAAAGTATCTTCCCCCACCATCATGCACAATCTTTTTGCAGTTTTTGGAGATTTCCCCCTCTGCAGTAGCCACCAGACCAAGCAAGCTAATTAAAGGTAATGAGCCCAGCAGGGATCTAAGTGCTTTCTCCCATTCCTTCCCCAAATAACTAGAGAGCTTCAGGGCACTAACTAACAGCTCCCATATGCTGAGGAATGGCTTCTCACTCTGACCTAGTCAGCTTGGCTCTCAGTCTCACAGTTCAAACTGTTCTTGAACTCTGGACTGGACTGCACATCTCGGCCAGCTGGCCCACCCTCCCTGACCACTGAGCCTGAGGGAACAGGGCAAAGAGGGCAAACAGCTTGGTGCAAGGTCATGATCAGGAAAACAGTTTAATGACACATGCTCATCACCCTGAGAATGATTCATTTTCCTATAAATAGAGAACACATGATCACCTTCTTATCACAGAATCCCCTTCCCCACTGCCTACCCCAAGTATGTTCAGTGACCTAGCAGTAACTTATTGTCTCAGAAATGACCCAAGCCTCTGATGAGTTATGGAGGAACATCTCTGGGCTTCAGAGCCCAGGGAGCACTCACTGACAATAAATGAGTTCCAGAAACATTTTGTTTGCAGGCATAAAAAGGAAATGCAGCAGGATGACTCTGTGGACTGAAAGTAAGGATTTGAACTTGGTGACTTCTCAGATTCCTTCCATCCTGATACATTCTGCACCAGAGTTTAATCAGTTACACCTCTCCTAGCAGTGAGCTGAGACCCTATAGTCAAATTCTTCTTTTTTGGAGCTACAGGCATATTTTGATTTTAAAAAATCATAGTGCTTCTAATTCCCTTATGATCAGAGCTTAGAGCAACACACTTCATAGTTGTTGTCAAGGCTGGAGGTAGGAATGCTCACTGTTTCTCCCTTTGCCTGATACTTTCAGCGAGGCTGTGTATGGCAGTGTTGGACATATGTACTGAAAGGGATACAGAGAGAGAGAGGTAAGGAGGAAGAAGGGCATGTCCACTTTTATTCTGGAGACAGAGGCACAAAAACACAGAGCAGTGTGTTACTTCTTTCTCTCCACGCTCTTTCCTCCAGCCTTCAATCAATTGATGTTAGACATCCCTCTTATTCTAAAGTAAAATTTTGGAATTAAGTATTGACTCACCTAATATGTTCTTCATTGTAAAGGACTAATGGATCCTACACTGTTCTTGTCAAAATGAATTCAATAGACAAGATTAAGACCAGCCTGGCTTTAAAACATATATAGAGAGAGCTACTAATAGATATATGGTTGGCCATATATATATATAATATATATATATATATATATATATAATATATATATATATATATAATATATATATACACACACACATATATATATAGTCTTCTACCAAATCATTGAATTGCGTCACAGAGTATCAGTGACCCTAATATTTGTACACTAATTTTATAGCTTACAAAGCATTTTCCCATATATTACCTCTGTTAAAAATTTTAAGCATTTCTATGAAATAGGAGAAGGGAATTAATATTACAGATGAGGAAACAGAGATCTGATTAAGTTACTTATATAAGAGCATACCCATGACTTTGTGACCCCAGGGCTAAAGCTGAATCCCACACTCTTCCCATGATAGCCTGATACCTTTGGATTTCAAAAGTTGAGTTTACACTAAACTCCCTTTCTCTCTCCAAACTTCTCTTTATTATAGAATTCGGTTTGAGATTGCCTTTGATCCCTGGCCACAAGGATTTAAGTTTGTTCATTTGCTGCCAGAGTTCCTTTCAAAACTGGTGACAAATTTCACAGTCAAGATATACTTATTAAGCAAAAATACTTATCACTAGCAAGGCAATCTTCTAAGCACTAAAGAAAACCGAAGATGAAGGCAGATCTTGCCTTTAAAAAAAAAGGACGAAGAGAAAGAATAAGACTTATGTATATATAATATTAAATATGAATAAACTTTGGGTAGGAGACATCAAAATCAGATTCCCCTATGGCTACTAAGTATCCACTTGCTTTGTGTTCTAAAATCTGACTAAATCTGTAAAAATAATTCCATTAAATAAATATATAAACTAGTGCACAGAAACAGAATTATAGATGAGAAAGTATATCAGGATATATACAGTGCTTGCACATACCAGGTAAAAATACCTAGTTTTTACTAAGCCCTTACTATGTGCCAGAAACCTAAGCATTTTTACAGGATTAATTTATTTTAATCTTCACAACAACCTTTGAATAAGGTACTATGGTTATTCCCATTTTATAGATGATAAAACAAAGGCATAGATATATTTAATCTTTTGTCCAAGACTGAGCAGCTCAAACCCACACAGTCTGGTTCCCGAGACCGTGCCCCTGACCATGCAAGATGAATTATCCCATGTAATTCTACCAATCTTATGAGAGACACTATTATGTCATTATATTTAAGATGAGGGCACTGAAGTTTAGGGAAGTTAGGGGGCTTGACAAAGAAGGAATGAACATGGAGCCAGTAAGTTGAGGAACTGGAATTCAAATCCAGGGTTTCCTTCTCCAAATTCAGAGATTTAGGACAGAGCTAACAATCAACCCAAAGACACATAGCCCAATTGCCCTGGCTGCGGAAGAGCTATCTTAGGATTACCTAAAATATTTTATTTTCTATGCGTCTTTTTTGTAACACTTGTCAATGACAAATTCACATTATACCATTAGAAAGAATTAGTGAGGATATTTGTTCACAGAGTCTCACAAAAATCAGATTCTCACAAAAAAGTAAATTTTTAAAAGCCTACTAATGAAATGAAAACATATAAAATATGTTAACTTAAATATCACTAAATTCAAAATGATATTAAGCAAATATATTCAAGAGGGCATTATGAAGATTATGGTAAAATACTCATGATTGTAAACTGAGATTTGAAAATTGTATAGGAATAGTTTCATAAAGATTACCTGATTATCATAGGCAATAATTACATGGGGTATCTGGAATTATAAATGAGCATTTTGTCTCTACATGACTGTACAAGTGTGGGTAACCAGTTGTTTGGAGAGAAAAAAAAGAGAGAGAAAGATCAGACAAAATCAAGCATCTGTGTTTAAATATTTCTAAGAAGGATATTTGTTTTATATTCCCAAATTACTCATCTATGTATATAACAGATATAAATTTCTCCCCTCTGCTGTTGGAAGGCTTTAGTTGCAAAGGCACAGAAGAAGTCACCATAGTACTTGAAGCATTTGCTTATTTAATATTAAACAGGCTTGGTGGCTTCAAATGGGAGTAGGAGAATAAATTACAGAAATACTTGCAAATAACCTAATCTGCAAGTCCTTTAATTGAATGGAGAGTGAGGAGTGAAATGGACCAAGGAAAGAAGTGACCTAAGAACAAGAGTTTGAGGCTGGTATCTGGTTTCTTCCTTGAAGAGAGAACACATAACTTCCTTTCTTTCCTCCAACTGGGTTTGCACCTAGCTTAAGGTGGACCAGAGGCAACAGGGACAGCCTGGATATGGCAAACTGGCAAATTCAGATCTGTATGGTGCCCCATTGCATTCCTTTGTAATCACTGCAATTTCTCCATGTTTGATATTTCAACTGTTCCTTTTAGTGATTGGCGGTACAACCCCTGACGTGAAAAGAGCTTTTTGCTCATCCTTAGGAGCAACTGGGAGGGAAAGAGGAATATCATGTCCCCAGCCACAGCGAACATGGAAGAAGTTTTAAGATGAAGATGAAGGCTGGGCACAGTGGCTCACATCTGTAATCCCAGCACTTTGGAAGGCCAAGGCAGGTGGATCACTTGACATTAGGAGTTCAAGACAAGCCTGGCCACCATGGTGAAACCCTGTCTCTACTAAAAGTATAAAAATTAGCTGGGTGTGGTGGTGCAAGCCTGTAGCCCCAGTTACTAGGGAGGCTGAGGCAGGAGAATTGCTTGAACTCAGGAGGTGGAGGTTGCACTGAGCTGAGATCATGCCACTGCACCCCAGCCTAGGCCACAGAGCAAGACTCCATTAAAAAAAAAAAAAAAAAAAGATGAAGAAGAAAACAGAATGAGTTTCTGAGACACTACAAAAGAGGAAGCATGAAAAAGGTTCTGATGGGGTTGAAATGGAGGTGTGAATGCTGAACAGCAGCAGCAGGTTCCCTCATATATTCATGAACCGAATGCATACCAAGCAGGGTGCTAGGCACTGAAGACACGATGATGAATAAAGTAGGCATAGCCTGTGTCTTCAGGGAGCTTACTGTCTAAGGACACTAGGCATTGAAGAGAGGTATATAAAATACATGAGTGTGCAGATCAGGTGGTTGCTATGGTTCCTCCTTCCCTGATTTTTGTCATTACCCCCGCCCCTTTGCATCCCAAGTTTTGGCATTGTGGGTACCACTGCAGCTGTGGAACTGCACAGCACTGAGATCATTTTCAGAGGCATGTCAAGCACCTGCAGGTGCAAAACAGGAAAACATTTCTCCAGGGTCTTCTCTCTTCATCTGCTTCTCTTTAGGCACCTAGGTGACCAGGACCTTCTTTATCCCCACTGCTGGTCCAAAATCTGCTATCACCATTGCTGGGGTATATTTATTAAATGAAAAGTGTAAGGTGCATGGTAATGCATATAGTAGGTGAACATTTGTTTTTTGTTTTTTAAAGGCACTACCTGCTTGGGAAGGTGGCAACAGAATCTGCTCTTGCCTCAGAAGAGGAGTGGGTGGCTAGAGACAGGGATGGGAGAGAAGGGAGAATTTACTGTTCATATTTTTGTACTTTTAAAACTTTGTACCATGGGAAGACAAAACAAATTTCAAAAATATCAAGATCTCTCCTCATTATGATCCAAAAATGTACCTTCCTTCTTTCCTCAATGAACTCTCACTCTCTAGGATGTCGATCTGATTAAAATAATTGCCACTTAAGTGTAAATTTTCCATAAAAACAGAGGTGATGTGGGTGGGTACTATCTATATCTCAAAAAATGTGAAATTTTTGAAACATGAGCGTATAAAGGAGACTTTCGAGCAGGGAGGGATTCAGATACTCTATTTAGAGAAGGCTTTCCTTGTCAGGTTCAAACAGACTTGGATTTGAATAAGCTCTTTTATCTTATAAAAGTGAAAATCTATAAGACTGTGCAACTAGAAGCAAATTTCTTAAGCTTTTTGAGAGTCAATTTTTGTATCTTGTAAAATGGGGATAAGAACTACTTCATGGGATTGTAGTGAGGAAGAAATAACAGGAAGGCTATCAAGTGCCTTGCACACAGTAGGTGTTCAGTGCTTGCTCATTTCTTTTTTCTTTCTTTTTTTTTTTTTTTTTTTTGAGACAGAGTGTCGCTCTGTCGCCCAGGCTGGAGTGCAGTGGCATGATCTCGGCTCACTGCAACTTTTCTGCCTTCCAGGTTCAAGCAATTCTCTGCCTCAGCTTCCCAAGTAGCTGCGATTACAGGCACCTGCCACTGTGCCTGGCTAATTTTTATATTTTTAGTAGAGACGGCGTTTCACCATCTTGCCCAGGCTGGTCTTGAACTCCTGACCTTGGGTGATCCACCCGTCTTGGCCTCCCAAAGTGCTGGGATTACAGGTGTGAGCCACTGTGCCCGGCCAGTGCTTGCTCATTTCTTTCTTGGCTTCTGTGTTTTTATTTTCCTCAACAAGGCTGAGGAAAAATAATGTAAGTGATGTAAGGATACGAAAATACATAGAGTAATCCCCCCTTATCCTCAGGGGATACATTCCATGACACCCAGTGGATGCCTGAAACCGTGGGTAGTACGAAACCCTTTATATACTATGCACAAATATCTTTTTTCTTCTTCACAGTTCAACAGATAGAAGATCTAACAACTTCAGCATTCAATGTTTTTCTTTCCTTATTAAGAGTTTTCACTCAAAGGAAGCACTTTAGGGCTTCTCTTTGGCAGCTCCAAATCTCCAGCATTGCTACTCCTGTGCTTTGAGGCCATTAGGAAGTAAAATAAGGGTGACTTCAACACAAGCACCCCCATACTGCCATGGTCGATCTAATAACTGAGAGGGCTACTGAGTGACTAACAGGTCGGAGGCATAGACAGTGAGGAACTGCTGGACAAAGGGGAAGAATTCATGTCCCGCATGGGACAGAGTGGGACAGGGCAAGATTTCATCACGCTACTCAGAATGGCATGCAATTTAACACTTATGAATTGTTTTTTTTTTAAATTTTCCATTTAATATTTTTAGACTGTGGATAAATGAAACCAAAGAAATCAAAGCCACGAATCAGAGGGGGCCCACTGCACCTATTTCCTTTCATTTTATTGAATGGCTTTGTAAGAAGTTCAAGGCTGATGAGAGTGACAGGGTGTGTTAGATAGACAATGAGCTACAAAGGGTAAGGAAAGTGTTTTCTCTTTTTAAAAAAACTTTTAGGCCAGGCGTGGTGGCTCACAACTGTAATCCCAGCACTTCGGGAGGCCGAGGTGGGCAGATCACCTCAGGTTAGGAGTTTGAGACAAGCCTGGCCAACATGGCAAAACCCCATCTGTACTAAAAAATACAAAAATTAGCCTGGCGTTGTGGTAGGCGCCTGTTGTCCCAGGTACTCGGGTGACTGAGGCAGGGAGAATTGCTTGAACCAAGGAGGCAGAGGTTGCAGTGAACCAAGATCGCGCCACTGCACTCCAGCCTGGGCAACAAGAACAAGACTCTGTCTCAAAACAAACAAACAAACAAAAAAACCAAACAAACAACTTTTATTTTAGGTTCAGGGGTACATATGCAGGTTTGTTATACAGGTACCCTTGTGTCACAGGCATTTGACGTACAGATTATTTTGTAACCCAGGTATGAAGCATAGTACCTGATAGGTAGTTTTTCTGATCTTCTCCCTCCTCCCACCTTCTGCCCTCAGCAGACCCCAGTGTCTGTTGTTCTTCTCTTTGTGTCCATGTGTTTTCTTTGTTTAGCTCCCACTGATAAGTGAGGGCATGTGGTATTTTGTTTTCTGTTCCTGTGTTCATTTGCTAAGGATAATGGCCTCCAGCTCCATCCATGTTTCTTCAAAGGACATGAACTCCCTTTTAGCTAAATTCAGCCTATTTCATCGAATGACTATAGAATGCAAAGCCTTTTTTTAAGTGTTAGGGACATAGCAGTGGACAGAACATGAAAATCCTTGCCCTCATGAACCTCTAGTGAAGGGAGACAGACAATGAATAAAATAGATAAATGATAAGTGCCAGAGAGAAAACTAAGGAACAGGGAATGGGGTACTGCCAGAAAGCAGGGCACGTTTGCAGTTTTATTTTTTATTTTTAAATTTTTATGTATTTATTTTTTAACTTGTATTTTAGGTTCAGGGGTACATGTGCTGGTTTGTTATATTGGTAAGCTGCGTGTCATGGGGCTTTGGTGTACAGGTTATTTCATCGCCCAGGTAATAAGCATAGTACCCTATAGGTATATTTTCTGATCTTCTCCCTCCTCCCACCCTCCACCCTCAAGTAGGCCCCAGTGTCTGTCGTTCCCCTCCATGTATCCATAGGTTCTCATTGTTTAGTTCCCACTTATGAGTGAGAATATGCAGTATTTACTCTTCTGTTCCTGTGTTAGTCCGCTTAGGATAATGGCCTCCAGCTCCATCCATGTTCCTGCAAAGGACATGATCCCATTCATTTTTATGGCTGCATAGTATTCCATGGTGTATATGTACCACATTTTCTTTATTCAATCTACTGTTGATGGGCATTTAGGCTGATTCCATATCTTTGCTATTGCGGACAGTGCTATCTATGATGAACATATGTGTACAGGTGTCTTCATGATAGAACAATTTGTATTCCTTTGTGTACATACCCAGTAATGGGATTGCTGGATTGGATGATAATTCTATTTTAAGTTCTTTGAGGAATCGCCATGCTGCTTTCCAGAACGGCTGAACTGATTTACAGTCCCACCAGCAGTGTATGAGCGTTCCCTTTACTCTGTCAGCATCTGTTATTTTTTGACCTTTTAATAATAACCATTCTGACTGGCGTGAAATGGTATCTCATTGTGGATTTGATTTGCATCTCTCTGATGATCAGTGATATTGGGTAATTTTCCATATGCTTATTGGCCATGTGTATATCTTCTCTTGAAAAGTGTCTGTTCGTGTCGTTTGCCCAGTTTGTAATGGGTTTGTTTGTTGCTTGTGAATCTGTTTAAGTGCCTTATAGATTCTGGATATTAGGTCTTTTAAGTTTTAAATTAAGTGATCAGCCTCCCAAGTAGCTCAGACTATAGGGTTGCACCACCACACCTGGCTAATTTTTGTATTTTTGGTAGAGACAGAGTTTGCCACGTTGGCCAGGCTGGTCTCAAACTCCTGACCTCAAGTGATTCACCCACATTGGCCTCCCAAAGTGCTGGGATTACAGGAGATGTTTAGTTTAATAAACTATGCTTTCTACATAGATATTTGAAGCGATACTACAGATTTTAGGCTCGGGTTAATGTAGGATTCTGACTATCCAGCATTTCCTTATTAACGCAATGGCAGCCTAAGTATTTATGTTCCTAAGTAAGAAAATATCCAAGAAACTGGTATTGGTACCTCAAAACAATTTATGGACTGCACTGCTATAAAGACCCTCATGGGTGTGAAGAGGTGCAGAGAGGTGATATGGGGAGAAGGCAAGGAAGCTTCCTGCAAAACAAAGTCTGCAAGGTACTTAAACTTACATGTACTTGAAGAATGAACAGCTTTTCTCTTTCCAAACCTATTACTTTCAAATGCAGAAGACATGGAAAATTTAACACTTCTGGAAATCATAAAAAAGAACACTGGCTTATACCCTATAATACCTGATATTTGATAATAAAAAGAATTACAGGAGGGAAAAGTCTCTACACAAAGTTATGACTTTTTTTCTACTTTTCACCCAAAACTTTTCTTTTGAGACAAAGTCTCTCTCTGTTGCACAGGCTGGAGTGCAGTGGAGCAATCTCTGCTGACTAATACCTTTGCCCTGGGGTTCAAGTGATTCTCCTACCTCAGCCTCCCAAGTAGCTGGGATTACAGGCACTTGCCACCACACCTGGCTAGTTTTTGTATTTTTAGTAGAGAAGGGGTTTTGTAATATTGGCCACGCTGGCCTCGAACTCCTGACCTCAGGTGATCTGCCGCCCTCTGCCCCGCCTTGGCCTCCCAAAGTCCTAGGATTACAGGCGTGAGCCACCACATCCCCCTAACCCCAAAACTTTTTTAAAAGTCACTTTGGGATGAAAATCAAAATCACAGATTATCAGTTGAGTCGAGGGAAATTTTAAATACGTGTCTCAGAAAAGACAAACAGAAGGTTCTAATTACATTTTTAAAGACACATAAAATTAACGTGTTTTACCTTATATCAGAAGTTTGAGACTCTTTTATATTTCCTAATTAATCCCCCTCAATGTGTTTCATCACATGCTAATGAACCTTCCTCAATAGGAGGGACTCTAATGAAAAAATAATCAGGGCAAGATATATGAGATTTGCCTGTTTCTGTTAACTATTTTCAGTTTTTTTGGCTTGAACTTCTTGACATCTCTACCTCAGTCCACAAAAACAGCCAATAAGTACTACATTGTTTTATTTTTGTACATTCGTACAAAATAAATGAGGTTATTTTAAGCAAAGATTATCAAACAAAAAGGTTTCTATGATATTGCAATATATATAATCTCAAAAAACTCATATTCTGCAAAATCACATACTGTATAAACAGAACTTATGAGAAAAACTGCAGAAGGGATATATCACTTAGAACCTATAAAACTTTGTAAAGTCCAAACAAAAATGATAATTGATACCTCCCAATAATTGGGAGATAACTTGCACCACCCAGGCCAACTGTTCAGCATGGCAGGAGGCTACCACAATGGATGTTCTAAAAAATATTAGAGGCTGGGTGCAGTGTCTCACACCTGTAATTAATCCCAGCACTTTGGAAGGCTGAGGTGGGTGGACCATCTGAGGTCAGGGGTTCAAGACCAGCCTGACCAACATGGCAAAACCCTGTCTCTACCAAAAATACAAAGATCAGATGGGCATAATGGCGGGCACTTGTAATCCCAGCTACTCGGGAGGCTGAGGCAGGAAAATCGCTCGAACCTGGGAGGCAGGGGTTGCAGTGAGCCAAGATTGCACCATTGCACTCCAGCCTGGGTAACAGAGTGAGACCTGGTCTTAAAAAAAAAAAAAAAAAATTTGGGTGGAAATACAGGTAACATGTTAAACAGAGCTGCACTGATGAGTGCTCAGACAATAAATAAAAACAGAGTGCTCAGCCAGTGGGGTTGCTGTGAGGGTGGTGGCAGGGAAGGGAGACCTGCTGTAAGCTATGAGCCGTGGAAGGCTGCGCTGTACAACTCTTTAGAGGAGGGGCTGAGCTGTGGACTTTTCTTTTTTTATTTTTGCTGGAGATTATAATTTTACTCCAGTAATCTGGCTTCTTCAGCCAAGAAAAATCCATATATAAACTAAAGGAAATTCTGTGAAATAGTACTATTTCCCTGCTCAACAATCACATACCAACTAATTCTCATTGCAGAATCAGGTGTTTGTGTATATTAGAGCAGAGCAGACTGCATAAAAAACCAAATACTTCACAGAATAGATTTTTTTCTCTAATGAAGGGACAATGATAAGAAAGTGAAAACACAATAAGTGTGCAGTTTGGAAGGTACATGTCTTTAACAAATTCATGCTTTTATTTCCAAACATAATCAGATGGATGATACTTTAAACATGCCAAAATAATGGTATGGAAGACTAAGACAAAGAAAGAATGTCAACTTGCTTTCATGTAATTTAGAAAATGCATAAAAAACCTGCAATAGACTGGGTATCACTGAGGTGAGTGCTGGCTGGGGAAGAGGAGGGTGTGTTTCAGAACCGGAATACACATGGTAACCAATGACTCATCCATTGATTTTAATAATATTATAAATGAATATAGTGATGGTCACTAGGACAAATAGTCAGAAACTCCAAGTAGGGTGAAAACCAATATCCACACACCCAATTAGAGGAAAATGTGCTCTCATTTACTGGTACTGACTACATCTTATGAATGGTCTTTTTTTTTTTTTTGATGTTAAGTCAGATTGCCTCCATATATAACATTAACAAACATAAAAGAGTATAGATACTTGGAAATCACAATATGTCAAATATGTTGTTCAAAATTTAAATACATTTATTGAGTATTTATTATGTACAAGGCACCAAGTTTTTATACATATTAACAAAACTAACATCCCAATAACCTCATGAAATAGATTTTATTATTATTTTCATTTTACAAATGAGGAGACTGAGGATTAAAAGTTAATCAGATTTTCACTCTGGTCAAGATAGAGTAACAGGGATCCAATTTGTCCTTCTATCTGAAACAACTAAAATAATAGAGAAAATATATAGAAAAATTAGCTTTCCAGGCATTAGATATCTATAGATTATCTATCTATGTATCTATCTACCTATCTATCTATCTACCTACTAATCTGCCTACCTACCTATTTATCCATCTCCTATTGGTTCTGTTCTCTGTCAAACACTGACTGATACAGACTTTGATGCGAGAAAGTGGGGTACTCCTCTAACAAACACCTAAAGATGTAGAAATGGCTTCGGAATTGGGAAATGGATAGAGGCTACAAGAATTTTAAGGTGAGTAATAGAAAAAATATAGATTTCCTTGAAGAGAAGCTTGGTAGAAATGTGGACATTAAAGGCAATTCTGTTGAGAAGAGACCTCAGATGGATGTCAGCATAGTAGAGAAAGCTCTGTAATAGAAATAAACAACTTGAAATATAAATTAATAAAACAATGTCATTAATAATAGCATCAAAAATATGTACTATTTGGGCCAGGCACAGTGGCTCATGCCTGTAATCCCAGTACTTTGGGAGGCCGAGGGAGGTGGACCACCTGAGGTCAGGAGTTCAACACTAGCCTAACCAACATAGTGAAACCCCATTGCTATTAAAAATACAAAATGAACCGGGTGTGGTGGCTGGCACCTGTAATCCCAGCTACTTGGGAGGCTGAGGCAGGAGAATCGCTTCAGCCTGGGAGGTGGAGGTTGCAGTGAGCTGAGATTGTGCTATTGCATTCCAGCCTGGGCAACAAGAACAAAACTCCATCTCTAAATAAATAGATAAATAAATGTACCATTTGGGCGAACTCTGACAAAATATATACAAGATCTCTATGTGAAAAACAATTGTTGAAAGAAGTTTTAAAGAACCAAAATAAGTTGAGAGATAAGACTCAATATTAAGTTGTTAGCTTTCTCCAAGTTGATCTTCACATTCGTGAGAATCCCAATCAAAATTCTAAAGAACTTTATTTTGGTATTAGAAATTGACAGGTTGATTTTAAAAGTCCTCTGAAAATACACAGAACCTGCAGTAGCCAAAAAAAATGTCTAAAAAGAAAAACATTGGGGGACTTAATTTACCAGACTTCAAGATTTATTATAAAGCTAAAGTCATGATGACAGCGTGTTACTGGTTTAAGGATAAGTATATATAGATCAATAGAACAGAATAGAGATACCAGAAATAGACTTACACATAGTCAATTTATTTTTAACAAAGCAGCAAAGGTAACTCAGTATAAAAAAGATTATCTTTTGGGCAAAAGATGCTTAGGATGCTTGGATATCCACATGTAACTAAACTTTGATCCATAACTTGCACCATATATAAAAATTAATGTAAAATGGATCATAGACATAAAGGTAAAACCTAAAACCATAACATGCCTAGAAAAAAATAGGAGAAAATCCTTGTTATCTTGTTTGGGCAAAGTTTTCTTAGCTACAAGACCAAAAGCACAATCCAAAGAAAAAACTTGATAAACTACACTTCAACAGATTTAACATCTTTCCTGCAAAAGATACTGGTAAGGGAATGTAAAGGTAAGAAACAGACTGGGAAAACACACTTGTAAACTACATATCTGGTTAAAAATGTTTGCAGAATATGTAAAAAAAAAAAAAGTTATAACTCAATATAAGAAAACAAACAACCTAATAAATGGGCAAAAGATTTGCATAGACACTTTAGCAAAGAAGACATACATATGCAAATAAGCTCATGAAAAGATGCTCAATATCATTAGTCACTAGCGAAATGCAAATTCAAACTACAATGAGATGGCACTACACACAGATTAGAATGTCAAAAATTAAAAAGAATGAATACGCCAGTCATTGCATGATAAGGATTATTGTAATTCCCAGACACTGCTGTTGGGAATGTAAAATAATTCAATACTTTGCAAAGTAGTTTGGCAATATTTAAAAGTGGTACACATGTACCTACCCTATGACCCAGTCCTGGTTCTACCACTTACTAGTTGCTTGATCTTACATGAATAAACTGTTGTTCACTATGATTATTGTTAATAATAAAAATCCCTGCATTAGCTCATAAGCTCACTCAGGCTGCATTATCCACATAGTACTTTGTATATACAGGAAGGGGACGTGAAAAAGGTCACCATTATTTAGAAAGTATTACATATGGAATTGAGGACGATCCTCAGGTCGCCATGAGATGAAATATGCATTCCTTGCGTTCTCTTTTGCTGAGAGTGACAGTAATTGTAGAGCCCATTCCTTATAGCCATTCTTCTCACCACTGATTTCATACTATCTGAAACCATTTTGTTAGCATGACAATACTTCCTCTTGTAAAAGGTGCCACATGAGGACTTACCTATAATGAAGCACAGCAAGGCTGAAAAAGCGATCTTCTTAATGCTTTGTCACCCCGTAAAAATGACACTTCTGTTTTTTTGTTGAAGGATTTGCCAAATGGAAGGGGCTAAAAGTCAATCTCACTTGAAGGCCAAACTGAAGTCAGATTTTATGAAGGGGGAGAAGGAGAACAAAGAGGGTAGGGAGAAAGACGTAAGTTCAAAAATGTCCAGTTGTGCTTGGTCTCGAGCAAACAACCACGAGGTAAGGGATAAGTGATCCTTGAGGATTTAGAATGTTTTCTTGGTAAATCACTCTGTGAAAACACCCCCAAATTCCAAAAGAAGGAAAAGGCTGAAAGAGGAGAATTTCCACCAGCCCCAGATTGACTTTGTAGGTTGCTGTGAAGGATTAGGCAAAATCTCAAGGGACTTGCAAAATGTCAGTCCTGTTTGGTTGTGCCTGTTTCAAGGGACTAAAGGTTAGTGACAGAGAAGACGTAGATAAAACGTGGCTTAAGTGATACAAAGTGGTAGACAGAGCTGGGAAGGGAGGTTGAGGAGCTGGATAACAGGAAAGAATTATAACAAATTTAAGAATATCTAAAGAGCATTGTCTCTCCTGATTTATAAACCAGCTACTCAGCATGGAGATGGGGGCATGGTATAGTTCTGTTTTCAGTGTAAGTCCACACAGTGACAGAGGTAAAGATAAAGGTGAGAGATAAAGACCAGATATAGATTAAAGCAGGAACACAGAGTTTATTCTAGACTGCTATTAAGTGCTCACTGTGTTACTGTTACATTAAAGGAAGTAGGAAAACAAGAGCCAAAAGAGTGGAGGAACCAGGCAGAGTAAAACATATTTAGAAGGAATAAGAGATGCACGATAAGGCCTACAGAATATAAATATTAGGACAGAGCAGATGGGAGGAATATAAAATAGCTGGATGAAGGAAATGAGGATGATGACATATCATATTTAACACTGGAGACCAAGTTTATTTATTTATTTAAACTTTTATTTTAGGTTCATGGGTACATGTGCAGGTTTGTTATATAGGTAAACTTGTGCCATGGGGGTTTGTTGTACAGACCACTTCATCATCCAGGTACTAAGCCTAGTACCCAACAGTTATTTTTTCTGATCCTCTCCCTCCTCCCACCCTCCACCCTCAATAGGCCCCAGTGTCTCTTGTTTGCCTCTATGTGTCCATGTATTCTCGTCATTTAGCTCCCATTTGTAAGTGAGAACATGCAGTATTTGGTTTTCTGTTCCTGCATTAGTTTGCTAAGGATAATGGCCTCCAGCTCCATCCATGTTCCTGTAAAGGACATAAATTTGTTCTTTTTATGGCTGCATAGTATTCCATGGTATATATGTACCACATTTTCTTTATCCTGTTTACTGTTGATGGGCATTTAGGTTGATTTCATGTCTTTTAGATTGTGAACAGTGCTGCAATGAACATAAGCATGCGTGTGTTTTTATGGTAGAACAGTTATATTCCTTTGGATATATACCCAGTAATGGGACTGCTGGGTTGAGTAGTAGTTTAATTTATAACAGCAACTAACACAAGCTTCTGTTGAGACTCAGACAAGAGAATAATTTTCTCCTAGTGGGACAGGAAATTGTGCCTCTTTATACAAAAGTCTCATTCCCTGTAAGAGGAAGATGGTATTTTGTGGCCTGTGGGAGAAAAAAACCATGTTTTCTGTCTTTCTCCAAATAATAAAGTATGCCATATTTCACCATAAAAAGAGGAAAAATATAAAGGTTTTTGTTGTTGTTGTTGTTGTTTTTAAAGGCAACATAGTACCTGATCTCTCAGGTGTATGGTCTGGGAAAATTACCATGTTCTCAGAAATCTCTGAAAAGATGCTCAGTAAAAACAACCAGTAATGAAGTGGTCAGTGTGAGGGCAGAGACAGTGGGACAGCCCTGCTAGGCCTGGCATAATGGGAGCAGTTACTCTACAATCCCTGGATCCCAAGGGCTCTCTCTCTCTACCCCTCCACTTGAGCATCCTTCTGGACTTAAAACACATGTACTTGCTGACTGACTGGTTTCCCATAAAAACTGATCCTTTGTTTGTTTTAATTAAAAGATTTTTACTTAAGACTCATTTTATCACTCCCAAATCATCAAACACATCATGAGGCCCGAAACTGTGTAACTAAACAACACTGAAGTACTAACGTGGAAATTAGCAAATCTGTATTATCAAGTAGATCCTAAAATTCCCTCTGCTGGATAATATTCCAAAGGACAGAAATAACACTAGGAATCTTTCATATAAAATACAGCTTAAAGCAAAAGGCAATTAAATGGCACTATTTTGATAAATAGATGATAATGGTATAATTGGACATATTAAAGTAAACCAACATCAACAACAACTCCTTCATTTAGGAGGAACATGGAGATGCGAAAAAAGGGAGGAACATGTAGATTTGCCAAATGGCATACAACATTCAAAAAGTACTGCCTTCCCATGTTTTTACTCATTTCATGTTGATGAGCTATATGCCAAAATTACTGCTTTTATGGGATGTAAGAATCCTTAAAAGTTTACATTTGCTTGTAAATGTTTCAATAAAGGGCTTTACTAAATTAAAAGGATTTAGAGGAAGAATGCAATTCCTGTCTCAAGCTGCTGTCAGAAGACAGGTTTACAATGACTCCTAAAGTCATCCTTCAGTTATATATGGTCCCCTTATTGGTGGCATCTAATCATAGTGCAGGCTGCTCTCTTCATAATGGTGATCGCCAGCCTCTCAGCTTTTCCTAAATGTTATTTCAATTTTTTTCCCAAATGAACCACCTCAGTTCTATCATTAGCATAATGATTTATAAGAGTAACTTGTGGCATTAAGTGCCCAACTGCTCTTTTCCTTCAGAGCCTGTGGCCATTTTTCAAAAGTTTTAATATTTCCTAAGGATCTGTGAATCTGTCTCAACATCCACAAATTCTGTTCACATTTTTAAATAACTATTTTAAGTTGACTGAATTATCCTTTGGACTCGAGAAAAGTACATCCAAAATATCAGCAGCTGATCTTTCCCCTACTTAGTGATTCTGTGGGTTATTATTTTTGTCAATTAAAAAATATATAGGAATCAACCTAAATGCCCATCAGTGGTGGACTGGATAAAGAAAATATGGTACATATACAGCATGGAATACTATGCAGCCATAAAAAAGAACGAGATCATGTCCTTTCTAGGAACATGGATGGAGTTAGAGGCCATCATTCTCAGTGAACTAGCACAGGAATGGAAAACCAAATACCACATATTCTCACTTTTAAGTGGGAGCTACATGATGAGAACACATGGACACAAGGACAAGAACAGCAGACCCTGGTGTCTATCTGGGCGTGGAGGGTCAGGGTGGAGAGAGGAAAAGAAAAAGTAAGTATTGGGTACTGGGCTTAGTACCTGAGTGACAAAACAATCTGCACAACAGATCCCCGTGACATGAGTTTATCTATATAACAAACCAGCACTTGTATCACTGAACCTAAAATAAAAGTCAAAAAAATATATATATTCCAGACTGGGCAACATGACAAGAACCTGTCTCTATGAAAAATTTAAAAAACCCTACCTGAGCATGGTGGTGCATGCCTGTAATCCCAGCTATTAGGGAGGCTGAGGTGGGAGGATTACTTGAGCCCAGGAGGTAGAGGCTGCAGTGAGCCATGATCCTGCCACTGCACTCCAGCCTGGGCAACAAAGTGAGACCCTGTCCTGCCACCAGCCCCCCTCCCCCCAAAAAAGGACACACACACACATACAGAAACCAAGCTAATTTATTTTATTTTAACAAGATGCTTGAGAGCTTCAGTGGATGAAAATAAAATAAGTTGTGTGTAAGAAATCTAAAATATTGAAAAAATGTCACCAGACATCACAATTTCACTTAAAATATTTGATACTTTGGAGTAGCTGTCAGAACATCCTAGTAAAGTGTTTCTTTACAATTGATTAAGAGACTGTTGACTTCTCACTTTTTTTTTAATTTTCTTAATTCAACAAATATTTACTTGGTGCTTAGTCAGGTCCAGCTACTGTGCTGAACGCTGGTACTACGAATGGGAATACAGGCTCTGTCCTTTAGGAGCTTCTGGTCTAGGGAAGGCATTGGACAGATAAACAGCCAATTACCAGAGTATGGTCAGTACAGTGATGGAGGACGTGGGCATTGTGGGAGCAGATAAGAGGGTGTCTAGTCTCAAC
Organism: Homo sapiens; assembly: GCF_000001405.40. Lineage (NCBI taxonomy): Eukaryota > Metazoa > Chordata > Mammalia > Primates > Hominidae > Homo > Homo sapiens. The sequence continues at coordinate 32,390,661 of NC_000008.11, read as the reverse complement.
CTAAATATATCAGGGAAAGTTTTTCTTTTCTTCTTCTTCTTCTTTTTTTTTTTTTTTTTAAGACAGGGTCTCGCTCTGTTGCCCAGGCTGGAATGCAGTGGCATGATCACGGCTCACTGAAGTCTTGACCTCCCAGGCTCAAGCAATCCTCCCACCTCAGGCTCCTGAGTAGCTGGGACTAAAGGTGCTCACCACCATGCCTGGACTACAGGTGCTCATCACCACGCCTGGTTGTTTATTTTTTGTAGAGATGGAGTCTCACTATGTTGCCCAGGTTGGTATCAAACACCTGGGTTCATTCGCCCTGGCTGTGCCTCCCAAAGTGCTAGGATCACAGGTGTGAGCCACCAGGTCTAGAACAGGAAAAGTCTTATGGGAAAAAGACTGCCACCTATGAGAAATCTCAAGGATAAATAGGACTTATCTAAGTGAAATGGGTTAGAGAGAAGAGACAGGAAAGCATTTCCAGAATCAGGGACACCAGAGACCCCAGGAGAACATGGCGTCTTTTAAGATGTAGCCCAGGCATAGAGAATGGGAAAGCAGAGTGAAGAGGGTGCAGAAAGGGGAGGGAAAAAAATGACGAACAGTAAGACTGAAAGAGCTGGGTGTAGTGGCTCACGCCTGTAATCCCAGCACTTTGGGAGGCCAAGGTGGACAGATCACTTGAAGTCAGGAGTTTGAGACCAGTTTGGCCAACATGGTGAAACCCTCTTTCTACTAAAAATACAAAAATTGGCTGGGCATGGTGGCATGCACCTGTAACCCCAGTTATTGGAAGGCTGAGGAACGAAAATCGTTTAAACCTGGGAGGCAGAGGTTGCAGTGAGCTGAGATCGCGCCACTGCACTCCAACCTGGGTGACAGAGTGAGACTCCATTTCAAAAAAAAAAAAAAAAAAAGAAAGAAAGACTGAAAGAAAAGCTGCAGGACCTTGTAAGAATTGTCTGTACAACATTGGAAGCAATATCACTCTGATTGCAGAGAAAGGGTTGAAAGTATACAAGACCAGAAAGTAGGAGACCATTTAGGCAGAAAGTCAGGTGGTCAGTGAGGATGGCCAGAACTAGGGTGATGGCAATACAGATGCAGAGACATACTGATTCAAGAGATATTAGATAGGTTCAACCAGACTTGATGACTCATCTTTCAGCGGACAAGTGAAATGAAGAAGAGAGAGTTGGCACATATTAGAAAGGTATGTAGAAATGAGGCCATCACACTGAAGCCAAATATTTAAATATCTTCTTAATATGCTATAAATTCTACAAGACCTGCGACTAGGTCTCCCACAGGTTGAACCCAGTTCTGCAAATATCAATATTAATCTAATCTTTGCATAGCAAAAATCTCTCATCTCTGCTGATAGGCTTCTTTGTAGGACAAGATTATAAGCAAAACATGCCAAGCATTACAAAATCGTCACAATTGTCCCTTAACAGTTACTGAAATGGTATTTGGTTTACGTTTCTTCGCAGCTCCCCCTGGGACCTGTGACTCTTCAACACACAGTGGAAGGGACAGTCAAGGTTGCAATGATGTGCTGGACAGACGTTTTAAGACAATTTGGCGATAGAAAGAGATTACGGATTTCAACAATGACTAATAAATAAAACACCCTTTATATTTTTGATTGATAAAGGAACATCGTTCAAGAAGGTCAAAATGTGGCTATTTCCTAATATGAATTTTTAAAGCAGGTGGCATTAGGTTACCCTAATACAAAAGGATGCCCCTAAATTTCCCAGAAGCCATATGGGTACATTTAACATTACAGAAAATTCCATCTGGAACGTTCCTTCTTTTCTTAACATGAAACTCATTCCTATTTCCCCCCCAAAAAAAACTTTATCATTTTTTATTGATTTTTATTATTACTAATTTATCACCTACAGGTCATTATGAGAAAAGGCAGAAAGCTGAAAATAGAATTGGTGAGGGAAAAACCAATAATGCTGAAATGGGATTCTGAGAAATAAAGCATTTTTTGAGACGAAAAAAAAAAACCGTCTTGTAATCAGTAACCAAATGGATGAGCTGAAAGTCTCAAAAACAATGTGTATGGTCTACTGTGGGGTTGTTTCCAGACCCATCCTTCCCAGAGCCTGAGGCGGCAACTACACTCTGTGACCTTATTTCTTCTTAATGTCATTGTAGCCACTTAAAAGATGCCTGTGGATACATTCATTAATTCAGCAAGCATTTATGAAACACCTCCAGAGAGCCAGCCATAGTTCCAGGTTTCGAGAATTTTACTTAAGATGTGGGAAAACCCCTACGTTAGAAATTTTGCTTGCTAATTAATAACATATCCTCTCTTGGCTTTGGCACACATACATACTAAGAAAATTACTAGATCAGATCTTTGTCCAATAATCTAATTACTTATGTCAACAGAGAGGCTCTTCAAGTATACTTGATTCACTTACCTATGTAAAGTTCACAACCCTTAAAAGTTCTTCAACTTACTATAAGGGGTAATACTGGCAATATTTGCATAGGTGAGGCTGCTATGACAAAGACATCAAAAGGAACATCCATCTGGGTAGTGCTGAATAAGGCTAATGAGAATTCTGATTGGAAATTTCATTTCATGTTGCTCATTGACTACGCTGAACCTGGCTTTCAGGTCACCTGGGCATTAGAATCCTCATCCGAAAGTCTGTTTTTGTTTTTTTCCAAGTGACTGAATCGTAACAAGCTTGAGGAGACAGGCGGCTTCCTAATCCCAGCTCAATTGATATCCATGTAACAATGAATGTCACCAATGCTAACAGCTGCTGCTTTAGCACAGGTGGTAAACTCAGTCTCCCACTCTACTTTTATCTCAGTGTACACAGAACTAAGAAGAAACATGCTGAGACTCAGAAAGCCACCGGGATTTTTTTTTGCTGGGAACTTTCCAAAAGTCAGCCATTGCATCTATTTTTTTTTTTTCTTTTTCATCATGTCACCACTAAAAGCTTAATTGTTTTAGGAAAAGGGTGTGGGTTGGGACATGAACTTCATTAGGGTAAAGAATCAGTAGGAGCACTGTTCAAAGAGGACAAGTAGGTAAATATTACTTAATCTGGGAGGTGTTTCCTAAAAAGATTCCTGGGAATCAGACTTTGTTATGTGCATAAGCCTAGCTATGGCTCAGAACACATCCAACCACCAGCAACACAACCCAAAGAGCTTCTTGTTTGAGATCAGATAGGACCATAGCAAGGCACAGAGTTATTGTGTATACCTTTGCAGACTTCATCTTTTTTGTGGGCTGGACATTATTTAATAATACATTAGAAACCTAATCATCATTCTTAGAATGCAAAGGCTTTCAAGTCAGTCCCTACCATTAGCTCTTTCTCATGTTCTGAACTTCAAAGCCATTGTTGATGACATCACAATAGTCACATCAATAAATCTTGTCAATAAAGTGATGAACTGTGTACTACCTTGTCAGAAGAATAAGAAATGTGTCTTGCTATATCCTACTCTTATTTTGCAGGCCATATCTCTACTTGTATTTACTGAAAATTGCTTTTAAAATCTGAAAACTACCTATGTTACTTAAGTTCAAGCTTTATGTGCACTGAAAATTATTCCTGAAGTCTACTAACTTTTAGTGAATCTCTCCTGATAGAGCACACAACTGTTCAGGCCATATTCCTGGTTCTCAGCCTCTGACATTTTGAACTAGCAATTTTTTTTTACATATGTGAGTTTTGTTCTCACAAGGACATCATTGGCTTCTTGAAGGCATATGCTATGTCTTGATTTGCTCTGCATCCCTACACATAGCACAGTTTAACTGCATAATAGATAACTATTTGCTGGTAGTAAAATTTGTAAAATTTGGTATCTGCATGGGTCTAGGAGTAGGTCAAGAAATGAAAGTAAGGAGAGACAGAAAGAGAAAGTACAAAATTGGAAAGTGCCATGGATTCCATTTGCTTCAGTCTTCCTTACTTCTCCAGGCCTTGCAGAAGTCCTGTTTCTGCCCAAACTGGGAGAATACATTTTATGTGTTCAAATAGACAATACTTTATAGGCCTTAGAATGTAAACTACATGAGGACATAGGTTTGTCCGTTTTGTCCATTGTTGTATCCACATTTCCTAGAGCAGGTCCTGACACGTAATAGGTACTCGGTGAAAATTTGTTAAATATATAAAAGCACTGAAACAAGAATCTCTCACTGAATCTCCATCTCAAGGCACCATCATAGAATGAGCAAGTAGAGGTTTTAAAGATAAGCTAGTCAAATTTCCTTATTTTGCAAAGACAGAAACAGAGGCAACGGAGGGAGGAAAGTCTGGGTCGTCTAACTCTTAGCTCTGTCCACTGATTTAGTTTTCCTCTTTGCATAAAACTTTAATAGAGAGACAGCTTTCTTATAAAATCATATTCCAGGGCCAGATGTGGTGGCACATGCATGCAGTTCCACAGATTTGGGAGGCTGAGGCAGGAGGATTGCTTGAGGCCAGTAGTTTGAGGCTGCAGTGAGCCATGACTGCACCACGGCATTCCAGCCTGAGCAACAGAGTGAGACTCTGTCTCTAAATAAATAAATAAATTGAATGAAAATGCCTGCTAATGGCAACTAAAATCTAAAGACCTATGACAGCATAGACAGAATCATGCCCTGGGTACTAGGTAAAAATAAATAAACAAAAGTAAGGGTTGGTTTTGGAGACAGAATTCAAACTTCTCATTACGTGATTTGAATGAATGACGTTTTATTATTTGCAATTAATGGCATTTTACTCAATGATTCTCTTATCTGACAGCAGTATTGCTGAAAAGATTGGTGTCAAGTAGCTAATTTCTTCAGTAAACACACAGGCTGCTTTAACTGAAGGTGAGGATGATTACTAGGTGATATGGCTTGGATCTGTGTCCCCACCGAAATCCCATGTTCTATTGTAATTCCCAGTGTTGAAGATGGGGCCTGGTGGGAGGTGATGGATCATAGGGGTGGTTTCTCTTGACTGGTTTAACACCATCCCCCTTGGTACTGTTGTGACGGTGAGTAAATTCTTGTAAAAGTGTGTAGCACCTCCTGGCTCTCTTTCTTGCTTCTGTTCCTACCATGTAAGACGTGCCTTCTCCTCCTTTGCCTTCCGCCATGATTGTAAATTTCCCTAGGCCTCCCCAGAAACCAAGCAGACGCCACTGTACTTCCTATACAGCCTGCAGAACCATGAGCCATTTAAACCTCTTTTATTTATAAATTACCCAGTCTCCAGGATTTCTTTATGGCAGTGTGAGAATGAATGAATACACTAGGGTTATTTGCTGTTGGTTGTTTTGCCTCTCAAGCTTCTTTTTTACCTCATTCAAAAAAGAGAGGCCAGCCAGGCGCGGTGGCTCACGCCTGTAATCCCAGCACTTTGGGAGGCCAAGGCGGGTGGATCACGAGTCAGGAGACCGAGACGATCCTGGCTAACATGGTGAAACCCTGTCTCTACTAAAAATAGAGAAAAAAAAAAATTAGCCGGGCATGGTGACGGGCGCCTGTAGTCCCAGCTACTCGGGAGGCTGAGGCAGGAGAATGGCATGCACCTGGGAGGCGGAGCTTGCAGTGAGCAGAGATCTTGCCACCGCACTCCAGCCTGGGTGACAGAGCGAGACTCCGTCTCAAAAAACAAGAGAGAGAGGCCATAAGTAGCTATAGACAGGCACCAAAATGGTTTCCCCTAGAATAAGGGGACAAGTTCAGGAACTTTTTCTCTTAAAAATTTGAATCAGTAAATTCCAGTTTAAAATGGAGGAGAATAGAATTGCTATTGTTATCTACTGTAACTGACAGTTTTATAAAAACGCTGCTAAAATCAAGGATCTTTTTGAAATCTCACTAAGTTACTTGGGGAATTTTTGAATCCATCAAGATTTACACGTAGGCAAAACAAAATAACCTAGGTTTATAACAAGCCCTAATGTAAAAACGACTTAGAAATAAGATGGTGGTGTTGGATTTTAAGACTCAGTTTCCCTATTACATGGGAATCTGTAATTTTTATTTTTCCCTTCCAAAAGACATCTTCATATGTGAACCACTTGTTTGGGCAAAGGAAAATCAAAAGGCAAAATTGTATCTATTCTATCTAGCACTCCCCAAGGTTATCAGAGAGCTTTCAACTGCTAGACAATGATGTTAATCAGTACTCCAGAGTTTGGTCCATAGAACAAACCAAAATGACAAAGTTACAGACCAAACTTCAGATCTTGCATTAGTCCCACCAGGAGACAGATAATCTGTGAGGCCTGGCCTGAGCCATGAGCTAATCTCTTATCTCTGTGCTAAAAGAATCACTTCTAACTTTCACTGTCATTATCAATGCATTCATTATATGTATTATTATTTGTCGTTAGTATTGCTCTTTTATATTTGTACCATTTACAGTTTGTTTATTTATTTATTTATAATATTATTGTCTTTTGAGACAGGGTCTTGCTCTGTCACCCGGGCTGGAGTGTAGTGGTGCAATCACAACTCACTGCAGCCTTGAACTCCTCCCCTCAAGCTATCTTCCCAGCTCAGCTTCCCAAGTTGCTGAGACTATAGGTACATACCACCACTCCTGGCTATGTTTTTCTATTTTATTCTAGAGACAAGTTCTCCCTATGTTGCCTAGTCTGATCTTAAACTCCTGGGCTCAAGTGATCCTCCCTCCTTGGCCTCCCAAAATGCTGGGATTACAAGTGTGAGCCACTGTGCCCAGCTTCATTTACAGTTTATAACTCACTTTCTATACATATCATCCTGTGGGCTAAGACAAAGTAAGAATTACAGTCCCAATTTACCAGACGAAGTGGGGCTATGCATTCTCATTACATACCCAGGTCATCTAATTGGCAAATAGCTGACATCTAACCTGGAATCTTTCCTCTAGTCTGCACTGTCCTTAAAGTACTGAAGATGATTCTGCAGACTGATACCGCATGACGGACCAATCCATCACCAGATGGTGTCTGAGTGAAACGTAAGGTGGCGCAGTAAAAAGATACTGAGTCCAAGTCACAAAAGCTGGCAGTCACATCTATGTGACTCTGATTTGTGGCTCCAGAGATATGTCCAATTCCAGTCCAAAAGGGTGGGAGCTCAGGGGCAAAAATTATATGTCTGTCTTCATTTAGATACTTCTAGATGCTAAATTTCAGGGTGTTAGGTTCACAGGTGGGAAAAAGGAGGAGGTAGGAGAAAGTTTTGTATCAGGTTACTTAGGTATGTGACCTAGGTATGGCTAGGTAGCCCTCTGGTGGCTACCCTCAATGACGGGTCTAGAGAGAAAATAACCAAGTTGACCTGTTCCTGTCCTTTCTTTCATTCTGATAGAAGGGCAGTTTTATTTATAAGTTTCATGTGATTTCACTCTCATTGCAATATGTGGTCTCTGACATGAAAGGAAAGAAAGGTTTACTTTTACCTGAAGTTTTTGTTGTTGTCTTTTAGAGACAGGGTCTTGCTCTATCACCAAGGCTGGAATGCAGTAATGCCATCATAGCTCACTGCAGCCTCCAATCCTGGGCTCAAGGAATCCTTCCACCTCAGCCTCCTGAGTAGCTGTGACTACAGGCATGTGCCACCATGCCCATCTAATTTTTTTTTTTTTTTTTAGTAGGGACGAAATCTTGCTACATTGCCCAGGCTGATCTCAAACTCCCGGCCTCAAATGATCCTCCTGCCTCAGTCTTCCAAAGTGCTGAGATTACAGGTGTGAGCCACTGTGCCCAGCATTCATTACCTCAAGTTTTCATATTATTTTTATTTTAAATATATAAAAAGTAGTTCATTCCATCAATGTAAGTTTCATGAGGGAAGTGGGTTATTTGACCTCTGCTCAATTTCCAGGGCCTGGACCAGTGTATGGGACAGATAGATCCAAGAAGTATTTGCTGACTGTATCAGCTGAAGTCATATCTTACACTTCTTTTCCTTACTGTTCTAAGGAGAGCTCCACTGGTTTACTGATATAGGTTTTCAGGTCAAGCTGTGACCACTTGCAACTTATGTCTATTCCTTGGTAGTCTTGTGTATAAAACTTAGGTGGCAAATACGAAAATTATTATAAGTAAATAGGTTAAAATCTTGAGACACACTTACCCAAGTGGATTTGCAAACCTTAATCTTATATTTCCAGGTAGATAGGACCTTGCAATAGTGAGAGTTTGCACAGGTAATTCATCATCCTGGTATGATATCCCAGTTAGAGAATTTCCACTTCCCTCAGTCAAACACATATAGCTACAAGATCTAAGCTCCATAGCTACAAAAGGCATTATCTTCTGAACCCAGAAATCACCAAAGTATTTTGGCTTTACACAGGTTGTATAATTTCTACGGTTATGAAAAATTATAAACGATTATATCAATGTTTATTATGATTATCTAGTCGCCAACAAACCCACCTTTATTTTCTACTTATTTCTTCTGACAGAACTGGATTCTGACACCTGCTAAATTTGTCACCTTGGAAAGTTATACTCTTTAAATCTCAATTGTCATGCATAAGATTAGAAATGATCATAATACTCACTTCATAAGACTGCAGTAATAGTTAATGAGATAATTCATGGAAAGCTTCTAGAATGGTATCTTCTAAATTCTAAGAACTTATAGTGAATTTATTGTTATTACCATTGTTATCATCTCATTCATGCTATTCATAATCTAAAGGTGAAAATACCATATAATAGTTCAAACTCTCTAGGAGTTTTCTCACTTTTAAAATGCTTTTCACTTTTAGATGTCTATATTTTGTCAAATATGTTCAATTATTTTGTCTATATTTACTTTCAGTTTTAACTGCTTATACTAACTTTCAGTTATAAAGTAAATTTCAATAATGTTTCAGATATTGTTCTTTGTTTATATTTTGTATAGTTCAACAGGGTCATAATTTGAGAGGCCAAATCCATAACATTTTCTTGATTATTTTTTACTATTTAAGAGTATCTTTAACCATAGCTGATTTATAATTGTGAGCCATGTCATTCTTTATTTGTCTTAATATTGTTAACTCAGAAGTTGTTGTTTAGTAGGCTTAAATATAATTTTAAAAGGTAATTTGGTCCCCCAGTATTATCAGTCTTCTAGATACAGCTAATGTGTAACTAAGAATATAATTATTATTCCAAAATGCAACATAAATTATTTATTTTGTTATCAAGTATTTATTGAGGACTGTGCTGTACCAGGCCCTGCCTCCGTGTTGAGGATGTCCCATTGAACAGGGTACACAGCTGCCCTCGTGAAGCTTATATTCCAAACAGTCAGCAAACGAACAAGCCAACAAACATAATCAGATGGTAACAAGTGCTCAGGAGAGTGGATGTGACTGTGGGGCTACTTTAGGGGCTTGGCTAAGGCTTTTCAGAGTAAAAGTTATTTTCATGGAATGACAAGACAAAGCAAATCATGCAAGGATCAAGGGAAGAGTGTTCCAGGTAGAGGAAACAGTTACCTTGGAGGCACCAAGCTGGAAAGAATCTGCTTGGTATATTTAAGAAATCGAAAGAGACCAATGAGGTTGAAGTTAGGAGACCATGTGTAGCCCGGGCAGGATAGGATAGTAACTTTAACTTGGGTGAAAGAAATGGATATGTATAAAAGTGACCATGAAGAGAAGTTGACTAACGGGTACAAATATACAGTTTGATAGAAGAAATAAGATCTAGCGTTACATGGATCAGTAGGGTGACTATAGTTTACAATAATCTATTGTACATTTCAACATAGCTGGAAAAGAATAATTTGAATGTTTCTAGCTTATAAAAAGACAAATACTTTTAAAAGGTGATGGATATCCCAAGTACACTGACTTTATCTTTACAAATTAGATGAATGTCTTAAATTATCACATGTACCCCAAAACTATGGACATTTATTATGCATTAACAAAAAACTTAAAAAATGTTTTAAAAAGTGAACGGACTTAGATGTTTCACAGGTAGAGGCAATAGGGCATACTGATTGAGTTAGTATGGTGATGAGGAAGTAAAAAGGAATAATTCAGATTTCTGTCTTAAGGTTCTTAAGTGGAGAGTGGTAATGTTTACTGAGATGTAGAAGCACAGGGGAGGTGGACCAGGATTGGAGGAGAGAAATCTAGGACTCTGTTTTATTAGTGTGAAGTTTGAGAAATCTTCTGGACATCCAAGTGGGGATTTCAAGGTGGTGGTTGGGTGTTGGGTGGTCAAGTCTGAAGTCCAGGGGAGAGACTATGCTTGAGAGTCATAGATACATGGCTCACACAGGTGGCCAAGCAACTGGAGGGGTCACCTAAAAAGAGCATATAGAAAAAGATTTCCAGAAACACTCTACATTTATTCGTTAAGCAAAGACAGAAGAACTGGCAAAAGTATTCCAGAAGAAGAATCTACGAGGAGATGGTAAGAGGAAAACCGAAAAGGATTGTAAGAGGAAGACCGAGGATATATGGTGTTATAGATGACAAAATATATTATTAAAAAAAGTATTTCAAGCAGGAGAGAATGGCCAACTTTGTTGGATACTGCCAGAGACATAATAAAATAAGAACAGAAAAGTGACTGAATTTGGCAATGTGGAGATAGAAGCAAAAAGGTAATAAATAAATTTGGGTGAGAAAGTGGAGATGGTGATGACAAATGCCTTTTTAAGAAGTAGGTCTGTGAAAGGGAGCAGAGCAAATGAGAACAGCAGTGCAGTAAGGAAGAAGGTTTTGTTTCATCTTCTTTTTGTTTTTGAAGGTGAGGGATATTGGAACATGTCTACAAGCATTAGGGATGATTCAGAAGAGAGAGGTATTCATGATACGGGGAAATCCCATGAACGAAGTCCTTGAAAATACAGAAACTTGTATCCAGAAATCTTAGGACAGTATTGACCTATAGGTGGAGTTGATCGAGCTTCAAGTTCTGGCTCTGCCAATAACCAGCTACACAACCCTGGATAAACCACTTTACCTCTCATAACCTGAATTTCCCTCAACTGATAGGATTTGTTAATATCTTCAGTGATAAGGTCTATGTCAATCTTACAGTGAGAATTTAACTCAGTGCACATGCAGAAGGATCTGACACAATGGATGGCATCCTGTAGGAGCTCAGTAAATGCTGAATCATAATTTGTTATATCAATCATATGCAATTACCCCTACCAGAGGATTTTTCCATTCATTCTTTTGTCACAACCCTGTTATATATTTTGATAGACTAGTTCTTTCAAAATGTCAAGGTGCTGCTAATTCTCCACCTATGACCAGAGGAGAGTTTTATTCTCTTGTTATTGAGGGCAGAGTGTGGACCCAGATAATGCCCATAATACAATTTTACCCAGGGAGTCCTCAAGGGCTAAGCCCTCATTAGCAAAATGAGTTTTAATCTTCCCTGTTTTCAGATCTACATATTTCAGAGTAGTATCTTAAATAAGAGTTAAGTGGTTTTAAGGCATAATCTCTCATGTTTGATAAGTGTTTTTTTATAGTCTCTTTTGCTCTTCAGAAAAAAATCTGTCAAGGTGAACCTAAGAATATTTGGAGATTTCATTGAGCTTTCCATTGGCTTTTTGACCCAGGAGATGGCAAATAGATATATGCTAAGTTTTAAAAAAAGATATGTTTATTGCGGCACTATTCACAATAGCAAAGACTTGGAACCAACCCAAATGTCCAACAATGATAGACCGGATTAAGAAAATGTGGCACATATACACCATGGAATACTATGCAGCCAAAAAAAATGATGAGTTCATGTCCTTTGTAGGGACATGGATGAAACTGGAAACCATCATTCTCAGCAAACTATCACAAGGACAAAAAGCCAAACACCGCATTTTCTCACTCATAGGTGGGAATTGAACAATGAGAACACATGGATACAGGAAGGGGAACAACACACTCTGGGGCCTGTTGTGGGGTTGGGGGACGGGGGAGGGATAGCATTTGGAGATATACCTAATATTAAATGACGAGTTACTGGGTGAAGCACACCAACATGGCACATGTATAAATATGTAACTAACCTGCACGTTGTGCACATGTACCCTAAAACTTAAAGTATATAAAAAAAAGATATGTTTTCAACAATTGAAATGCTTCAAAATTTGCACTTAAGTACTCCAAGAATCAGGGCAAATCCCTTGATCTTTCCTGTAAAAATAGAAAAAATTCCTTACAGGTGAAAATGCTCTTAGGTGCTATAAATTGGAGCTATGTTTGGTTTCTTCTTCATTTGGGCTTCTATCCTAATCCTGTATTATTGCTTTTAGGTAGAATTAAGTACCTACCACAGTGGCTGTCATGGTAGGCACTCAGTGAGTAAATGGAAGCGCCCCGGGCATAATGAATATAGGATGTTTTATTCTTAGAGCTGGCTTTATGAGTAAAAGTCCTGTACAATGCACAGTTTGGTGCTCTACTATTACCCTCTTGAAATTCCTAATGATTTTTTAATGAGAGACTCAGCATTTTCATTTCCCACTGGGCCCCACAACATGTCTAGCTGGCCTTGTTCCTTCTTTCTCCCTTATCTTTTCATAACACCAACTGACCTCCTAAATATCTCTCAAACCAGCTCAATTCTCTCAGTTCCCATTATTGCTGCCTGAATTAAGCCACAAGCGGCCCTCCTCTGGGTGGGCACAGAGCCTTTCATCTGCATTCCCACTCTACTTTTGTGTTCATCCAATACAATTTCTAGAATATATTCAGAGTGCTCATTTCAAAATATAAATCTGATTCTATCATTAGTTTGGCAAATATTTACTGGGAGTTTGTTCTAGGTATTACGCCAGGTACTGGAAGTGTAATCATGATCAAAACCAGTCACAAATCAAAAGTAATTCCAAGAGGGACATCATCCTGATTTCTGGGAGAAAGAAGGGCTTGGTATTAGCCATGATTAACTAAAATACATTTCTAGGCAGACTCTCTGATTACACTACTTTGATGGATACATTGGTTCAGATACTGGGTGAAATTGGGGAGGAGGGAATAAAGAAAATAAACACTTTAAAACTAATTCACTCTGGAAAGCACACTGGAAGCCAAGCTGCTGTGTGGTTTTCCCATATCACAACAGGTAACTACAAATCCTTACTTTGAATAAATTTCATGTGAAAACTGTTTTGGTTCATGACTCTGGGGATCTAATTGATGATGTGTTTTTGTGTTGTTGAAAATCCAAGGTTTATTGATAGAAAAAAACAGCCTGCATATCTTGCAGGTATCCCCAAAGGTCCCACAGGGGTCAATTCTGTGCAGAGACAAGTGGTCTTATATTTAGATACAAGTAGCATAACTTTGCTCTCCTCTAATTTCCCCCAGTCTCTGAAGCATTTAGATCCCTTTCTCACTTAGTAGTGGAAAATGTTAGCTCTGGTTGAAAATTAGAATCTCAAAATACTTGTTATTCAACCTTTATCAGAAGTTTGGGTAAATGGGGAAACAAAGGAACACATGAAGAAAGCTGTCAAAGTTAAAAAGTGTCCTTCAACTTCTTGAAGCTTTCTTGGGTGAATTGAGCCACTCAAATGTTGAACACTCTATGTGCACTGGGCTAATTCTTCCAAAATGGCTTTAACTCAATTTTGCTTTAATGTTATGCCCTTGGCTTTTATTCAAGGTTTATACTAGAAACCATCAGATGAAATTCGCTTCTGCATTTACTGTAAAAATGTGGTTGAGGGCATTGTCCATTACATCAGTCAATATGCGCTATTAAGTCCCATGTGAGAAAATTCTTTCAAAATTAATTTTAGAAAATAAAATGGGCTCCTTGTTAAACTGATATTCTGATTCCTTTCCAATAATGAAAGATGTATTAATTTGGACTTTTTTTGTTTTAAGTGGCAGAGTTCTACTCAGACTTGCTAATCAAAGAATGGAATTTACTTGCTCTCACTGCTTGGAAGGACTCTTGGATCATGGTCAGAATCAAAAGCTGCAGCAGCCAGGTTTCAGGGCCTCAGGGACAGAAGCCAGAACTCAGTACACAGGGCTTGCTCTCTCTCCATTTGCAATTCTCCTCTGTTCAGTTTTCTTCCTCCCACTGGAGACAGGCCTGCTCCTCAGGGCAGGGAATTTAGCCAATGGATAGCCCCAATTTATATTTTTCCAGCTTAGCATCTTTAGTGGGCAATAAACTCCATTCCAAAGCATATGTATTAACCTCTGGGAAGACTCTTATTGATCTCGAACTCTTATTGGCCAGGTACCTAGGTACCCATCCTCTGGAAAATCACCATGTCAAGGGAATGGGGGTCCTATGCAGAAGGGTAGAAGATGGGGCACATTGATTGACAGCCCTAGGCAGAGGGTGGAGAAGAACCTCCCCAAAGAAAAAAAGAGTCCTGTTAACAGAAGAAGAGCCCAAGAAAGCACACAGGGCAGATAAAAGGGAATGGCCAGAGCGATCTGTGACCTGAGCTAGGATAACAGTTTGTTTTCCATTTTGCTCTGAATATTAGGAAGCCTGTAGGCAAATATGGAGCCTAACACCAATAATTATATTTACCTTTTAGCTTGGTTCATTTTAACTTTGATTGTGTTTTCTTACTTTCTTTTACAGCTTCATTGTTATACCTAGTTTTATAAGCTTTTAAATGTTCCTTTGAAAAGAAATAAGATATTGAAATATGATTATTCCATAAAATTATTTCTTGGGTTAGTCTGCTGAATCGTAAGATGCCAATTTGAAAACAGAAATATTTTATTCTTGAAAATAAAGCTAAGAGTGAAGTTTATAGTAGAGAAACATGTCTGTAAAAAAGAGAAGAGAGGAGTAAGTCAAACCTTGTCTTTAAGGGCCGACCATACTCTGCTGTTTTGTGCATTGCTGGCCATGGTGGCCTTGTGTTTGTGGTGGAAAGTCCCTTACAATGAAAGGAAAAGCCAGCCCTTAATACACTATGAGGCACAGCTCTTTACAGCAGAAGACAAATATGTGAACAGAAAATTAGCTGTAAGGGCTACTGGAAAGAGCTTTCATTAGTAGCTCCAGTTGCAGGACTTCTTGAGAAGGAAGAGTTTTAGAAGATTTTTCCAGATGTTCAAAGGCAGTTGATTGGGTCACCTGACCTTGCAACTGGAAGTCTTCCCTTCTGAAGAGACTCTCATCACCACCTTGGCCAATCACATGATTTCTCCTTTCTAACTCTGGGCTAAGGATGGGCAACATCTTCTCTCCTGATCAAAGATGAAACAGATTTGAATTTCCCGAGATCTTTAATAAGGACTAAGTAAAAATATGCTATTATCAAATATACAACTGACAAGTTTTTTAAGAATATATTTTAGTATATTATTCATAAAAATGGTGTGGTTCTATCACCTTTCCTCATAACTGCATACTTATCTCTTAAACTTATTTCTCACCACAGAGTACCACAGAGGGGTAGCTGTCTAAAAATGCTGATGAGGCTGGGCACGGTGGCTCGCACCTGTAATCCCAGCACTTTGAGGAGCCAAGGTGGGGGGATTGCTTGATCTCAGGAATTTGAGACCAAACTGGGCAATGTAGAAGGCCTCATCTCTAAAAAAAAAACTATATCCAGGTGTGGTGGTGTGTGCCTGTAGTCCCAGCTACTCAGGAGGCTGAGGTGGGAGGATCACTTGAGCCAGGGAAGTGGAGGTTGCAGTGATCCAAGACTTCGCCACTGCACTCCAGCCTGGGTGACAGAGGCAGACCTTGTCTCAATAAACAAACAAACAAATAAATAAAATGCTGATGACATTCTTAGGCCTAGGCAAAAATATCCGTTCTTAGGGTTCTGCTGTTGAGCCCTAGGTTCCATCCTCACTCAAGGACTTGGGGTGGTTACAACCCTCCTCCACTATCCCCCAGAAGATAATCTGATCTCTGCTTCCCTACATTACAGAGACCTGGCCTGTTTTCTTAGTAACTTTAAATTATAGCTTATGATAAAAAAACAATGCCTTAACCATTCAATAAACATAATTTCTAGTCTCCAAGAACCCTATCTGTTCTCTCAGTAGGATTACTGTCTCATTGGGACAATGAAATCAGAGGAAATATAGTCAGTGTAAAGAAGGCCCTGGAGGTGAAGATGTTGGGAGGCAGAAGAGGGGAATCACTAATTTGGTTTTGCTCTGTTTTCCAAAGGACTTCACAGTCATTTATTTGCTATTCGTCAAACAACAGCTGGCACCTAAATTGTCAACATTTTCTTTGCATAACCTCAAGAGTGAGTGCGACACAGATAGGCAGCAGAGAAGGAGGATGATGCCTCCGATACTACCAGGTTCTCTAAACATCATTTCTTCCCTCCCTTTCCATAAGGAGTCATTTAATGATCTCTTTATGATGTAATGTGGTTAATGTAGAACCACATTGTGTTGTGGAACGCAGCAGTTGAAAGCGAGCTGAGTGATTTCAGAGAAACAGCCCAGATCACACCAATGCACTGCTTTTATGTGTTTTTCTATTGGCTCCTGGAAAATGACAGCACCTCTAATAGGCACTTGGGAAAATGAGTATTTCTCACTATTTCCACTGAAATAAGCCCGTTCAATTCCACCGAAGTTTTGTATTCAACTTGTCACCCGTAAAATGAGAGGTTCAGGCTGGTTGATCTCTACATTGTGAAGTTTCAACCTTTCTTTTACTTGTTTGTTTTACTTCACTAAAAAAAAATTGTACACATATTATAGTAACAATAACAGAAATTCAAGGCTGGGAATACAATGTTACCCATAATCTCATAATATCAAAACTTTTTTTCCTTGAAGGTTTTGTCTTCTTGTCCACATGCAGTTATAATAATATTTGAAGTCAGGTAATTGACTTAATTGTGTATTATTCATCTTAGAAGCATTTCTCAAGTTTTTTTTAAAATATACTTTTAGTGCTGCATAGCATCCCATTAGATTACCATATATTGATTTATTTAATTTTTTTGAGACAGGATCTCGCTCTGTCACCCAGGCTGGAGTGCAGTGGTGCAATCTTGGCTCACTGCAACCTCAACCTCCCAGGATCAAGCGATTCTCCTGCTTCATCCTCCCCAGTAGCTGGGATTACAGGTGCCTGCCACCACTCCTGGCTAATTTTTTGTATTTTTAGTAGAGATAGGGTTTCACCATGTTGGCCAGGCTGGTCTTAGATTTACTTAATACCATCCCATTAAATTAGCATGTATTGATTTACTTAATATTGTCTCAAATGTCAAACCTTCGGTTTTCATTTTTCTCGTTGTAGAGATGCTGAAATAAACACCTCAGGCATATAAATTAAAAAAATTATTTTTGAGTCTTTTTAAAGATACATTTATAAGAGCTGGGACATTTGAAAGATGGATGTGCATATTTCTATGGCTCTGAAATCACATTGCCAAATTGCTCTTCAAAAGGGCTGAACAAATTTACACTGTCAAAATCAGGAGGTGAAAATTCCAGTTACACCAGGTCTTTGCCATATGGGTGTATTTTAATGTTTTGTTCCTTTGATGGATATATGCCTTTTTAAAAAAATCAGCTGCCTGGTGAAGATGATTGTGGTTTTCACTGTTTTGTTTTTCATTGTCATTTCCCCCCTCCCTGCCCTTCTCCCCTTTCCCTTGAATCAAGTAATAGTTCTCACACTAACATCTGTGCTACACTGACACACACCCCAAGGGCTTATCGCAGCTTGTCACCTACTCACGGAGATTAATTTCTCCTTCAGATGTTTGTCCTTCAGCTTCCTATTTGCTAAAAAGCCTCAGGATGTAGTGGTCTGTTACCCCTGAAAATGATCCAGCATCGACACATGCTGTCACTCGCCTTCCCTCTCCTTTACACTGGTGGTTCCAGGGGATGGGTTTTTCTTTGCTTATAGCCCCTGCAGACACCTGACCTTTCCCAGTAGAAACAATGTAAATGACACCAGGATTTGAGTGATTGAAACTTCAGTTCGGGTGGCAGATAATCCACACTGTCTGGAGGCAGAGTGTGTCTTGCTATTCTAGTAGGAAGTGAAAGTTGGGAGGGCTGACTTCTCCCCAGATTCAAATGCAGATGATGGTGGAGGAATTCTGAGCTCTATTTTACCTACATTCAATTTTTTAAAACTTTTTAGACTGTTGTGTCCATTGCCTTCATCATCCCTTCCTTCTTCCCCTATCCCGCCCGCAAATTTGTGCAGGAATTTGGTGACATTTGTATACACCAAATAGCACAGCTGTATTTGGGCACCAAAGATCAAACTCACCAATTGCTGCCTTCTATCTGTGTTGTTTTGTAAGCGATTTACATGAAATTCTGCAATCTAGGTTGTGACTTTTTTTTATACATAATACATCTGGTGAGGCAGACGAAGGGCAGAGAACTTGTTAAACAGCATGGAGATGGCAGAGCCTGGGTTTAAAGCTATAGTCAGAATCATAAAAAAAAAAATTTCAGTAAACAGCGCTGGGCACACTGGGTCACACCCGTAATCCCAGCACTTTGGGAGGCTGAGGAGAGAGGATTTGTTTGAGGCCAGGAGTTTGAGACCAGCCTGTGCAACACAGCAAGACCCCATCTCTACAAAAAATACAAAAATTAGCCTGGCATGGTGGCACATGCCTATAGTCACAGCTACTTAGGAGACTGAGGTGGGAGGATTGCTTGAGCCTGGGAGGTTGACACCACAGTCAGTCATGATCGCACAATTGCACTCCAGCCTGGGTGACATGGCACAACCCTTTTAAAAAAAAAAAAAAAATGAAGAAGAAGAAAAAAGAAAGAAAGAAAGAAAAAAATTGTGGTAAATCGTATCTCACAATTCATTGCGTTCAGCTACAAGTAACAGAGACCATCAGAATAGAAGCTTTAACAAACCATAGTTTTAATTTTTCTAAAAATGGGAAGACTGGGGGCAGCCTGAGCGGGCTGGGGAAGCTCCACAATGAACTCAGACCAGGTCCTAATGTTCTGATTTCTATTCTTAGTTTGAGGATTTTATCCTTCATGTTGTCTCATGATTTCAGCATGGCCAGATATCCTGATCCAGATGGCAGAAAGGAGAATGGGAAGGCAAAGGACAAGTTCCATGTTAGCATCCTCTGTCTCCCTTCTTAAGGAATCTCAAAGTTTCTCCCAATTCTCACTAATATCTCTTTGGCTAAAACTTAGTCACTTGACCACCTCCATCTGCTACAGAAGTTGAGAAATGCAGTGGGGTTTTGCTGTTGTTTTTTTAACGTGGCTATAAAGTGTCCCCAGCTAGCTGTGGAGACTAGATATTGGGTAGGCAAATAGTGTTCTCTGATTTGATTCATTCAGCCCATCTTTTAAAAACTGATCCTTCTAAGGTAAGAAATCCATATCATGTAAAACTCAGTACAAAGACCACGCAGTCACAGAATGCTGAGCTGGGAAAGACCTTACGATGGTCATGTGTTTCTGTGTCAAATGTTGATAGAACTTGGCTTGAACAATTCCAGTGCAAGTAATCTCCCTGTTCCACAAAGCATCCCTTTTCTTTTTTTGTTCTGTTTTGTTTTGAGACAGTGTTCTGCTCTGTTGTCCAGGCTGGAGTGCAGTGGCACAATCTCGGCTCGCTGCAAATTCTGCCTCCCGGGTTCAAGCAATTCTCCTGTCTCAGCCTCCTGAGTAGCTGGGATTACAGGCATGCACCAGCACACCCGGCTAAATTTTGTATTTTCAGTAGAGACAGGGTTTCACCATGTTGGCCAGGCTGGCCTTGAACTCCTAACCTCAGGTGATTCACCTGCCTCAGCCTCCTAAAGTGCTAGGATTGCAGGCATGAGCAACCACGGCTAGTGAAAGCATCCCATTTCATCATGAGACAGTTTTGTCGTTGTTGTTGTCTTTTTTTTTTTTTTTTTTTTTTTTTTGAGACAGAGTCTCACTCTGTCATCCTGGCTGGAGTGCAGCAGTGAGATCTTGGCTCACTGCAACATCCACTTCCCAGTCTCAAGCAATTCTCCTGTCTCAGCCTCCCAAGTAGCTGGGATTACAGGCACCTGCCACCATGCCTGGCTAATTTTTGTATTTTCAGTAGCGACAGGGTTTCACCATGTTGGCCAGGCTGGTCTCAAACTCCTGACCTCAAGTGATCCACCTGCTTCGGTCTCCCAAAGTGTTGGGATTAGAGGCGTGAGCCACTGCGCCTGGCTCGTAAGACAGCTTTAATTAAGATAATAATAATAATGAAAGTAGTATATAGCACACTGATGATGTCTGCTTGTACTGAATGAAAATATATGTAATACACAGTCATTGGCTCCAGATCTTCCTTTTTCAATGCTTTTGTAGGATAGGGATTCAAATAATTGAAGACAGGTCACACTCTCAGCTCTGCAAAATATCATTTGCTCTCGTAACAGTCCATTTGCTACCAATATTACTTGGACACATTATCTGCCACTTATTTTTGTTTCCATTCTGAAATGTGTGCCATTATTTGCATAGACTATATATTTTAAACCTATATGACTTCCCTGAGCTTGTTCTAAAAATATTTTCCCTAATCTTTGGTTTCTCCTATTCACTCTATGATTTTCAAGCTTACTTAGGAAAAAACAAATCATACTAACATGAACAAAAATGCTTAGAAACATTTCCACTCCCCAGAGAAAGCTGGCTTTTTATATCTGTTGCCATTTGCCAGTTCATGTCAGTCCTTCTCCCCTTTCCTGACCTATGTCCCTTTTTTTTCTTTTCTCTGAACCAGCACTTTGGAGTCTTTCATATCACTTTGCCTCTTGCTCTCCGCTCTTGGTGTCTCTCCTTTGCAGCTCATTTGTCCCCTGTTTTGGGATCACAGCCCTTTGTTTCTGCTCAAGTGCACTCTTACCATCTTTACTTCTTTCTCCTGAGTTTTAAAACATGGAAAAGTTCTGCACAGTCCCAATATGACAGGTTGCAAATGCAAGCTTTTTATGCCAGAAAACCATGTCTGTGTAGAAATCCGAAATTTCATTAGAAAATGAAATGAAGGGGAATGGATTTCAACAATGCCACTACTATTAATCAGCATTGGTTAAATAAAAAGTTACATTGAAATTTGAAAATCTGGCAGACAACCTGCAGCTTTAATAAAGGTGATCTCCTCACATCATCCTCCTTCCAACAAGGGCAGACCTGGACACTGCTCTCTTGAGATGCCTTCAGGGTCCCTGGTTGGGGGCCCTTAGCATACTAGAGAGAGCTGGTAAGAGTCCACACCACGTTCGCTGTGAGCCAGTTGGCCAAGTTCCAAGAGGAAACCATCTTCTTCTCAATACCTGTTCTCAGAGAACAGTATCCCAGTGACTTTCCAGAGTAGAATTGTCCTTTATATGTTTTGGAAAAAGCACAAGAAGATGCTGAGAGAAATGCCATGGGGCAAACATGGCAAAAAAGATGAGATTTGAGTGTGGCAAGATGCTTTCTTTCCCATCTGGGTCCTGACTCCCCCACACTGCACAATGAATGAGTGAAGAGAGGAAGCGGCTCTCCAGTAATAGGAAAGGAGAGAGAACGTGGCTCCTCCAAAAATGAAAAGTAAAAAACCCAAACTCAAACCAAAGGCTGAAGAAGCCTGTAAGGAGGAGGCCACGGCCTCCAAGTTGACTGAAACTCTTGACATCAATGAAGACAAAGGGCTTGATCAATTTCCCTCTGTCAACCCTGACGGTTTCCAAAATAGTGGAACACAGGATAAAAATAACACATGGAAAAGCAGGGTAGAAAATGTTAGCATGCACTGTTTGCACATGTATCATACACATATGCATGCAGTAGGTGTACATGCATGTTACAGGTGTATAGAGAAGAGAAAGAAAGAAATAAAAGTCCTAACAGTGGTTATCTCTGAGTGCAGTGTTACGGTGATTTAAATTTTCACTTTCATAGCTTTCTATAGTCTTCAATTTTGCTAAAATAAGTTTACATCATTTTTTAAATTAAAATTATTTTTTGACAAAGGTGGCAGAGGGTAAATGAAATCTACTATTTACAAGGACACAAACCTCAATTTAGTGTCTGTTGAGCAAAGAAGAATGAGAGAAGGAAAAAATCAGGAGATACAAAATTGGCTACTCTGTCATTGCAGGGAAACATCCTCCAGCTTCTACACTTGAACAAGCTAAATTAGCAGGTGAAGAAATAAATAGAAGTACTTTCTTTTGTTTTGCTTTGTTTTGTTTGTTTGTTTTTAAAGATGAGGACTTACTCTGTTGCTTAAATTAGAGTGCAATGGCATGATCATAGCGTGCTCCTGCCTCAAACTCATGGGCTCAAGCTTCCCAAGTAGCTGGGACTACAGGTACACACCACTATTCTTGCCTAATTAAAAAAAAAAATTTAGAGACAGGGTCTTGCTATCTTGCCCAGGCTGGTCTTGAACTCTGGGGCTCAAGCAATCTTCCTGTCTTGACCTTCCAAAACAATGGGATTACAGGCATGAGCCACCACACCCAGACCCTAGAAGTACTTTCAAAGCAGGAGAAATTAAGCTCAGTCTCTCTTCATTACTCAGAAGCTACTAATTTTAACCTATTAAAACTATAGTAAGCTAATATAAACTTTTGCACTTTTTTCTTTGGAAGTATTTTTTAAAAATAGCTCATAGTAATACTGAGCAAAAAACAAAACTGGAGGCATAACAGTACCTGTCTTCAAAATATACTACAAAGCTATACTAACTAAAACAGCATGGTATTGGTGTTTAAACAGACGTATAGACCAATGGAACAGAATAGAGAACCTAGAAATAAATGCATGTATTTACAGCTGATTGATTTTTGACAAAGGCACTGAAAACATACATTGAGGAAAGGATGGTCTCTTCAATAAATGGTGCTGAGAAAACTGGACATCCATATGTAGAAGAATGAAGCTAGACCCCAATCTCTCACCACCTACAAAAATTAAACCAAAATGGATTGAAGACTTAAATTTAGGACCTGAAACTATAAAGCTACAGAAGAAAAGAGGGAAAACACTTCAGGATGTTGGTCTGGGCGAAGATCTTGTGGCTAAGACCTCAAAAGCAACAAAAAACAAAACTAGACAAATGGGACCATATTAAACTAAAAACTAACAGCACATCAAAGGAAACAATCAACATAGTGAAGAGACAATCTGAGGAATGGGAGAAAATCTTTACAAACTATTCATCTGACAAAGGACTATAGTTTGAGTTCCTTGTATATCCAGGAACAACATAACAGCAAAATGAAAACGAAAACAAAAAAACAAAAGCCAAATATGTAAAAGCACTAAAAAGAGGGCAAAGGAATGAACAGATATGTCTTAAAAGAATACATACAATTGGCTAGCAGGTATCTGAAAAAAAAAAAAGTTCAACACCACGAATCATCAGGGAAATGCAAATTGAAACCACAGTGAGATACCCTCTTTCCCTCAGTAAGGATGGATATTATCAAAAAGACAGAAAGTAATAAATGTCAGTGAGGATGTGGAAAAAGGAAAAAGGAACTCTTATACATTGCTGGTGGTAATGTAAATTAGTACAACCACTGTAGAAAATAGTTCGGAGGTTTCTCAAAAAACTAAAAGTAGAACTATCATATCATGTAGCAAACCCACCATGACATATTTACCCAAAGGAAAGGAATTCAGTATATCAAAATGATACCTGTACTCCCATGTTTACTGCAGCACTATTCACAACAGCCAAGATATGGAAGCAACCTAAATGTCCATCAATGGATGAATGGATAAAGAAAATGTGAGGCCAGATGCGGTGGCTCACACCTGTAATCCCAGCACTTTGGGAGGCCAAGGCAGGCAGATCACCTGAGGTCAGGAGTTCAAGACCAGCCTGACCAACATGGCAAAACCCTGTCTCTACTAAAAAATGCAAAAATTAGCCGGATATGGTGGCACATGACTGTAGTCCCAGCTTTTTGGGAGACTGAGGCATGAGAATCCCTTGAACCGAGAGGTGGAGGTTGCAGTTAGCTGAGATTGCACCACTGCACTCCAGCCTGGGCAACACAGCAAGACTCTGTCTCAAAAAAAAAAGTGAGATATATATATATATATATATATATATATATATATATACACACACACACACACACACACACAATATATATTACATATATGTGTATATATACATATATTATGGATATACATTTTATATACACATTATATATACAGACGTTATATGTGTATATACATACAATGGATTACTATTCAGCCATAAAAAGAATGAAATCTGTTATATGCATCAACATGAATGGAACTGGATGTCATTATGTTAAGTGAAATAAGCCAGGCACAGAAAGACAAAATATTGCATGTTCTCACTCATATATGGGAGCTAAAAAAGTTAATGTCATGGAGGTAGAGAGTAAAATGGTAGTTACTAGAGGCTGAGATGGGTGGAGGTGGGGGGCAGATGAAGAGAAGTTGGTTAATGAGTATAATCATACAGTTAGACAGAAGGAACAAGCTCTAGTATTCAATAGCACAGTAGGGTGACTACAGTTAACAATACATTGTATATTTCAAAACATCTAGGAGAGATTTGGATTGTTCCCAACACAAAGAAATAATAAATGTTCAAGGTGAAGGATATCTAAAAAAAATTTTAAAAAACCCCAAACTCATATGTCCATGAATGTATTCTGACATTCTAATCTAATTAGAAATACTCAGATATTCCTGCACAAAATTCTGAAAAATAAGAGTTTTGAGGAGCAACTGACCTCATCCAATGTTAAAAATATACATAAAGCTATAGTAACCAAATTAGTGTCATACCCAGCCTATGAATAGAAAGACAGAACAATAAAATCAAATGGAGAGTTTTGTACAAGACCTACCTATAAAAAATAATGTTGTGTATTATAAAGGAACCAAGACATATCAATGGGGAAAATTATTTACTAAATCAATTTTGTTAGAATAATTAAGTAATCTTCTGCACCAAGGGTGAGCAAACTACAATCTGAGGGTCAAATCCTCCTGCTGCCTGTGTGTCTACACCAGCTTTACCGGATCACAGTTATGCCCATTGGTTTTTGTGCTGTCTGTGGCTGCTTTTTCGCCCAAGGCCAGAGTTGAGTAGCTGCCCCAAGACTGTATCATCCATGAAGTCTAAAATATTTACTATTTAGCCATTTATGGAAAAAAGGTGTACTAATTTATGATTTAGTGGAATAAATTGTTGAAAATCTACCTCATTCTTATACCAAAATAAATTCCAGATGGGTCAAATATCAAAATAAAAAAAGAACCCATAAAAGTATAGGAATTCATTATTTCAGAGGTTTTTTTCTACATAATATTGAAGTGAGAGAGGCCATATGTGAAAGGAGAAAGAAATCCAACTACGTAAATCTTAAATAAATAATGCAAGTCCAAAAAAAAGCCAAATAAAGACAAAAGGCAAGTAGCACACAAAAGGAAATATAAACCACTTATCATAGCCAAAAGGGCTAGTTTTTCTAATCTAAAAAAAAGAAATCCCTCTAATTAAGAAGAAATGGCTATCAAATAGAACATGAACCAAGGATACACAAATGCAGTTCAAAGTAAAGGAAATACAGGGCTGGGCAAGTTGGCTCTCGCCTGTAATTCCAGCACTTTACGAAGCTAAGGCAGGTAGACTGCATGAGCTCAGGAGTTCAAGACCAGTCTGAGCAACACAGGCAGGAGGCAGATGTGGGCAGATTGCTTGAGCCCTGGAGGTCAAGGCAGCAGTGGGCCATGATCACGCCACTGCACTCTAGCCTGGGCAACAGGGTGAGACCCTGTCTCAAAAAAAAAAAAAAAAAAAGTAGTAAAGGGAGTACATTTTATTCATTTAAACATGAATA
Source organism: Homo sapiens (assembly GCF_000001405.40). Classification (NCBI taxonomy): domain Eukaryota; kingdom Metazoa; phylum Chordata; class Mammalia; order Primates; family Hominidae; genus Homo; species Homo sapiens. The sequence continues at coordinate 32,364,917 of NC_000008.11, read as the reverse complement.
AAAGCTAAAAATTAGTCACATTAAAAGCAATACTAACTGACAGGACTATCAGATGTCATTTTTCACTCATCAGATAATTAAATATTAAAATTTTGATAATGATACAAGAACAGACACTTTGATATATCAGTAGTTGGAGTAAAAATTGGCACAACTTTAAAGGGGGCAATGTAGCTTTATCTAGCAAAACTTAAAATGTGGACTTAGACTTCACAATTCCAATTCTAAGAAGCTCTACTAAAGATAAATAACCCATATAGGAAAAGAAATCTCACAAGTACAAGGATGTTTATCACATTATTATTTGTAAAAATGAAATATTAAAAACAACCCGGGTGGTTGTCAATACAATATCATAAATTACAGTGCATTAAAATATAGAAATACTATGCAGCTATTAAAAATCAGTCATGAAAAATTATCTATATATGTGTAATTTGAACCATCTTCAAGATGTATTGTTAAGTAAAGAAAAAAGGCAGGATGCAGAAGTATGAATTTGGTGTCTTAGTATTACAAAAGAGGTATATGTATATTTTGTCTTATATATGCACACTGTCTCAGGAGAGCTAGGTAAAAACTAAAACAAAACTAGCTAGGTGCCCAAGGAAAAAGGGGAGAGGGAGACTTTTCATAGTATATTTCTTGTACCTTTTGTGCAAGTTGCATGAATTAACTATTTTGTTTTGAGTTTGGTTATCTATTCACTGATCTATCATCTATCAATCATCTATCTTAGTCATCTGTAGATATCTATATGCACACATATATGTATATTTGTGTATTATATGATCATAATGACATTTTGAAACACCAGCAAAAAAAAAAAAAAAAAAAAAAAAGACTAGTCAGAAGTACGCCAAAGTGTTAATAGTGTGTTATTGGCTGGTGGGATTATAGTACATTTTTTGTTCTCTTAAAAAATTGTTTATAATAAAATTCACCCTTTTTAGTGTTCACTTCTACAAGATTAACACAAGTATATAGTTATATAATTTTCAAGATCAAAATATAGAAAAGTTCCACAACCCCTCATAATTTCTTCATTCACCTTGTAAATAACTCCTCCCAATCCCAACCCCTGGCAATCATTTATCTGTTTTCTGATCTAGGTTATTTCTTATTTTTTGATATCTTTGCATTCTAAAGTTTTCGACTATTCTGAAGGGCCCATTTGTTGTTTTTAATGTAAAAAAAATTAAAAAAAACAGAGATAACTTTTTAAAGGAGGGAGAGAAAGTCAGAGAGAGGTACCAAGAGAGATAAAGAGAGTGATAGAAGAGAGGGAGACCCTTTTGATCGTTTGCCCAAATGCTATTTGCTAACCTTGTTCCACAAAGGCCTGTTTGGCTAGTTGGAAAGCCAAGTTAACACTGAGGGTGAGTTATTTATCATAAAACCCATCCATCTATGAAAAGACTCTGGAACTAGTGACATCATACTCCCGTTAGAGAAATTATACTAGTATTTTAATACCCGTATACCAAGAAGCAAATCCCTTCAGGGTTGACAAAAATTCTTCAGGTATGAGTTATCAGAAGCCCTTGTATCTGTGTACTGACTGATGCATTTCAATGCACTCGAATAGCCACTACTTCAACAGATGCTCACAGCAACATAGTGAGGAGGATGAGGCATCTATTGTTCTTCCCATTTGATGGATATAGAAAGTGAGGCCCTGAAAGGCTAGTCATGGAGGTGAATAACCATCTCAGTTGTTTATCACCAGGGATCACTTTTCAGCTTGTGATGAGATTTTGCGAAGACAGTTTTACAGTATGGAAAAAGTTTGAAGATGCAGACTATGAGGCATATGTTTATGAGGCACCAAGAGGGATACAAATGACCAAGATTCACTCAGACTAATGGACTGAAACTTCAGCAGCATGGGCAGAGTTAATTGCACACCCCATGCGCATGTGGCCTTGCACAGGGCACGTGCAATCCTTGATGGGTCTAATGAGGGCCCCTCTGCTGTGATCAGAGACCCGTAATTCCTTCCTTGTCTGGAAAACGGGGCTTCAGGCTCCCAATGTTCTCATGAGTATCTGTCACATGTGGGGTGCTTTTGCTGTCTTGAGAAGAGTTAAATCTGTGCTGCAATCTTTTCTGATTTTTCATTAGATCTTCCATGGCATCTGTACAACTTCTGCTTTATAAATTGCATTTTTTCAAGTATTTTGCAAAATCTTTTGCATTGCAATTTGAGAGTGTTTACTTGGCTCGAGATTGTGAAAAGTTCTACTCTTCCTGAGAAGAGAATCTCTGCTTGAGATTTATCTTAGAAGAAAAGGAAACTTACAAGATTGTGATTGTCTCAGTAGTCTCATCATGCATCCAGAATGTATTCCACAGGCATAGTGCAGCATCATAACCAAAAAAGAACATTAGGGCCAAAGTACTACAGATACCATTGTAATAAAATAGTAATTCCATAATGGCATTTTATGCCCAAAGCCTTAGAAAAATAAAGTAACAAGTAACCATTTGGCAAATAGCTCTTTTCTCCACAACATCGCATATTCCGTGTGCATCTTAAATGTAGAAAATGTAAAAAGTATATCTCTGCAGTTAAATAAGTAACATTAAACAAATATTTACTAGGTGGTATTTAGTATGTGCTAAATAGCAGTAGACAAGATAGATATGTTGTCTACTTCCACAAAGATTATAAACCATCAGGGAGTCAGATATTAATCATTATTCAAATCAATTACTTCATAACAATTTTGATGAGGGCTGCAATGTACAAGGGAGTTGTGAGAACTGTACACTATTGATGGTTTTGTAGGTCATAATAAATTAATGCCAGCAACTTAATATGATTCCATCTAAACTAGGCTGGAATGGGAGAAGCTAACCAAATCTGGAGGAGGGTGTCACTGGGGTAGTTATCCCCACAAAAGTGACACTTGAGATCATCTCTGGAGAGCTCATGGGAGTCAGCTTTGTGAAAGGAAGCAGGACCCTACTTGGGCACAGAAGCTAACCTGTGTGACATGAGGGATGGGGAAGGACTGGGTGAAGCAGAAGAGCTGGAAGCAGGCATGGAGAGCAAAGTAAGGGGAAGAGAAGCTTGAGATGAAGCTCAAAAACTGTGTATTACTGAGGCCACATGCGCCTGGGTGGCCATGTTAAGATTTTGATTTTGGATTTGAACCTAAGCCTGGTGGCAAACCATACAGGAAGTTTGAGCAATGAACATAGATGGATGCAGCAGCTGTCTCAAGGTTTCCAAGGCTATTTAAGGAAAGTGCCTCCTCTTGAATCACCAAGGGGAAGTACCCAAGTATGTAAAACTGATCTCTGTGGTCAGAGCTGGATCAAAGAGAGGGACAACCAATTTTGGACAACATTCGTCAAGAAGGGATGCAGAAATGTCACTTGGAATGTAATGAAGTGAGGAAGTAATGTTTTCCTGGAACATGTTGTCCATGGCTACATGGGATGAAGGCTTGAGACCCCTAAAACACACATTGCACAGCCCACTAAGCAAGGACTTCCAGATGCATACAGGGCTTCTGTTTGGTTCAGTGGGAACTGCAAGCTTAAGGTCAGGGGAGACTCTTGTCACCTGTGGTCCTCCTTTTCTACCCGCTCCCTTCCTACACTTGGCCCCTCTGCTAAAGAAATGCCAAACACACATTCTAATATAATACTCTGATGTGGCGCCATGTTGTCTGCTTGTTCAGGGTGTGTCTCTACAATGAAGGTACATGGGTAGCTGTGCATCATTGGCTCCTTGGTAATGATAGAGAAGAGGAATTGAGAACAGATATTACATTTGAAGAACCCCTTACTATATAATATGTGTTTCTATACCTCAGCTTGCCGGCCATCACAATAGGTCTATCGTATGAATAAGGGGATTGAAGTTCGGACAGCCAAGTTCATTTCTGAAGATCATACACCAGTGGCAGAGGTGGGATCAAATCTGGATCTTCTGAAATGAAGTGTGGTATTTTTGGTTCTTGTGTACACGGCAGATATAGCCAGGGCCAGCTCTACCTCCGAACCACCAGTCAAAACCTCATGAGTTTAATGGCCTTATGGCTTTGTTTTCTCTCCTAACCATCTGTAATTGGAGGAAGGTTGAGCATGTCATTAACTGCTGACTCCCTGGTGATAGTTAAGGGAACTGGGGGCAACTGTTACAGGAAGACGTGGGCCTTGCTGTAGGCAGGCAATAGAAATTCAACAGAGGAAAATGCTGGTTCAGGTTTGGTGAGGCATGAGTTAAACACAATTCAATGGCCCTTTTTATGAAGAAGAATACAAAATTATAAATACAAATTATGAGGTACAAAACTGAATATTTCTGTAAAACGACAAAAGAAATTCCACAATTATAAAATGTTTAAAGTTGTCAAAGCCACAAGCATCATAAAATTCAGAAAAAGAACATGCTATTAATTAACTACCTGCTATCATTATAATACTTTTCACCCTACTATTTTTTGGCTGAATTTTTAAAAATTGCTTCTACATCTGAGAATGATTTTGTAAAATCTTTTCTATAGAGATAATAGAAAGAGAATTGGTATTTAGCATAGCTTATTAAATTTTTATTATTAATACTTAAATAAACTTCTTTCAGCTTCACAGCTTATTTTGACAATGTCCTAAAAATGTTTACAGGTATTGGCAAATTTCAGAAAACGTCTTTGAATTTTTCTGCCTATATTAGTTGTTATAGACACACTCACTGTCTGTGGGACTATTACAGGTTTGGCCCCTGGAAACATGGGGATTCTGATCATTTAATTTCCTGAAATTGCCATTGAAAAAGAAAACACAATTTGGTGAATTTAGAATTGCATACACGAAATTATCATGTTTATTCTTGAGAGAAGAAAATTTCCATTTGACTAGACATCCACGGAACTTAGTCTCCTGGTTACCTTACCACATGTCGAATGCCTGGTAGAACTTTCCACAGGCTAGCTTTTGGCTCCATACATTTCAAAACTTGTCCCATCAACACTCATATGCCATTGGTGCTTGTTGCACAAGGACAAACTCAGGTCATCATACAATCTCTGGCCCTTCATCTTTCTGGCATGACATCATGTGAGTCAGCACAGTCGGTTTTGGCATATTTCTGGAAGCCTTTTCAACACTGGAATACCTTACAATAACTTTACTAGACATCTCACTATGCCTTAAATCAATGTATCTTTCACTCAACTTTCTCTCAGTTCAGATTCCGAAAATGTTCAGGGCCATTCCAAACCTACTTCCACAAGAGGAATATTTTGGACAGAAAATCAGAGTGAAAAAAAGACTGCCATCTTAGATAATTGTAGTTTAATTATCTTATCCTGCATATTTTACATAAATGTGTAAGCATGTGAACATGTGACTAGGACTCCTTTCAAGACATTGGAAAAGGCCATACTAGTGAAGGACTCTGCAATGCAGGTTTCATTAGCTTCATGGTAAATCTTTGGAACTCAAGGACTTCTCAAAGCAATATTTTGTTCTAGTCTTATCTATGATGGGGCAAGATTAGTCAATGCATGGGGATATAAAAATTCTTAAAAATAAAAAAATACATATATACTACTAACTGATTGTCAAGAGGTGGACAAACTAAGATCAATCTGCATATGTGATTATTTTCTAAGCTTTAATCAGTTTAAAAGGGTGAATGAATCAAAGATAGGTGATTATGCTTTCCTTATCTAATTAAAAATCCTTTTCCGTCTCTTATGTACTCTTCAAACAACTCTAAAAGATAAGTATCATTACGCCATTTTACAAATAACGAAACTGAGAATGTTAGGGGCTGACGTAGACTTATCCTGTTTGTAAATATTATAGTAATTGTCCACCCACCATCTCTCTAGCAGGGCAAAGCTACAAGGAGGGCTATTCACCCTCCCTGAAATCTTGCATCAATCGTTTCTTCCTTTGGTTATCTACAAACAAAACAAAACAAAACAAAACAAACCCTACCTCACCCCTGCCCTCTGCCCCATGATTTCTTAGAATTTGTGACTCTGAATTATGCTGATATGCTTTATTTATTTATTTATTTTTTAAGAAACAGAAGATAGGAAACTCTCTTCTTCTTGATCTTTAAGTGTTGGATCTCAAGGTTCTGTCTTTGGCCCTCTCCTGACTTTAAATACTCTTCCTGGGTAATCTTATTGTCTCCTAAGACTTTAGAAACCATGTCTATATTGGTATCTCTCAAAGTTCTTTCTCTGCTCTAGCCTTCTGCTCTGCAGCTATTACTATCTTGAAGATGATCTATAAGTCTCTGCAAAATGGAGAATCTATGAGATTTTTCAGCCTTGTCACCTACTATGTTCTTCTTAATTCCTGTACTTCTGTCATGCTGATCTTCTTTTAGTATCTTGTAGATAGCTTCTAATTCAGAGCTTCAGATGATATTCCTTAAATACTTTCCTATACCTTGCTCACTCATTTCTCCCTTAAGTCTCAGTGTGAATGTCACTTCTTCAGGGACAGCATCTCTGACCTCTCCCTATCATAACAGAGAGGAGAACCACTCCCATGGTTTTTTTTTTTTTTTTTTTTTTTCATAAATGGCATTCTATCGGTTGATCTTATTTTTGTCTGCAATGGTCAAATATCCAACTATAGTGGCTTAAATGCACAAATGCTTACTCTCCCACGTAAAAGAAGTCAGCAGGAGGCATTCTGGGGCTGAGTTGGTGCTTCTAGAAAGTTACTAGCATCCCAATTCCCTAGTACTCCCAAGGTTACCTCATAGTCCAGGATTGCTGCTGTAGCTCCAGCTTTTGCATCAGAATTCTAGGAATGCAGGAAAGCTAAAAGGAACTTTCTTCTGACTTAGTCATCTCCACTTGAGCATCCTTCCTGGAAATCTCACCAAACATGTATACTTATATCTTATTGGACAGAACTTAGTCACACAGCCACATCTGCTGCAGAAGAGGCTGGGAGATTCGGTATTTTAATTGGGTACAATTAAAGGGTTCTTTTCCTAATGAATATTGGGAAAATGTTATGCTGGGGAAGGCAACTGGCAGTCTGCCACATCTTCCAGAGTACTTATTACACTGTCTTTTAAAAGTATCTCTTTAATTGTTTGAATCCCCCACTAGATTGAAAGCTCCAAAGACAGTGTCTTATAAATTTTTCTATTCCCAACAGCTGGCACAGAGGCTTCCAACTAATAGGTCCTTAATAACACTTTAGTGAATAGATAAATTGTCATAAGAAAATTATTATTGCTATTAAGCGAATTAACACATTTTACATAGGCTCTAGGAAAGAGAGGCTTTCTACTTTAGAGAAAGGAGGAGGAGAAGGAAGGGCACAAATGGCCACACAATTACGTAATCATGTCAAATTAGATCTTGGTTTGTAAAAGCAGGACATGATGAAAAAAACTTTTGTTGGGTGAGCTCAATAAAAGGGAAATAAATCTTTAAACATACGTTAACTCATGTCTATTTATGGTGAAGACAAAAAGCAAATGGAGGAAGATATATTATGTATATTCTTAAACACTTACTACTGTTCTAAAACTTTGGCCTTTTATTGTCTGCTAACGTTATCTTCTCCACTGCTGTCCTCCATGATTTTACATCCTTTCTTTGTGCTAACAGTTGGGGACTATATCTTCTGAGGATTTTTATAAGTCATTTATTTTCTTTCTTACTTATTTCTTCTCTTCTCACAACTTGTAACTAATGCTCTGGTCAAGGACACTATACAATTTCCATCCTGTGGCTTCGTTAATGAGCAAGTTCAGAAGGTCTGTATGGGGGCTCAGTTGCTCTAGTTAACACCATCAACCTCAACCTCATGCTCTTTTCCCCCAGGCCAGCCTCATGAAACTGAAAGTCCATACCATGACTTTAAACTGTAGTCATAAGAAACAGCATTTAAACATGCCTATGAGATCACTGCAGACTCTAAGAATACATTATTTACAAGTTGATTTAATCCATAGGATTTCAGCTGTTTTCACCAACAGACCTTTCCCCTTGCAATTTAAAGACCTCCTAATGTTCTCACAGTTTTCTCATCAACAATTTTTCCTTAGATGTTGAAAGAGTGTGCTTCTGTGAAGGTTTTAGTCTCTTCATTTTAGAACGCATTCTGCCCAATGATGAAATGAAGACAAATGAGATCAATGGGTGTGTCTTGAGTCAGAGACACAAAGGACATGCAGCCTGCAGCCACATTCACAAATATCTCCCAATTCCATGATGGTCAACCACCACTGAATACCATCACAATCTAGGAAAGAGTTTTAAAGATTGACCCTAATCTAACATTTAGTTTTATCTTCCCATTTGCACGTAGCAGATCAACAGATACTCAGCACTAATTAGAACAGGCCCAGGACCTTACAGACAGTACTAGGCTCTATGGTAAATCCAAGATGTCAAGAGAACATTTAGGATATCAACGGGGTGGGGCCCGGCGGGTGGGGGGGGGGTCCCAACAAGGAAACTCTGTGTGATTGGTTGCTTTAAGCCCTTTTGATGCCTTCTTTTCCTACATAATTATTTCCTGTGAGCATATTTTCCCAGCTAAACTCAAAGTTCTTTAAAGTTTAGGATGATGTTTCATGATTTTATATAGCCTGATCATAATGTTGACTACACAGTCGATGTCTAATTACCCCTTGTATTTTGAACCAAGAATTGGAAAGTGAGACTGGAAATGGAACTTTAAACATTTTTAACATTTCTCTTCATATGTTTGAATGTGATATAAAATCTTCCCCTTTAATATCTTTTACCAATTAATCAAGCAAGCATTTCTTAAGTACTCATCAAATCTCAGTGCTCTACTTGGCAGTCTGGATTTACACAGGAGTAGGGTACTTGTCCTCTGTCCTCCTGGTGAGTCATGGTACAATGACAAGACTGTGGTCTACTTTCAAAACCCCAATTTTTCCTGCTAATTACAGTCTCCTCACTGTTATACACACGCACACACACACGCGCACGTGCACAACAAACCTTGTCTCAACCTTTATTGGGACAGACACATGTTCATGTCCCCTCCTTCATCTGGAAGACCATTAACACTATGCTGAGTCATTGAACTTCTTTTCTACTCCCTAGATTATGTTTGTGATCACCCAGGTACCGTACTACAAGTCCATTGTAGGAACTCTGAAAATATGGAAAAACAAAAGATTAAAATAAAACAACTTATAAAGACAACATCAAGGTGAGGAAACAAATCTCTTTTTTACTCTTTTGCAAAGAATTTTTTTACTCAGTTTTTTTTTTCCCCCTTCTTTCTCCATCCCTGTCTTTTTTCTTTATTTGAGGGGGGATGGGTGGGTAAAACACTTGTTTATATGATTTGCCTTTTTAAAAATAGAAATATCCAACTAAGTCCCTGTTTCATAGGACCTTTTTATATAGCAAGGATATATCCTTTTCTTTTATATTTGTGGCAAATATTATCCCCTTTGCTATTTGCCATTTTGTTTTTTTGAGACGGGAGTCTTGCTCTGTCACCCAGGCTGGAGTGCACTGATGCAATCTCAGATCGGTGCAACCTCCACCTCCCAGGTTCAAGGGAGTCTCCCACCTCAGCCTCCCGAGTAGTTGGGACTACAGGTGCACACCACCACGCCCGGCTAATTTTTTGTATTTTAGTAGAGATGGGGTTTCATCACGTTGCCCAGGCTGGTTTTGAACTCCTGAGCTCAGGCAATCTGCCCATCTCGGCCACCCAAAGTGCTAGGATTACACAAGTGAGCCACCACAACCAGACTGCTATTTGCCTTTCAATTTTGTAATTTGTTTTGATGTAAACTTTCTAAAAAAATTATCAAATTAAATCAATCATTGTTTTACTATATAAATTTTTCTTTGTATTTACGCTTGGAAAATCTTTTTCCATTCAAGAACAGATACATAATTGTGTATTTTTCTATAGTTTCTTTTATCTTTTAAATTGTTAATTTAGATTAGTCTGCAATTTATATTGCTGATAGTATGAAGTAGAAATTTAATTCTAGATGATTTGCCATTTTCTGTAATATCATTATTTTCTCACTGATTTGAAAAGCTACCTTTAATATTTGGTGTTCTAGACTTTTGAATCTCTTCTGTTAATCTCTTTTATGTTATATGTTTTTTTTTTTTTTAAAAAAAGCAGCTTCATTGAGATATAACTCAATATACAAAAAAGTGCATTTATTTATTTATTTATTTATTTATTTATTTATTTATTTACTAGAGACAAGATCTTGCTATGTCTCAAACTCCTGGCCTTAATTCTCCCACCTCGGCCTTCCAGAGTGCTGGTATTACAGGCATGAGCCACCACGCCCAGCCTGCACATATTTACAGTATACCATATGATGAGTTGTGACTTACATAGATACCTGGTAAGCCATCAACACAATCCCAGTAATAAACACATCTATCACCTCCAAAAGGTCCTCCTTGCCCCTTGGTAATCCTCCTCATCCCCTCTCAGTAGAGAATAACAGAGAAAAATTTTTATATAGATTAGTTTTCTTTTCTTAGAATTTTGTATCATGCAGTATGTACACTTTTTGTTGTTGTTGTTTTTTGAGATGGAGTCTCACTCTGTCTCCCAGACTGGAGTGCAGTGGCACGATCTCGGCTCACTGCAACCTCTGCCTCCCGGGTTCTAGCGATTCTCCTGCCTCAGCCTCCCTAGTAGCTGGGATTACAGGCACTCATCACCACGCCTGGCTAATTTTTGTATTTTTAGTAGAGACGGGGTTTTGCCATGTGGGCCTGGGGGGTCTCGAACTCCTGACCTCAGGTGATCTGCCCACCTCAGCCTCCCAAAGTACTGGGATTACAGGCATGAGCCACTACACCTAGCCAGTATGTACTCTTTTTCGTCTAGCATCTATCACTTAGTGTAATTATTTTGCATCATCCATGTTGTAGCATGTGTCAATTGTTCATTCCTTTTTATTACTGAGTAGTATTCCACTATCTACACTGTATATGCCGCAATTTGTTTATCCGCTCACCTGCTGATAGACATTTGGGTGGTTTCCAACTTTTAGCTGTTACAGATAAAGCTGTTATAAATATTTACATACAAGTCTTTGTATGGACATAGGCTTTCATTTCTCTTGAGTAAATACCCAGGAGTGGACTGGCTGGCTTACATGGGATATGTACATTTAAATTGTTAAGAAGCTGCCAAAATGTTTTTCAAAAGGGTTGTGTCATCGTACATTTCTGCCAGCAGTGTATGAGAACTTCAGTTCCTCCACATTCCTGCCACTAGTTGCTACAGTCAGTCATTTTAATCTCAGACATTCTGATAGGTATTTAGAAGAATCTCATTTTAGCTTTAATTTGCATTTCTCTAAACACCAGAGGCTTTTGGTCATATTTTATATGCTTTTTGGCTATCCATATATCTTCGACAAAGTGTGCTTATTCAAACCTTGCCCATTTTTCTTTATCTTCTTTATATTAATTACAACAATAATAAAATCATTAAAATATAATGTTTCATTAGTTACAAAATATTACAACTATAAAATTGTTTATAGCTCTATAATTGTAAATTTACAGTTTTATTATACATATAATCATTATTTTAAGATTTTAAATTATTTAAATTATTACCTTTATTCAGTGATTTTTCTTATTTATTATTATTTTATTTAAATTATAGGTACAAAATTAATATAATTGTATCATAATAATAACAATTGTTATTTTGAAACTTGAATCTATCTCATTTGTCTCTTTCATGGCATAACATGCTATTTTAATTTTTATAGCTTTAAGTTGCTTTTTCAGATACCAGTGCAATTTCTTATTATTCTTATTTATTATTTTTTGAGGAAGAAGGCCTAGGATATTTTTGTCCATTTCAGAAATTTGTAAATTTTAAAAATTCATTCTTTTTTTAAAATCAGAATAATGTTTTTAACATTTGTGGAGGAAATGAGATCTTTACTCTCTCTCTGTCTCTCTCTCTCTGTATATATATATATACACACACACATATATATAGTCTCTCTCTCTCTCTATATATATATATATGTATATATATATTTTAAAAAATTGAGACAAGGTCCCATTCTGTCACCCAAGATGGAGCACAGTTGCAAGATCATAGCTCACTGCAGTTGCAAACTCCTGTGCTCAAGCAATCCTCCCTTCTCTTCTGGCATAGCTGGGACTACAGGTGCATGCCACCATGCCCAGCTAATTGTTAAAGTTCTAGCAAAGATGAGGTCTCCCTGTATTGCTCAGGCTGGTCTCAAACTCCTAGCCTCAAGCAATCCTCCTGCCTCAACTTCCCAAAGTGCTGGGAGTACAGGTGTGAACCACTACACCTGGCCATCTTTACAGTATGAAGTATTCCTGTCTGTTAAAATGGCCCCTTTCTTCATTTGTTCAATATTTTGGACTTGTTTAATTTCCCGCAAATTGCTTGCCCAGTGAGAAAAGTTTGGGTCTTGAAGGCTTTAGGACTTTGCACTAAAGAGTCCATTGCCAACCAGATTTATACAATTATAGAGATTGAAGCTGGAAGACATGGTAGATAATCCCGTCTAACATTCTCACTGGTCAAGAAGAAGACAAAGTGCAAAGAGCTGAAGCACTTCTTTAACATCTGAAGTTAATGGCAGTCCTAAGAGTGGTCTGTGACCATCAGTTAATGTCCCTTCTGTCTCATCAGTGTATTTCTCTTTACTACTTACTATTCTCCAAAATGGGCCTCTACTTCAGTAAGGCCAGTGTCCCTGACACACACTGCATACACCAAGTTCACTGTCGTAATCCCGCAAATTGCTTGCCCAGTGAGAAAACTTCGGATCTTTAAGGCTTTAGGACTTTGCACTAACGAGTCCACTGCCAACCAGATTTATACAATTATAGAGATTGAAGCTGGATGACATGGCAGATAATCCTAACATCCTCACTTGTCAAGAAGAAGACAAAGCACAGAGAGCTGAAGCACTTCTTTAACATCTGAAGTTAATGGCAGTCCTAAGAGTGGTCTGTGACCATCACTTAATGTCCCTTCTATTTCATCAATGTATTGCTCCTTATTTCTTACTATTCTCCAGAATGGGCCTCTACTTTAGTAAGGCCAGTGCCCCTGACACACACTGCATATACCAAGTTCACTGTGGTAAAAAATACCACTTTCTCAGAAGTCATGGTAGAAGTGGATATGAGGTACTAGTCCATTGTCAGGTCAGGGTGCCAGGAAGCATGAGGAAATTTAAAAAGGAGGTTTTCTGGTACATATGAGTTATGGGTTTCCTGGCCTGGGTGGACTAGGAGTGGGGACCCCTCAGACGGAGAGATGGGATGGACGCTGGAAGGCACACACTTAAGCTGGTATTGCTGTGGAGTGGAACTGTAGGAAGTAAAGAGGGCTTCTTTATTATCTTATAAGAGCTTTTTAAGGAAATTGAGGCAGTAACAAAGGAGAGAGTGCAGGATTTTCTAAATGACTAGATCTTGCTCATTAGTGGAGTGGATCTTAGCCTTTTATGGACCGAAGTACCCCGAAAGATTTTGGTTAAGAAAACATATCATCCTCTTTCCATAAAATGGCACACACATTTTATACAATATCAGGGTTTATGGATCATTTGAAACACATCTGTACATTTCACAAGGCCTGACAGGGTTTCATGAACTCCTGGCTAAGACTTTCTGGGGAAGCAGCAAGTATTCTGTCAACTCTAATAGCATTACAAAGTAAGGAAAAAGAGAAAAGGGGTATGAGTATGTAGGTGTGAAAGTGAGAAGTGCAGGGAGACCAGCCCTGAGATGTTTTAATTAGCATGAAATATTTTCTCTAAAAAGTGGAGTTACATGTCCCAGTACCAAAGTAAAAAAACTACTTTTAGATTCCTGCAAACAGAGCCCAGGAGACCTCAGTACACCGATAGTGGACATGAGATCAAAAAGGGGAGGTGGGAATGGAAAGAGTAAGAAGTTAAACATTCTCTTTGAATACAAACAGCACTGATTAGATAAATATTGACTGAGCATCTGCTATGGACAAGGCACAGTGCTGAGTGGGGCGTGGACACCGCGCTGATCTGGACAGACGTGGTGATTACTGCCCTCAAAAAATCAACAAATCAATATATAACAAATTCAAGGAGGCCCTTGATTTTGGATATTTATTACAATCTTATATTATTTATAATTCCTAGTTATTTATTATATTCCTATATTAGTTATTTTATTATACAGGATATAAGAATACATATTATGGAATAGTTATGAATATTTCTTATTTTATAGATGAGGAAATAGTGGCTCAAAAAGAATAAACACCTTATATCTGGGATTAGAAGTCAAATCTGATCAGATCTCTTAACGAGGACCTCCTATTTGCCAGGCCTAATGCTAGATGTTATTCTAATAAACTTTCAGTCTGTTAGAGAAATTCCACGTCTTTGTTAAATAAATATAAGCCAAGGTCCATCTGACTTTCAAACCAGAAATGGGACTTTGTTAGTTGTAAACTAACAAAGAGAAGTCATCACTTCTTTGGATGAGAAGGGGAGAGCTCTTTTCCAAGTTTCCCAACAGGAATTATGAACTTATAGAGAAAGCATTTGTGGCCAACTCCTGATACCGGAGAACAAAACTCTTTAACACTTTGGAACTTTGAGAAGAGAGAGGGGGAATGTTTGGATCTAATGATTCAAAGTTCAAGCAAGAAGGATATTCTGGTGCTTTCTTACAATTTATTATTCTCTGTTTATAGCAGTGTTTACTTTCCATGTCCACTGCAACCACATGACAAGCTTGGGAAAGAAGATAGGAGGGTGCTCTAGGACCACTTAGGGTACATTTTGTAATCTTTTACAAGTTGATCTCCTCAAGGAAAGAGAGAGATCCAGGAGAGCTGCTGCCCACGCCTCCTATTTCTCTGTGTTGGAATGTTTGATCCCATTTCCTCAAAACCTGAGAGGAAAAAGATTTGTTGATGCAAGTACACTTCTGCAGAAAAGGAGGTGACCTGCCCGTCACATCCATTTTGAAATCAAGTGTGCTTCTGGCCAGCCACAATCCTGCTGCTGCAAAGAGCTGGATCATCACTGGAAGACAGAGAATCAGAAAGAAGATGGCTATATGGAATGTCAGCATGGGCCCAGCAGCCCTGATGGATCTTTTGACCAGGAGCCTACCATAGAGTCAGTTAGGGAATCAGAAAACACCACTAATTTTGGGAATTGGACTCCAGGGCTTACCTGTGTATTCCTTTGCTACCTCCAATTGCTGCCTGTTTCACATACAAAAAGCAATTTACTCGTGTAACCAAGTCATCCTGTCATATGGGAAATCGAGGATTTCTCATTCTTCTTAGATCTTTGAATACCTTGTCCTACTCTTCACTTCCATCCCTCATTATCTAGAAATGCTCTGTGAAACTCCCAAATATTGGCAAAGAGACATAAGTAAATACTAAGTAAGTCTCCTTCACACTTCCCATGTGTATGGTACCTTGACTACTCATAGTGTACCACTTCTCCTATTGGTTGTTCTCTTTTCAGTCTGTCCAAACAACATTTGGAATTCCTAGTTTTGGAATCTGGAAGATGGATTAAAAAAATTCAAAAACAAGTGCCATGATTTTCCTTAAAGATAGAGGACTATGGGAAGATTTGAAATTTTCATATCCATGTAGTCTGCCAAGATATATCCTGTCCCTAACAGCGCAGCCCCATTTAAAGATGAAACATACAAGGAGACCATTGGGATTCTGATTGGCAGCATATCTTTCACATAACTAGGAACATGCACTAAGGTGTCTTGACAGAGTCCTCAAAATAAAGGTGAACTCTGTGAGCCAATAGCTATTTTTCAACTGGCTTGCAGAAGGCAGTCCCACTCAAAAGTGTAATTCAAGGCACAGGAAGCCAATAGCTCTGAGGTTTTCTTCATTTACTCATAAAGTCATTTATCCAACAAAGAGTTATTGAACACCTACTAAGTGCACTCTGCTAAGATATAAAGTTGCATAATGTTTGGATCTTGTCCTCAAAGTCTGATTGGCCTTTTTTAAACTATGATGTTTCTCTTCTCAATACTTCCATATGAATCACCTTCAGAAAATGAAAGTAATGCACCATATGAACTGGATTTGTTTAAAAGGTAACTTTTCAAACAGTTGTTTTTACCTTGGAATGCAAATTCTCATAAAATATATGTTATAGATAATGGCTGTGTCTTAGTCTAGATTAACACATAGCCTATTTCACCTACTATGTGGCTAAAATCTATACCTATACTACGTTATAACAGAAAACCATACTGATAGTGTAGTTAGAATGTCAAAACACTATACAATTGAGTAAGTAAGTGGCTATAAAGGATTTTTCTTTATGTTATTTGACCATAAATGTTGTTCATTGAGATTTTAGACAATTTATAAGGTATCTAAAAATATAAAGAAAGAAAATAAATCATGCACAGTGCAGGAAAATCTCTGCTAACATTTTGACTGAAAAATATGGCTTTAGCTTCTTCCTGCCACTTAAATGTTTGTAGAAACATCCAGACTCTTACATTTGTTTATGACAAATTTTATTTTATGGTCACAAGAAGAGAGACAGGATGGAATCCACTAAAAAGTGGTGTGAAAAGAACTTTTCCTGAAATAACCAGGAAATAGATGGAAGTGAGATAAAACAAAAACAAAACAAAACAAAACAAAAAAACACAGAAGGGGCTTAAAGAGGATATGTAAGTAGATATGAGAGAGGAATTGATTTTTTGAGCTAGGATTAGCTGTGCAGCGATAATTAGAAAAACAAAGGAAAGTGGGTGTGCAGGACCACTCAATAAACCCCTAGAGTAATTGGTAACAGATTTGAATCCACAGGGTAATAATCCATTGACCATGTGGCATCTTGGACACTCAACAATTTGGTTAAAGAGTGATGAGAAGAAAGAGTAATATATGTAAACACAGTCCACAGCTTAGGGATATACCCAAATGCCAAGTGTGTATTAGTGAGAGTGCCCGTGGCCTTTCTTTGAAAAGGCCTTCTTGTATTCATGAACATTGAGTTTCAAGTTTTTGTTCTCTTAGAGAAAGTGACATTTTAAAAACAAGTTTGTAGTCACGACCATTTCAGATTCATTAATGTCACCCATCACCCTCATCACCCTCACAGCATGAAATCTTTCAGACACTGTTTTGTCTAACCCTTCTCGATTTATTTAATGCAGAACATTGAAACCATTTCTGGGCTGTTAAAAGTCTGGAGACACACGGCTACACAACTTCATGTTTTCCAAGTCCATGGAAAAGCAACAACACGGCTACAGACCTTCATGTTTTCAAAGTCCATGGAAAAGCAACAAGTACATTAAACTAGAGAGGATTTCAATCATGTGAACTGATTATACTTTCATTACTATATGAGGTGTTAACCTAGAGAGTTTAGGAATCTGAGATGCCTAAATCAATTTACTGTGTGAGGTGCAGGTGAGTTGACACTGACTTTCTGTTAATATGTATTGAGACTATTTGGCACCTGGGAAGCATATTGAACACCCTGCAGGGTTCTTGTCCTTAATGAATTTATCATCAAAGCAAGGATCTCCATAGAGCGTGAAATCATGGTTATCAGATGCTGGGAAGGAGAAGAGCAGGGGTAAATAACAGTTGGTTAATGGGTACAAAAATAGAGTTAGATATAAGGAATAACTTACAGTATTTGATATTATAGTGGGGAAATTATAGTTAACAATAACTTATTACATATTTCTAATTAGCTAGAAGAAAAGAATTATAATGTTGCTGACACAAAGAAAAGATAAATGCTTGGCCGGGCACGGTGGCTCATGCCCGTAATCCCAGCACTTTAGAAGGCTGAGGCGGGCGGATCACGAGGTCAGGAGATCGAGACCATCTGGGCTAACATGGTGAAACCCCATCTCTACTAAAAATATAAAAAAGTAGCCAGGCGTGGTGGCAGGAGCCTGTAGTCCCAGCTGCTTGGGAGGCTGAGGCAGGAGAATGGCATGAACCTGGAAGGTGGAGCTTGCAGTGAGCTGAGATCACGCCACTGCACTCCAGCCTGGGCAACAGAGCAAGACTCCATCTCAAAAAAAAAAAAAGATAAGATAAATGCTTGAGGTGATGCATATCCCAGTCACCTTGATTTGACCATTACATGTTGTATACATGTATCAAAATATCACATGTACCCCAAAGATATGTACCAACTATGCTATATCAATTAAAAATATTTTTAAAAAATGGACTTCCAGGAAGAGAAATAAGCACATGTAATATAACACTTAATTACAGGTTCCTTATTTGGTGAGGAAAATATCCAACAGGGATTATGCTAATTAAATGAAGAACAGAATGAGATAAATATAGATTTTTTTTTTTTTCCCAAAAGATGCCTCTAATGTTTGCTTTGAGGAAGAAATTTCCATTCTGGGGCTGTAGTAAGTGGACCATCTAGATGTAGCTGTTGATATGTATATATATGCATGCTTATGGTTATACACAAAACATTTCTGGACCCCTAAATAACAAATGTTAACAGTGATTTGTTTTGGTCAACAGATTTAAAGAGAAGGAATAAAGGGTAAAATGAGGTGGAGAGAGTTTTTCATGTGAATTTTACACATAATTTATGTATCTACAATTTATATATAAATATATACTTATATATTCATATAACATGTGAATATATTTTCATCTATATATAATTATCCATCTATATATCTATTCATCTACATATATAACTATTCATCTGTATATATTCACCTATATATAATTATATATATAATTTATAGGTATATAATTTATATAAATATATATTTGTATATTATATAATTTATAAGTATATAAATTATAGTATATATTATATATAAAATATAGAATTAATATATAATTTATATCTATATATACATTTATTGTTATTATTTTTGAGACAGGATTTCACTCTGTCACCCAGACTGGAGTACAGTGGTGCCATCTTGGCTCACTGCAACTTCTGCCTCCCAGGCTGAAGTGATTCTCCTGCCTCAGCCTCTCAACTACCTGGGATTACAGGCACGTGCCACCATGCCCAGCTAATTTTTGTAGTTTTAGTAGAGATGGGGTTGGCCGTCTCTGCAGGGTTTTTAGTAGAGACAGGGTTTGTCACTATGTTAGTCAGGCTGGTCTCGAACTCCTGACCTCAAATGATCCACCCGCCTCAGTCTCGCTAAGTGCTGGGATTACAGGTATGAGCCACTGCACCTGGCCATATACTTTTGAGTTTACCATGTGAATGTATTACTTTTAATTTAATCCTACTTCAAATGTAAAACTACTCATGTATTGTGCTGTAGTGATACTATAAGACATTGAGGTTGCTGTACTTACTTGAGAAAGCACTGGGAGAAGAGGGTCTTTTTAAGGCTCTGACTCCACTGGCCTGTATAGGAACAGTTGAGGCACTCAAACTGTCTAATTGCTCTGCACAGCAGCAGAGGCAGTCTGGATTTTCCTCCTGCTCTTGGAACTTTGAAACCACTGAAACAGAGGATTTACAGGCTTACAACTCACAGATGAAGCCCTCAGTATCAAGAAGATGAATATGGAGTCCTCTGTGGATCAGTCTACATAGTTAGCTTCCAGACAACAGAGCCAAGTCTTTCTTCAACAGGCACTTCTGGCCAACAGAAGGAATATAACCTGATTACTCCCTCAAATCATAAAGTGCTTGCACAATGGAAGAGCAAGGAAGACATTTACACCCAGAACTAAATGGACATTATCTGCCTTTGCTATCAATTTTCATTTTCAGGATAATAGGGACACAGATGACTCTAGAACTGCATCAACATAGATGTCAGCAGAAATGATGTCTACATCACCTGCAGAGGAAGTGATGGAGAGGCCAAATCTCAGGTCTGGTCAATGAAACGCATAGCTACTAGAATACCGACATTTTTGTGAGCTAGCTTCTTGTGTATAAAGCCAAGTTAGAAGGATCTCCCCTAGCAAGCCTTGAGCAGAAATTATGGCTCAGAGAGATCCGTCTTCTAGATCAGTAGGTCTTAACCATTTCTGAGCAGAATACATAATAGATTGTCTAGTAGATTTAAATATCTAACAAACTAAATGTCTACTAACAAACTTTTATATTTTGAATTGCAAAATAAATTTTTGGAGTTTTCTACAGCACTGGGATGTGGTTCTTGGCCAAATATGGTGGCTCACACCTGTAATCCTAGCACTTTTGAAGCAGGAGGATCACTTCAGCCCAGGAGTTCAAGACCAGCCTGGGCAATGTGGCAAAATCCCATCTCTACTAAAAATACAAAAAAAAAAAAAAAAAAAAAAAATAGCTGAGTGTAGTGACATGTGCCTGTAATTCCAGCTACTTGGGAGGCTAAGGTGAGGTGGGAAGATCACCTGAGCTTGTGAAGTCGGGGCTGCAGTGAGCCAAGATTGTACCAGTGCACTCCAGCCTGGGCGAGCAGAGTGAGACACACACACACACACACACACACACACACACACACACATGCATGCACGCATGCATGCACAAAAAAGAAAGAAAGAGAAAGAAAGAAAGAAAGAAAGAAAGAAAGAAAGAAAGAAAGAAAGAAAGAAAGAAAGAGAAAGAAGGAAAAAAAAAAGATGTGGCTCTTTCCTAAAATAATTTTAAAGTGCATGGAACTGAGTTGACCCAAGATGAGAAAGGCACATAAACGAAATACTTGCCATTTCGAAGAACCCAGATGGGTACAATTAAAATTAAAGTAATGCTATCTGCATAAGCTCCATTGTCCTATATTCCGAAGAGGAGCTCTGACATATATTTAAGTTCCTTTAGTAATTCTGAAGTGATGTGTGGTCAAGGTTTAAATACTAAGTTACCTTGTGTTGAAGGAATTACTAGACTTTACAACAGCCTGTCTATGAAGGTCACACCTGAGCTTGAGAGTCATCAGGCAGTTATGTGCATGGAAGATTGAGCATTTTTTAAGTCACAGTTTTATATACTGCAGACCTTCTCTAATGGACTCGGTAGGACTAGGACTGAATTTTTAGAATCACATCTTACAGAATCTGATGACCTGATACCACTAAACTCAGAACAGTGTGACATCCAATGTAGCGTAAAAAGACTTAAACTTTTCAACAAACAATGTCTTCTGTATCCACAATGAGGTGCTAAACAATTTTTTCTAATAAAACAGAAATCTCTACATCTTTGATCAGCAAATCTTTCATGGGATGTAGAAGGTTTCTCATAAAAGCCTCTGATTCATTATGATTAAACACTGAGTAATAAAAACAGATTCACCACTACCACCTCCCCTTTTACTTCGAGCTGACATAAGCCAGCAAGGTTATGGCTCTGCAAATCTGCTTATTAGGTCATTGAGGCTGTGTGTGTATTGTGAGTAAATGGACATTTAAAGTTTCTAAAGTTCATAGCAAGAAAGACCATCAGCAAATGCATAAACAAAACTGGAGTACTATTTAAATTTCTATTATAAAACATTTGTTAGTCTAGATGGGACTTCATACTAGGTTTATAAATTTGAAGGTGTAAAAATATCAACTAATCCTGACTCCAAGGTTCGCACATAATTAGAAAATTAAATATGATATTATTCTCTAGTAAACACTAATGGCCACAAAGAAGGCTTAACAAGTTGGATGGGACATGTAAAATCAAAGTTGACAATATATTAAGCCAAATATTAATTATGTACATTTCTCTGATACATTTTCTGAGGTTTTTATTTGGAGGATATATTTAGAGGCAGCCCAAACAGGCTATCAAAATAGTTTTAAAGCCCCATGACTGTAAAGACTAGCTCTTCGGCATAATGCAGGTGAAATGGTTGATTGAACTTTTTCTCTTTAGAACAGACTGTTTTGGCATTGTAAAACCGTCATGTCTATCCACAACCTCAAAACAGGGGGTTCTGAAAACACTTCTGGAAGACAACTTGGTTTTCTTCTTCTTAAAGATCTCATCCCCATGATTTAGTTTTCATTAATCACCCACATCTGTGTTGTATAGGTGACATGCTTCCTGCCTGAATATAAGCCCATCTACTGTTGAAGTGGACCACGGTGACACCTCATTTATTCTGAATTATTAGGAAATGAAATGGTGCACGCCAGTAAATTTTTTAGAAAACAAATGCTTGTTTATTTTTTAGAAAAGACAAATCTACTTTCATGTAGTCATATTTAAGTGAAATCTTTCTAATATGCACCAATATTTAACTGTATTCTTAAATATGATACAGAAAATTTATGCTATGAATATGAATAATTTAACTGTATTATCAAGAACAAGGGGAAAGGTGAGAGTGGTCTTTTCTGGAGAGACAATACAGCATTGGCATTAAGAATCTAGACTGCTTGTGGACTCTGGCTCTATCCCTTATCAGCTGTGAAAACTTGATTAGCTACTTAAACCTTCTGTACAAAGTTTCCTCCTTAAGATGGATAACAACAGTAGGAAATGTATTGTGTTGCTGTAAAAATGAAACACTTGCAAAAGACTTAGACTAGTGCCTGGGACAGTGCAAAGGGCCAGCAAATCTTAGCTCTTGTGATTGTTAGTTTTGCTTTCATTTTTTACAAAATGACTGATAGTCAATCTGTTGTATTCTGGGAAACAAGATATCATGTCTATTAAAATTGTACATAATAGAGCATAAACTTTTCTACAGCTATTTTGGCTGCCATGCTTTAAAGTGGTTTTCACTTAACTTAGACATTTTTTATTCTGCCCAGAGTGTGCATGTTTCTGGATAGTTAACTTGTAAAAATGCACTAACACATAAACATAAACTCAAATGACATAGAGACAGACTTGACTGACACAGTCTTTGACATCATAAAAAATAAAGAGGAGGGGGTATGAGAAAACAAATAGTTTTAAAAATGGCAAAGCAAGAATTCACATAATGACACAAAATATGCTGCTTTCAAGCCTTTTTGATATTAAATAATTTAAAATTGATATATAATTAGTATCTTAAACATTCACTCGAATAGGTCCTTACTATTACAAAGTATCAATTACTTCAGTTGGAATTACATGAATTACTATGAATAAAATGTCACTTTTTCAAAAATATTTTGTAATTATTTCTTCATTAACTCAGAAATACTCTATACTTGTACTTTGGAAGCCACAAAATTCCTTTTAAAATGCTTCTGTCTTTGCTTTATCTGCTCTTCAACGATACAACTTGGTTTTATTTAAGAATTGAGATGATAGCATGCCTATCACTGCCTGAGAACGGACACGGAAAACAAACAAATGAGATCAGCCAGCTCCCCTGCCTGTGCCTATGTGGCCTGGGCAACTAGGCAGGAGTTAGGGGACCTGTGACATTGGGTTCCTGCTCCTTTGGTGTAATCCCTGGGCCTCACTGCCCACAGGACAGCAGGAACCTCAAACCTGACTCAGAAATCTGAGTCTGAAGATCCCAAGGCGAAATGCCTCATTCCTCTGTCCTTACAGTCTTCTGTAGAACCAGGGGATGACATAAAAAATTTCAGCCACGAGCTGACCAGTGCTTCACTTTGCCCGAGTGGAAAATTCCTCTCTCTTCTCTGCCAAAGGATGTTGGATTTCCATCTGCCTGCTAAGTGAACAGGTTTAGAAAGTAATTATTCTGAAAGAAGTATGTTCTAGAAATGCAAAGTGGAATAATAGAACCCTCTTAAACATGACTCATTATAAGAGACCTATCTGGAATTCGGGTTTCTGCACGTTATCTTGGAACAAAATAAATGTATACAAGAAGCTGGGCTTAAGACAGTATATCTATAGACCTATCCTGTTGGATTTTGAAGATACAGGAAAAAGATGTAGACACACTGAGTTAAATGATTTGAGCTACATCTCTCATGTTTCGTTATTGTCAATAACAATACATCTCTCACGTATTGTTATTGGGTTCAGCAAGTGTTTCTCATACAGGGCCACTCAATGTTGTAGCTTTGCAGGCCATGTGGCCTCTGTTTCAAGCACTCATCTTGACTGTTGTAAAGCAAAAGCAGCAACAGGCAGTGCATAAAAAAATGGGCATGGCTGTGTTCCATGAAACATTCACAAAACCAGGCAGCATGTAAGATTTGGCCCATTGGCTATCATTTGCTGACCCCTGATATAGCAGAAAAAGTACAGGATATCGGGCTTAAGGGGTTGAGTTAGAATCCCAGCTCAGGCATGTATTCTGTGAGTGACCTTGAAAGTTCTTGAGTTTTTCAGAGTCCCTCATTCTTTGTGATATGGAGATAATGATACTGAATCCAGGAGCTTGAAATGAGTATTAAAAGAAACAATGAATACAAAGTGTTGAGCTTGTTGGCTGGTCCATCCAGCCAACTTATATGGTATGTATAAATTCCTTTAAATAATGCCATTTCTACTTTCTCAGGTCTCCTTTTACCAGAAAGAAGTATATTTTACTACCAATGGTACAGCATCAAAATCGAATCTGGTTAGCAGGTGGAAAGAGACAGAAATCGAGCTCCCATGAGACAGTCATGAAGGGATGAGACACAGGAGGCTGTTTTGCCCTCTAGGATTTAGCAGCCACTGAGTGGTGCTAACCCTTTTCAATTTCAAGAGGTTGAATTAGGCCAGAATTGCACCTGTCATTAAGCCTGCCCCAGGAGATGACAGCTCAAGACAGAGCTAAAAGTGTGTGTGTGTATGTATGCATACATGCATATTGTTTTATTTTTTATTTTTTACATGTGTATTGTTTTAAATGTTGCACACTATAAAATAATATGGCACAGATATTTCATTAAATGCCAATTAATCTCTTGACATTGTGCAGTAGTGGCACATTTTTTCATTTCCTATCCATCACATATCTAGTTCTATGGCAGAAGTCCTAGAACCACTCCCACCTTACCCCTTAGCAGCAGAGGGGAAGGAGAAAGTCAAGTTATCTTGCAGTCATTCCTGTCTGACCTCTAAAAGCCAGTATCTCAGACCTCATCAAGCAGATTTTTAGATAACACAATCCCTGCTGAGATTACAAACCATTAAAAAAAAGTAGAAACAATAGTAGAAGCCTTTCCTATGTAGACTATTTAGCATTTCAAGGCTTACAAAGGGTTTTTCAATCAACCTCCAACAACCAGCTGAGGAATACAGAAAGATAAACTCTGGAGAAAGTTGACTGGGTTGCAATATTCCCTCTAATACTTATTGGCGGTGACTACAGGCAATCAAAATGAAATTACTAAACGTCATTTTATTTGTCTGGAAAATGCCCATTTCATAAATTGGTTGTACAGATTAAATTAGATAAAGCATGTAAATAAAGCTCTTAGCACAGTGTCTAACATATGAAAAGTCCTCATTAAATGTCAGCTGTTGTAACTATGATCATTCCTATGCAACAGATGTAAACAACAAAACACAAATGCAAAACACACAACTTTCTGGATGTTTGCCTATGACATGAGGACTTGTTCTATTCATGGCCTATCCAATTTCACTATCTTTTTAGGTCCACACTACTATATTTAAAATATTTCATGGATGGAGATGCTTATTCTCGTTAGTTATTAACTCTACTTCAAGATATCTAAGAGACAAAGTGAGTATTTGGGGTTTAGGGGCAAAGGAGAGGAACTGATGAAATAGGTAAGTTTTTATCATTACAATTAGAATACCACTGAATTGCCTCCATCTTCTTTATTAACAATATGCACCATGGGTGTATATTCAACTTTGTTTTTGCTTTCAGTGTTGACAAATGCAAGTAGACCACTTTAGGGAGAGGGAACTGTAGTACATGGAAATAATGTTAAGAGGAAAAGATGATTTCTATTCTTCTGTGAACCACCGTGACTCTAAAAAGTGACAATTTTGTAGGGGCCACCTCTCTATGCCAGTCACTCAAATTAACAATGGATTTAATTTGTTCATGTGCTTTATCAGGGATCTATTCCTTATCCTGTTTCTCCCTTCTATGGTAGATAGGAGCTGTGAACTCCTCTCGAAATTCCTTTGATGGGATTGAGTTCCCCAGGGCTCATTGGAGACTTAAAGCCAGATGTAACAACTGATGTGAGATGCTTAATGCTCAAGACAATAATAAGCTTAAATAGGAACATTCTCCGGAGTATACAGAGTGGATACCTAGGCATGTTTGGATTTACCAAAGTATCATTTTTGCCAAGTGGTAAACATTTAATTGAAGACTGATAGCAACTATATATTTCTAACATGCTTCTGCATTTTAGGGTATAAAAATGTTTCATAAAATATCAATCCTTTTTTTATTTTACTGAAAAGTTTGGGGCTCATTGAGAATGAAGATTCTCCAAAGTCACGTAAAACCAGTACCAGATTTGAGAAGAGAGTCCACGTGGTCTGAGAAAACAACCCACTGAGACTCACTTGACTGCTTGTTTTTCACCATTCTCCTAGCGTACAGACATTTTGAAGGCTTTCACAATGAGCATGAATGCCTCATACTTATCAAACATATTTTGTAACTGTAGAATATTATACCTATGATCGTATGACACATGCCAAGTTAAAATTGTAAAGCAACCCATGTCAACCAGAATAAAGAATTTAGATGTTACATAAAGGTGAAGGGCAACAGGCTCCAACAAAGACAAAAAAGATCCATGCTTATTATCCAAAGCTGTCAACTTCCGGTGATAACTGCAATGCAACTTAGTCCAAGGCAAAGACGTTATTTATTCTTTCACATGGTACCTTTCTCCTATGCTCCTCCATATCCTCTCCTCCATAAAAGATAGAGTTCACTTCATGGTAACTCATGTGAAAGAGGTACAAGAAGCAGGAGTAATTCCAATGATGTATTATGCTTATCTTAAAATTTCGTGTGGCAGATTTGATGCCTTAAGGCCAAGAGTAAGTCATCTTTACATTTCAGGCACTGTGTATTCCAAGTCTATTAGGAGCAAATTGGGTTACATGTTAAAAAAGAAATAATTAAAGTATAATACTGAGATCCAGGAGACAAGACTCTAAATTTGGTCTCAACAATAACTAGTTCTGTGACCCCACATAAGTCATTTCAATCTCCTTTCCTAAATCTTCTCATTTCTGAGATGATGAATGGTGTGAGTGACACCTATTGATCTTTCCAACTCTGACACTGTCAGAGAAAACAGACTTTATAGATTGCAGGGATATGCAGGCTTGGCCTTTAGCACTACCATGTAAGAAGCAATGTGTTTTTCTTAATAGCTCAGGCTTCCCTTTCCTAACTGCATCAGCTTTTTTTTTTTTTTTTTTTTTTTTTTTTTGCAATAACTCTTTTTGTTCCTTCAGCCACTTAGGGTCTTTCTCTTAATCAGAATTTGATTCCTGGGAAGGGATAGAATGAATCAATGAAACATTAGTGTTAGTGTGATGTGACATGTATGTGGTCCCCATTCAAAGGCACATGAATTTTAAGTCTGAATTCCTCTGAAGTCTGATGGCCTCTACTTATAAAACAGACAAACTAAATGCTCCCTCACTCTTCAACATAGCCATCTTAGTGGTACTTACATAATCCCTTATCCAGACACTGCCACAGACTCACAGTGTTCCTCTCTGCTACCCCACCTGGTCATTCAATAGCCTTAGTATTCTTTAAAAAGTACATTCAGGCCAGGTGCATTCATGTATGTAATCCCAGCACTTTGAGAAGCTGAGGCAGGAGGACTGTTTGAGCTCAGGAGTTCAAGACCAGCTTGGGCAACATAGCAAGACCCCATCTCTACAAAAAAATTAAAACATTAGCTGGGCATGGTGTGTACTCCTGTAGTCACAGCTACTTGGGAGGCTGAGACAGGAGGATAGCTTTGAGCACAGGAGTTTGAGATTATAGTGGGCTATGATTATACCACTGTACTCCAACCTGGGAGACAGGGTGAGCCCCTGTTTCAAAAATTTTTAAAGTATAAAATTAAAGAAAAATAAGAAGTCCATTGAGATCATGTAATCTCCTTGCTGAAATCCCTCAAATGGCTTCCCATTGTATGTAGAATAAAATGTCCACTCTAGGCCGGGCACAGTGGCTCATGCCTGTAATCCCAGCACTTTGGGAGGCTGAGGCGGGTGGATCACCTGAGCACAGGAGTTTGAGACCAGCCTGGCCAACATGGTGAAACCCCATCTCTACTGAAAATACAAAAACTAGCTGGGTTTAGCTGCGGGCACTTGTAATTGCAACTACTCAGGAGGCTGCAGCAGGAGAATCGCTGGAACCTGGGAGGCGGAGGTTGCAGTGAGCCCAGATTGTGCCACTGCACTTCAGCCTGGGTGACAGAGCAAGACTTTGTCTCAAAAACAAACAAACAAAAAAATGTCCACTCTACCATGGCCTCTAAGCACCAGTCGAAACTGACTAGCCTCTTGGGTCTCTTTGTTCTTTTTCATTAAGCCACCCAGATTTTTTTGTTTTTTAATTTTTTTTGAAATAGGCTCATTCCTGCCATGAGGACTTTTCATTTTTGATTCTCTCTGCCTGGATTCCTCTTTTCCTCACAGCCTCAGGTCTACCCATGAGGGTTTTGGAAACGACCTCACTAGGGAATCCCCTGACCACACCTGGTTGTTCTCTCGCTGCTCCATGGCTGCCCTGTTTTCCGCATCTCACTCATCACGGCTGGAAATGATCTTCCTTGTCATTTATCATCTGACCTCCCCCTCACTAGAGTATAAGAGCAAGGGAGTGGATGATGGACAAATTTACAAAAAGGAAGTTTATGTTATCTTGAACTAAATAAAGAGAAGATTCTGGATTAGAAGACCACTCCTAAATGTGGGCTATCCCATTCATAGGCTTGTTGTGTGAAGTCTGACCCTGTGGGTGTCTTCTCTGGACAAGCCATGGGTGCCACTTGCTTCATAGTTAGTAATAGCGTCCTTTGGGTACAATTTCCGGTGTGTGTATGATACAATTTCCAGTGTGTGTGTGTGTGGGTGGGTGGAGAGTGAGGGTAGGTGTGTTTTCATGCATGTATGTGGTGGACAAAGGGAGGATGTTAGCATTGTCCATGTCTTCCTGGCTTTGTAGTTTTCTAGATCCGATGCTCAGAGACATGACCTGGCTGTGTGTGTTGCTTTGTGAGACCCAAGACCCTCTCAGCACAGCGAGGAGACGGCCTATGTTGGGCTGCATTTCTTTCAAACGTGTTTGAGAGGAAGTGTTATGACAGGGCCCAAAGCAAGGTAATAACAGACAGGACTATAAACTCAGGCTCCATCTGCCAGTCCGTCAAGCAGAATCTCATTTATGAAATAAACTTATGGAAGGCCTATTATGTGCAAGGCCCTGAGGTCTTTTTTCCTACTCTTTTATTACTTGTTTTCCAGTACTGGGGAGGATGTCAGTGTGGGAGCTTTCAGAATAGTCTTCTTTGTGGCCTTCAGGCCCCTAACACTATATTTTGGAAATAAAATATGAGCAACTCTATCTTTGTGGCCTAAGGAGGAAAAGCTGGACCCACACTGACAATGGATTGGTGAAGGATTGCCACCCAAAGCTCGAGGAGCACTGCCTACCTGAGGACAGAGGAGAATAACAGAATAATTGTCTGTGTGAACTCCTTAATCACAATTGTTTTCTGGAAAGGAACTGGTAAGCTCACCCACACTGAATTATAAATGAATTTGGGAAAGATTTTGGGAAAATTCGCATGCACCATGTAGAAAGCCTCCATTGTCTTAAACCACAAGAATCAAGTTGTAATTGTAAATTTTCAGTTAATAAGAAAATAGTTTTATATGCCTAGAGCCAGAGGTATCTACGGAGCATTTCCAAAATCATTCTCTGCAAATTACCACCTGCTTTACCACTTCAGTTTAAATCCTATGGTATAATATATAAATTATATATATACCACTATATCAATTATGGATCATTATTTTTCTGAGCCTCCACTTTCTTATCTGTGAAGCAGTAATAATAACACTGGACGTGCAGGGCTGTTGTAAGAGAAATACACTTAAAGTGACCACCAAAGAAAGTGGCATTGACTCTGAGCCTTGTTTATTGACATTAAAGGAGTCTGAGTTCAACCTGCTACGGAGATTTGCCAAAAGAACTTATTTGTATTTTCCTCTTTGTTATTCATAACATTTGCCATATTTCAACATCTTTCTTGTTTGTGGTAGAGAACAGAAAACAGATATGTCACAGTATCAAAACATTAATAACCAATTTCAACAATTATATTGTTGGCCTTGATATACTTTCTGAATTCCAACCAGATAGCTATTCTACTTCCTTCCCATTTGACATATCTTGCTTTTCTGAAACAGGGCCTTTTCAGTTACCGGTTTCTAAGGAGCAATAACTGGGAAAGTACCAAGATCTTACATGCCTAAAGGCTCTGGAATGTCGTGGCTTTTATTTTTCTTAGCCAGAGGAGATGCAAATATTTAACTATGAATCATCTGAGCTGGGACTTCCTTATAGTAATAATGGCAAACCTTGGAGAGCCTTTCTTTTGTCAATGTCTGGATAATCAGGGACCTCAGAGGATATTTACTCAACTTCTGATCAGAGACTTTGCTCCTCCTTTCCCGTGGAAGTGGCCTCTGGAAAGTGTCAGAGCTCTCAGATTATTTTTTCTAAGATTACACTGAGCTTTTTAATATTAGAGATAAGTAGACAGTTTTCATGATTCCAATCCAGGACATTTTTATTTTCTCTACTGTCATTCACTCAACAAATATTTTTGAGCACTTTCTCCATGCTGGACACTAAAAAGACTGCAGTGAAAAAGATGAAAAGGTCATATTCCAAGTCCTAAAGAAAAAAACAGTCTTGTAAGTGATATAAATGAGTTAAAATAAAAGATGTAAGTACCTGTCATGTAAGTACAGCATAAATTCTATGGGATCAAATGGATGCAAGTTTTTAATTGTGCAGGAGGGTAACAGGAAAGGAGATTCAAGAAAAGTTTTGCAGAAGAAGTGGCACTTCAACCTAGGAAAAGGTGAGCAGAAATTGCCAATGGAATCACAGAGATGGAAATGTTATTCCTAGCTGAGGGTTGACATACACCAAGGCATAGTGGTCTGAAAGAATCTGTTGTGTTTACACAACTGGAAGTAGTTTAGTTTTTTTATGGGAAGAACATACATTTCGTACACAGGGTAACAGGAAAGGAACAGGAAAAATACAAGCCAGATCACAAAGCACAAGGTATCTGTAAATATAGGTGGTTTTATAACGTTCCATTGTACGTATCTTTAAGCAAAAATTCTATTTGGAACAATAATTAGTTATTTTACACCAGTTAAAATGTAAAAGACAATCATTTAACTTTAAAAACATTGATTACAGGGGTCTCTTCTCATACATTTAAGTGAGTCCCTTACTGAAATTTGATTTATTGAGAACCGATTCAAGACCATATCCATGCATAATTAAGAAAAAACTAATTTATTCTTTCTAAAATCTGACTTCCATCCATGTTTTACAAATATTTATTCAAGGGATCCCATTATGCCCATCACAATGTCACAAACACCAGGGTTAAAGACAGCCCCTGCATTCTAGAAGCCAAGTTAATACCATAGGAGAATACCTGAATGCATTGTGATACATCTACACTGTGGAATGAATGTCACGTGGCCAGTGAAAAAAATAAATTAGGGCTTTGCCAGGTGACATGGGGTGACTGCTGAGTGAGCAAAGCAACATCTAAAAGAGTACATTTAAGATGATCATGTTTTTGAAACACCAATGAGTTCCATTAACGTAAATGAGAGATACAAGCCTATGAGAGAATAAAAGGTATAGAAAAAACACATAGATTTTTAACCTGTCTTTTTGGGATAGACAACTCTGGTAGGATGAGAGCAGATGATGTCCATCCTTCTTTAAAAAAATGGTTATATTGTCCCATTTAATTACTGTGTATGGGTGTGGGTAGGTGGTACATTAAACAATGCATGGAAGGATAAAGAACAAAATTTTAATGATGGTTATTTCAGGGTCATGGGATTCCAGGTAACCTTTCCTTTCTTCAGAATGCTTTAGTCATTGATTTAACTTTTACATGGGCATGTATTATTTAAATCATTAAAAAGCAATTTTTACCATAAGAAGTTGGGAGTGAGTGAGTAAAACACAGTCTTCTGAGCAAAACAGACGAGCTTGCATATGACAGAGAGGCCTCACGGTCTGGTGGTTAATTGCACCTGTTGTGGAGCCAGACTCCCTGGATTAGAATCCTAGCCTTTTTTCTTACTTGCTATGACATCAAAGAAAATGTATTCAATTCTCTATGCTTCAGTTTCCTTTTCTATAAATTGGTGAAAATAATAGACTGCTCTCATAGAATTGTGATGAGGGTCAGAAGAATAATCATTTGTAAATCACTTAGATTAGTGCCCGGCATATGGTAGAAACTATACAGGTGTTTATTATACAAAATAATGCATTGTAATGGTGTATCCTAATTGATGTAATAAAAATCTACAAGGAAGGCAAGGGAAGCACACAGAGAAGTGACTGACAGGATCTGCAGCTGTCAAGAAGGGGGTCAGGGAAACTTCCCAGAGCAGAATAAACCTAGACTAACAGTGAAGTCACGCAATGCTGAGCATGGACTTGGCCAGAGAGAAAGTGGGAAAAGAGCTGTCTTAGGAAGAAAGGAGGAGAAACCAATGTCTGAGAAGAACACGAGGCTGCTGTGTTTGTGTTTTTCCTTTAAGGCCAAAGACAGCAAATTGATCATATCTAAAGTGTGAAACCTCAATACATTGGCTGAACTCCTTATGGGTTTGAATAACTTACAACCTTCTTTTTTTTATATTTTTTTATTTTTAAAAAACAGAGATGGGGTCTTGCTATGCTGCCCAGGCTGGTCTCAAACTCCTGGGTTCAAGTGATCTTCCCACTTCAGCCTCCCAAAGTGTTGGGGTTACATGTATGAGCCACCACTCCTGGCCACTTCCATCCTTCTTTATCCTTTACTGCATTAAAAAAAACTTCCCTTCATCCTTCTCTGGCCTTATATGTTTTACTTCCATTTGACATAGTCATCATTCATTGAGCAAGCTGATGTAAGATGCTGATTAATGGCATGCAAACATTTTGAAAAGCCCAGACACGTGTGTAACTTCCTAAATGAGATATTCAAGGCTAGGTCATCATGCTTCCCCCTGTAGGTTTTACTAAGCATCGGTCTGAGATGTTCATCTCTTAATCACACGCCACTGTCCTAACCACCCCCTAACCCAGTCACTAACTTGTTACTCACACTTCCTTTGGTTAACTCAACATTTATTTGCATTGTGATGTAAAGATCCCCAGGGCATATGATTTTGAATATAGATAAAAGATAACCTTCTCTTTGTAAAGAAATGTGTTCATGCATATTAAATTGTAAAGGGGCAATTTGAAGAAACTTTTGTTTTTTTAAGAGACAAGATCTCCCTCTGTCACCCAGGCTGGAGTGCAGTGGTATGATCACAACTCACTGCAGCCTCAACATCCCAGCCTCTAGCAATCCTCCCAGCTTAGCCTCCCCTTTAGCTAGGACAACAGGGGCATATCACCACACCCAGCTATTTTTTTTTTTTTTTTTGTATTTTTTGTAGAGTTGGGAGTTTCGCCATGTTGCCCAGGCTGGTCTGGAACTCCTGAACTCAGGAGTTCAGCCTTCCAAAGTGCTGGGATTACATCCCCCTCAGCCTTCCAAAGTGCTGGGATTACAGGCGTGAGCCGCTGTGTCCAGCCAGAAGAAGAAGCTTTCTGTTGAAGAAAATGAAAACTGGAAAAAGTAGTAAGAAAACTGGAGAGAGAAATTAACTCATGAAGACTTGCGTAACGACTCTATTTATGGATTTCTTTTTTTTTACACGCCACAAAAAGGCAAAAGGAATTGTCACAGGGTGTTCATCTGTCTAAAAAGGAGGACTAATAGAAACTCTCATACTAGAAGAATAAAACTCTTTTTCCTCAACAGACAGAAAAGTACAGGAAAACAAAACAAAACAAACAAAACAATCTAAAACTCTAGATCAGGAGAGAAACAATATAATCAGAAGAGAATAAATGTCATGGGTAGCCAAATATAAAAATACTCTCATTTCAGTGACTGTACAATACTTTAACACAGTAGAATTTCACACTGAAAACGACGCTGTGAATATGGCAGTGAGTGCCATGGTCCGTGGCCCAGATCCAGCCTTAAGGGGAACTCATTGACCAAATTGCTGGAAATGTTGCCTGATGCCAACTCATAGCTCACTAGCTTCCTAGGAACTACCCTCAACTGAAGAGTCCTCTTACCCCAAACCATACCTTTTCCTGGGGTCAACCCCAATGACTGGACAAAGTGACTTATGAATGCCTAGGGGCTGACCCCTTGTGGATCAGGATAACTCTGAAGGGCCATCCCAGCTCTAGAGCTGGTAGGATCTGCTGAGGACTCTGGCAAATGAATTCCAGTCCATCTTCCTCCTCCACATCCTTCACTTCCCCACAGGCATTCCTGAGAACACTCCCCAATAAACCTACTGCACTAACATCTCTATCTCAGAAACTGTTTCCTAATTCATCTAAGGCAACTCTCTAGACCTATCCTGTCATTTTATATCTGGAACAATTCAAAGTCACTAAAAAATTAAGCCATTCATTCAAAGTAGTACAACTGGTAAGTAATAGATTCAGGAATAGAATTTTGACTCCTGATCTAATCAAGTGCTCCATCCATCTAAAATATTGGTGGACCTGACAGGAAAGACCTAGAAAGCAAATCTATTAGTGAGACACAAGGTGCATGCCTGTAATCCCAGGTAAGGCAGGAGGATCACTTAGGGCCAGGAGTTCAACATTAGCAACACAGCAAGACCCCTTCCCTACACACTTTTTTTTTTTTTTTTTTTTTTTTTTTTTTTTTTTTTTTTAATTAGCTAGGTGTGGAGGCACATGCCTGTAGTTCTAGCTTCAGGAGACTGAGGTGGGAGGATCCCTTTG
Source organism: Homo sapiens (assembly GCF_000001405.40). Taxonomy (NCBI): domain Eukaryota; kingdom Metazoa; phylum Chordata; class Mammalia; order Primates; family Hominidae; genus Homo; species Homo sapiens. The sequence continues at coordinate 32,329,971 of NC_000008.11, read as the reverse complement.
TGGTCAGGGGTTCCAGGCTGCAATGAGCTGTGATCAAGCTATTGCATTCCAACCTGGATGACAGAATGAGACCCCCTATCTCTTATTTTTAAAAAGAGAAATAAGACCAAAACCCCCCAAAACCTAAAGGTTGTGGTTTTGCTCTATATCACGTAGTTTACTTTCATAAATGTAGTTCTAAATCAAGCCTGAAATATTTTTGTGTCCTTAATACTACTTACCTGAGAAGTTTTGAGGGTTTTTTTTCCTGTTTTTGTTTTTAATATGTTACTGTTGAAAGAGTGATAGAAGAAGCAGCTAATACGAGCAAGAGCATGATGCTAAGCCTATAATTCCCAAGAGGGACTCGTTGCCAAGTTCCACAACAGCAGTGACGAACCAGGACTGAGAGCCATCAACTTAGACTCGGCCTTTTACAGCATTGACCTGTCAATGACTCATTTATCAATCAACTGCCTTTTATCCCCCATCACATTATTTTGAGTGTTATAGTTTCATCATGTTTTTAAAAATGCTTTTAAACTTTTTTTCACTTTTCTGAATGGATACTAATGTACACCTAGACTTGTGAACAGAAATATTATCTACATATAATCTACATTTTGGAATCCAATTGTCCTTTAAGGTTTGAGTTTTATAATTAAATCATTTTGAGATCATGGTTAACAAATACAAGAATAATAGATGATAATCTGTAGATGTCAGCTGGGCGCAGTGGCTCACACCTGTAATCCCAGCACTTTGGGAGGCTGAAGTGGGAGGATCTCTTGAGCCCACGAAGTCAAGACCAGCCTGGGCAACATAGGGAAAACCCACCTCTACAAAAAAATAGAAACAATTAGCCAGGCATGGTGATGCATGCCCATAGTGCCAGCTACTTGAAACTGAGGTGGGAGGATCGCTTGAGCTGGAGAGGTTGAGGCTGCAGTGATCTGAGGTCGTGCCCCTGCACTCCAGTCTGGGTGACAGAGTGAGACATTGTCTAAATTATAATAATAATAATGTGTAGATTTTAAGGGTTTTAACAAGTCAGAAGGAACTTTCTTCCACCTTCCACGTCACAGTCATGCACTGGCCTTATGTTTATGTTCAACTCCCATCAAGATTCAGCCAGCAGATGGTGAATTTAAAGTCAAACAGCAAAGAGGAATCTATAATTCCAAGATGATTTATGCTTTTCCCATCATTTGCTTGACCCCCTACTGCATTTAGTGCACTGTGGAGACCAGGCTTGACTCTCCTTCAGAAACCAATATGGAACCCACTCTCTAAGAACACTGAAGGCAAGTTTCATCTTAAAAAAATTACATTTTCTGCTAAAAAGCACCACTTTGGGACATTCAGCTTTTGTGATGGCCTTACTTTTGCTGTACATACTCCCCAGAGAGGTGGGATTTCTACAAAATGAATTTAAAATTAAATAACTGGATGTCATTTTAAATGGCCTGGCTTGATGCCACATGGATATTTGAAAAGGTAAAAAGTAAAGTTGTTTGGACTTCAGTTTAGGCAACATTCTATTTTCCCAGAAAAAAAAAAAAAAGATGTTAAATTTTAGTGTAAAAGCAAGTATTTTGTTTTATACTATTATTCTTTTTAAATGTTTGACAATACATAACAAATTTGAATTATACTACCCTCCCCAAATGATTCATGAAGCCAGCCTACTAACTCTGAGTGACATTCTGATCAAAATAATTGCCTTGGAAAGCTTCGCAGTGAGTGACACATTAACCACAGCAGGTATCCAAAGCTCTTTAAAAACACTGAGTCACACACCCTCACAGCATCTGTGAGATAAATGTGAGTGCGATATTATTATTCCCACTCTACCCAAAGGGACAACAATTTGCTTAAAAGATGCTGTCTCAATTTGGGACATTCTGTGTCTGCCATGCTCCTTCCTCTGACTTCAAGTCATTCTGTACTCAAAAAGGTCTAAGATGGTTTCATTCTTTCCACATTAAAGATTTGAAGAGAGGTAACTGGTTTCCCCAAAACCCAGATATCATATTACTTTCTGCCCTCAACTCAGTTTTCTTATGATGATAGAGTTGGTGACTTTTTCTAACCTTCCAAATTTCTAGCCAATATGGAAGCAGTGCTTGCAACATTATTGACACATTCATCTGGCCTCTGTCTAGTCTCCATCAACAGCAGAGGAATCTCACAATCTCACCACCTAATAAGGCTTCCTGCCCCATTCCTATGTTTTAATTGTTATAAAGGTCTCCAATATGGTGATCTAAAGTCTGTCTTTCAAATTCCACTGTGCTTCCTAGAATATAAAACAACAAAACAAAACAAGAAAAACAAGGATGATCTTCACATATGTGAACACATTTGTCATTTCTCTGCTTATTTTATCCAAGTTAAACTTCCACAGAAGATTCAACTATAACTTATATGGGACAATCTTCAGATCCTCAGTAACCTAGTCATCTTTTGTAATTTGGATACTAAGTGTCAGGATCTCCCTTAAAATAGGCCATCCAATATTGAAGCTAGTTTTAAGATACAGTCTAAGCAGAAAAGAGCAGAGACTATAACTTTCCATGGCAGAAGCACTCCAAGACTCAAGATGCTAAAGCAATGTTGTGACTGATTTCTTTTTCTTTGTTGTCTTTAAAAAATATATTCAGTTATGCAAGTCAGAAATCTCTACACCCTGTCACGACAGCATCTGGGCATAATTATGCCATATAAGTCAATATTGTTCACATATGGAAGAAAAGTTGGATCACACCATTCATTCTCCTTTGCTTCCTCTCTATTCTGATTCAGGTTCAAATAAACAGAAACCAGGGAGGAACCTCTTCTTTCTTTCATCTCTGTGCCAGCCCCACACTGCTCTGAGGAGCACGATCCTCTGAAATATGACAGGCAGTCAGAGACATTTCGGTCCAGCACAGGGCTGGAGGACTTCTATCCGATTCATTATTTTATTCCATTGACTAGCAGAATTTCCAAGACCTCTTTGATGAGGTTCTATTTATTGAAAGCAAAAATCTGAGCCCATGTTAGTGTTGTTGAGATTTCAAGAATTTGTCTCATTGCCAGAATTGTCTTATGATCAAAGATATTGCTTGAGCATAGGTTTTTTTAATTTTAAATAACCTCTTATTTATGGAATTCTTTATAGTGCCTAAAGGTTTGGAAATATGACTTTAATACTTATCTCTGAAGAACTTTGAGTATAATCTTAATTTTAACTCTATGTTTCTAATTTTTTTAAAAATTCAGTTTTAGGACTCACTGGTTTCTCTTTACTATAGTTGCTATAGTAAAATGTATATATCAGTATAAGTACTTCCTCGATGTTTTATCTAAAAATGTGATGGCTGGCTGCGCGTGGTGGCTCATGCCTGTAGTCCCAGAACTTTGGGAGGCCAAGGCAGATAGATTGATTGCTTGAGGCTAGAAGTTCAAGACCAGCCTGGGCAACATAGTGAGACCATGTCTCTACAAAAAATACAAAAATTAGCTGAGTGTGGTGAATTTAAAATTAAATAACTGGATATAGTCCCAGATACTTGGGAGACTGAGATGGGAGAATGGCTTGAGCCCAGGAAGTTGAAGATGCAGTGAGCTTTGATTGCACCACTACACTCCAGCCTGGGTGACAGAGTGAGACCTTGTCTCAAAAAAAAAAAAAAAAAAAAAAGCCTGGGCACAGTGGCTCACACCTGTAATCTCAGCACTTTGGGAGACCAAGGTCGGCAGATCACAAGGCCAGGAGTTCAAGACCAGCCTGACCAACATGGTGAAACCCTGTCTCTACTAAAAATACAAAAATTAGCTGGGCATGGTGGCGTGCGCCTGTAATCGCAGCTACTCAGGAGGCTGAGGCAGGAGAATCGCTTGAACCCAGGAGGTGGAGGTTGCAGTGAGCCTAGATCACGCCATTGCACCCAGCCTAGGTGACAGACAGAGACTCCATATCAAAAAAAAAAAAAAAAGTGACATCTGATGTGAAGAGAAAACATCAGTTGGACAAAATCATTTCTAGACTTAATATGGGCTGAGGGATAAACTCTGCCAGTAGCCAGCATCGTGGTGCTCAGCTCCCTAGTTACGAAAGAGGAATATGATCACTGTGTTGTGCTGTAAGCAATAGCCTGTGGAAATAGACATTCTGCACAGAGTAAATACTGAGTAATATTTAGAATCATAGATGTGAAAGGAACCTTTGATATCACCTAATTCAACCTTTTAATTTTTAATTTATTCTTTATTTAAAGCTTGCTTTTTGAGGCTCAGCAAGATTAAATGATTTATTCAAAATTATACAAATAGGCCAGGTGTGGGCACATGCCTATATTCCCAGCACTTTGGGAAGCCGAGGCAGGAGAATCACTTATGCCCAGGAGTTTCAGACCAGCCTGGTCAACATGGTGAAACCCTATCTCTACAAAATATAAAAAATTAACCAGGCATAGCAGCACATGCCTATAGTCCCAGCTGCTCAGAAGGCTGAGGTGGGAAAGGCCTGAGCCTGAGAGTTTGAGGCTGCAGTGAGCCACGTTTGTGCCACTGCACTTCAGCCTGGGGGACAGAGCTGTCTCTGTCTCAAAACAAACAAACAACAACAAAAAAATTTTTTAATTATATAAATAGGAAGTAACTGATTCAGTACTAGAGTCTCTTGATATCAATGCCATTGTGCCCCACCCCGTAACAGCTGTTTTGAATTATGACTTTATTTACCTGACCCTTTAAAAGTGCTATAAAGCCTAGTAAAACATTGCAATAAAGGTTCAGTCTTGCTTGGTTCACTAGAAGATGATTAAAAACCTCAATAAGATGTTTTCTCATGCCTCCTCCTTAAGTGTTGAATTTCTTTCTTTGTGAAATCAAAGCTTCTTATAACAGCATAATAAATAAGGATAATTGATATGGATGGCGATGACAATAAAATTCATACTTAAAGCATTTAGAACAATGCTCACTTCCAAAGTGGTCAATTAATATTAAGTATTATAATCTAATTTAAACATTCGGACAACCTTACAAAATACATAATATCATTATTCCTCACTTTACAGTTGACATTAATGAGGCACAGAGAGATTTATGTAGATTTCTCAAGGGCTTACAGCTTGAAAGAGTCAGATTTAGCTCTGAATCCAGGGCCTGCACACTTAGTTGCTACATTAGTGTGGCCAAAAAATGAGATGCTATCCTGAAGGTTTTAATAAATAATGGCTAGGAAGAAATTAATGTCCTTGGAAGCTCTTCTAAAACTATTGAGAACTATTTACAGATAAATTTTCCAATTTTTTATTTGCCTTTTCTGACATATTCAATTGCAGTGCAGAATCCTCAGAGTGAATCATATTTATTCTGCAACCACAGACATTAAAGTATTCTCTCATCAAAGTTTGGTGCTGGGAAGAATTATTTGATTCCCAGAATCCCAGATCCACATCTCAGCTTGTTTCAGAGATGCCTTCCCCATTAGTTAGAAGCCTCCACCCATTCCTTTTGCTACACACCTACATCCCAACTCAGGTTTCCAAAGCAGGAAAGCTGAATTCCCGGTACTCAAAAGCAAGCCCAAGCAAGACACTTCTCTACTCAATGCTTGCATTTCTTTAACAAGGATGGTGATTTTAAGGCACAGAAGAAGCAAATGAGCAATCAGTACCTCTCCTCCTGCACGATTTGGAGATACCCCCGGCTTACAGGGCATAAGCCTGCTTTCTGCAATAAGGACCATCTAAGAGCAGACTGTTTGAGTTTTCCCATCCATAAACCACAGAGGTCTACAGACAGCAGGACATAAGAGATGCCTGGCCTTTGCAAACAGTGTGCCTGAAGATACCAGAAGTCTGGTTGAATAATACACAATCAGTTTGGGGTGGAATTTTTTTTTTTTTGAGGGCTTTGATGAAAAACTACTGAGGCTTGACATTGCAATGAACCCATCCTGTCATTTCTGATCACGTAGCCACTTTATAGTTGGATTAGCTTTCTCCTGACACGATTGTTGTGAGAGGCAGATGAGGAAGATGTGTGATAGGAAACATTTTTGGAATCAGCAGTTACTGAAACTATGGTACTATTATTCCAAGGTGGACTTTGTTACTGATTCCACACTAGGCTTCTCAAAGCCCCACCATGTGGGCTCATTCAGAGGCATCTCTACAAAAGCTATTGTCTGCCACCCATCTGCTCACAAAACCAACCCTTTGACTCCTCAGGATCAACCCAGATATTGAATCCTTTTATAGATAAACTGAGAATTCTAGATTAGAGAGCTAAAGGAGAAAAAGAGGAAATGAATCAAATTCCAACAAGTAAGGAAAAAATGGCTTACGTGCCCTCAAGGCAGAGGCCAAAGGATCACTCTGTACAGTGATAACCTATGACTCAACGTTTTATCATTTAGAGCTCACAATTCTCCAATCCCTGCAGGACCATTGCTGGCTTCTGTTCCAAGGGATGCCCTACCAGGGAGGTGGCTGATGGAAGAGATGGGCGGGTGAGCCCTGTCTCTGAACTGCTGCATGCTATGCCTGCCTTTTCCTGGCTGTGATTTTCCACCCTATAGGCTCTAAATCAGTCTCTTTTCTTTATTTTTTTCCAAAAGAAGCAAAGGGAAGCCCTTGAGATTCATGTTGGTATCAACAGGAAACCTGGAAAAAAAGGAAAATCAAAGAGGAAACCAAAATGCACATAACTAAGAATAGGAATTTCAAGTACATTGCTTTTGGAAAGGGAAAATTAAACTTTTGATAAGTTGGATTGCAGGGTGAGGGGAGGTGTGGAGTAGAGTGTGGAGAACAATGAATGAGGGAAGGGAGGAGGAATCTTCTTTACATAGGAATCAGAGGTGACCTCATATACTATTTTATGTGGCTTTTTTTAAAGCTTTGTGTAAAACCGAGCATATTTCATAATGACCTTACTCTCACGGAAGGTTATTAAGTTAAATGACTGTATCGAGGGCCATAGTTAGGTGGTGTTGGGTGTTGTCCTCTTTCTCAGATTTCTAGTTCCCAGGTGTTTACTCCTGCTTAGATAGAGTGGTGAAAGCCATCAGTATCTTTGGTGTCTTAGGTGAGTATATATTAATCCGCTTTGTTATAAGTATGAAAAAAAAAAAACCCAGAGAATTGCTATTATAGAATAAAATGCCTCAGTCAGGTAAGAGAAATTCACTCTTTGAAAATATATCATGGGGCTTCAGTTGATGATTTGCTCAGTGTTCTGGAACCAAAATGTGTTAACTAAAAGGAGAAAATCATTTCAGAATATCCTTCCTTTCCTGTCCTGAGCTACCCCAGGGCTGGCTTTTATAATGATCACCACAAGAGCCTGCAGGACAGGCCAGCAGTGACACGATCTCCACAATCCCACTGGAGAAGATGTGGGATCAAGTCCTTCATGCCTGAAGCCAATGTGCAGGATATAACTCCAGGAATAAGTCCTAGAACCAATATATAGGATTAATGGGTGGCAGAAATGGTGACTATTTAAATTGTTTAAAAATCCTTCTATTCTGCAATTATTCTATCTTAATACATTTATAAATTATAATTTGTGAACTCTCCATGTCCATGGCTACATTAAAAACAATCAAATTAATGGGTATATATATATATATATATATAAAATAAGGTTGCACTTAAATAAGGTTTATCGTTATTTAGTGCAAATGAAACTACAACCATTATATTTTGTAAAGTCTATTATTTTATAATAATAGTGTGCATGTTATAGTCAGAAAATCTCCACAAGTAAAGGAAATGCTATCATTCTTTTTTTTTCTTTTTTTTTAGAGATGGGGTCTTGCTATGTTGTCCAGGCTGGAGTACAGTGGCCATTCACAGGCATGATCACTGTGCACTACAGACTGGAACCGCCAGGCTCAAGTGATCTTCCCATCTCAGGTTCCCAAGTAGCTGGGGATACAGGTATGCACCACCGTGCCTGACAATGTCATTTAAAAAATTTTAAAGCTGGAAAAGAAATATTTACTCACGAATTGAGCTAGGAACTAAATGAAGACCTTTGGGCACCTGGAATAAAGCTCTAGTTAAGGCAGCATCTTGTCTCTACATATAATGAAATGACTAAGAGAGTGAGGTCTAGCTTATATAATAGAAAAAAAAAAATCAAAGAAACAAAAAGCAACAGGAACAACCCAACTCAATATCTCCATCAAGAAATCCATGACTTTAAAAGGTATATCAAAAGCAAAGCTACTTTGTGGTAGAATAAGACTTTAATATGGATTTATTTGTGAAGGTTTTAAACATTGTATTTACTATATTTAGCATCTTCAATGATTACTCAGTTTGTAAAGTGCTTTGAGGTTATGAGATCACTAGTGAAGCTATTGGTTTCATTTAAAATGAATTCAACTAAATATTTCTCTCCTCCCAGTATTTCCAGCCCATGGAAATCATTATCAGGGGATGTGGTGGAGAAAAAGAAGAAGAAGAAAAAAAAAAAACCCACTGCTGTCAGATTTTTTTTTTTTTTACAGGTGGTAAACATGATTCTAACCTTTATAATCTTACAAGGTTAAAGAGATGTCGACAAGACCAAAGAGTATCAACTAATTTGCCATACAGGAACATAAAGAGGTAACACATGTCTCCATCCTTATAATGTGGAACTACATTTGATTTTCCTGAAATACCATCAATAAGCTAAAAAGATATTGCTAAATTTGGGAGTAAGACAAGTTATAGTAAGGCAAGTTATAGTAAGGCTTTCTTTCCTATTGTCTTAGTGATTTACGAGGTAATTTTGAAATTGACTAGTGGATGGAACTCAACCAATCGAGGTATATGGCATAGTTTAATTGATACTATATCTCACGGGGGTTGTAATTTTCATGGTATCTTAAGTATTGGTTATTTAAGAAGTGCCACAGTGTTTTAGATCATCTAATAACATAGGATATTCCTGAGAAGAACCATATTTCAAAGAAGCAAGATCTCAAGAATAATTTCTCCCCTCACCACCATAAAATATATAAATAAACAAGATTGTCAAAACTTTTAGGGAGGAAATTGATTTCCTCAAATTGCTGTAGCAATATATCACCAATCTGACCTACCTTTACACCAAAGCTGTTGATCGCTAGTATCAGAATTAACCAGATTACTCAAGAAATTTAAAACCAAGACCATACAATGTCTCAGAGGTGCGTAATGATGACATGTCTTTTGAAGTCTAGGTGAGCAGTCTATTTCTGCACATATATATTCAGGGACTGTATGGTTTGGATTTGTGTCCCCACCCAAATCTCAGGTCGAATTGTAATCCCCAGTGTTGGAGGAGGGGCCCTGTGGGAGGTGATTGAACCATGGGGGCAGATTTCCCCTTGCTTTTCTTGTGATAGTGAGTGAGTTCTCCTGAGATCTGGTTGTTTAAAAGTGTGTAGCACCTCCCCTATTGCTCTCTTCCTCTTGCTTCAGTCATTTGAGACTTCTCTTCTTCCTCTTCACCTTCTGCCATGATTGTAAGCTTCCTGAGGCCTTTCCAGCCATGCTTCTAGTACAACTTGTAGAACCACGAGCCAATTAAACCTCTTTTCTCTATAAATTACCCAGTCTCAGGTAGTTCTTTATAGCAATGAGAGAATGGACTGAAACAGAGGCTAACTTCTAAACAAAAATTAGCAGGATAAGTCTAGAAATATTTTCTGAAGGCAGTAAAAAATTCCTAGTAATTATAAAAGATGATGCCAGAATTCCTTTTGCACATGGAAGGAAGAGGCAGATATCCATGAAGTACCTACAATATGGTCACCAATTGCTAGGTTCATTGGCATATATTTTTAATTTAAAAATCATAACAATAGTATGATGTATGATGCAGATATCAGTGTTTCTATTTTGTAAATGAGGAAAACAAGATCCAGCAATTTAAAATAACTTGCTCACAGTCGTACAGCTCTTAAGTAGCAGACCTGGGCTTAAAACCAGGTTATCCTGGGTTCAAAATCTTAGGTTCTTTCACATATCCTATTCTTCCTCCTGGGGCTAAGGTCACGCACTATATTTTGTCACTGAAACATACATTAATGCACAATCTCTGAGAGAGTATTCCTTTGTATTAGCATTATATTAATATTTATATTAGTGTGCATATTATATGCAGAAAACCTCAAGTCCAAATATATAAGTAAAAAAGTAGAGATAATATAAAAATTATTCCTAATTTCCTTCATTAATCCATTGGAGATACATAATTTATGAAACTCTCCTTAAGCCTAATTTATGTTATTAGCCTATGTCCTTTCTTGGTATAATAATTTCCATAATTTTCTACCTGTTAAATAAAGTGGTACTCCTTTTAATTTAAAAAAATCCTTTGAGCATCATGGGTGTTACCTGGAGTGACAGCATAGGGAACGAGATCATATTCTCCAACAATTTTCCCAATATTTCAGAGGCATTATCTTTTGTTAGTGCCCCAATTCTGGGAAAGGGTCTAGTGTTGTTTGCACATAGAAGACTCTTTTCCTGCTAGATCTTTGCAGGTTCCCTCTCTCAGCCTTCTTCTCCTCTTGAATAGGCAGTTCTCAAGGCTTCTCTGAAGCTTTCTGGACCAGATCCTTCTGCATCCCAAGAATGATTTCCAAGCTGAGTCTTATTGGGCAAATTTAAGGTGACCATTTTCTTACTTAAAGTCATGCAGGAAAGGCAGAAAGGAATTCAAAATCTGCACTCTGATAACATGACCCTAGCTGTGATGGGTCCTGTTTCCATCAACACCCCTGCAAATAACCTCCCAGACCTTTCTTTCCATTTAAATGTACTAGGGAATGTGTGTTGGGGAAGAAGTCTAGACAAATAGACACTGCATAGGGGATCACAACTGCTGGATAATCTGAAGGTGTTCCTCAGGTGTTAGATTTAAGAAGAACCCTTAAAGCACTTCTCTGGGCCACTGAACTTTTCACCTTCACGTCAAACATCAGTGGTGTTGGCAAGCCTTTTTTACATCGCACAGTCACTCCTATCTGGGCCTCAAGTGATGAAGGTGTTACACAATCCCATTAATCCAGCCAGGATTCCCTACTCTGAGTCAGTTGAATTTTACTCAAGTGCTCACACAAAATAGCAAAATCGGTCACTAAGAAGGGAGTTTACAGGCAGGGAAAACGTGGGATTAATAAGAAACTTGATTGACCAGGTGTAATGGATACTGAATTGCAAACGGAATTGCAACAGGAGACTTAACTTCTCAGCCTGTCATAAAACTGGGCAAGTCTTCTTTGAGTAAATCAACAAATAACATATTTTCAAAGGACGTTTTGGTACATAAGTGTGGAAAAATGTACATAAACTGCTTTGTAAGTGAAAACAATATATAAATGTATTAGGATTATGTATTGTCAGCATATAAAATGCTGTAACTCAAAGCAGGGTAGCAAAAGACAGAGAGCTTTGGACCAGGGGTAAGGACACTGGTTCTAGTTGAGGCTCGGATGTTTGGACCAGCCTGTTACAGGTTAAGTCACTTAACTTCTTGGTGCCAATGTCTCCTTATGCAAAAACATTAAGATTGTACTTAATGGCTCCAAGGGGCTGAACAGCTCTAAAATGTTTGATTCTACAAAAAGCATGAGGTAGCCCTATCAAAATATATTTCAAATCTCTATCAGTAAAATCTGACTGTCATCAAATATACAATATATACTACTTAAACAGCAAGAAAAAATAATGAAATTCAAGGAATTCATAACTTGTCAAAAGTCTTCTCTTATTACAAGAATCACTCTGTTCAAAATTTTCCCTCTGTTTTCAGACAGATAACATCTCTGTCTTAAGCTTACGATAAAGTCCTAAGCTTACAATTTCTTAAAGTTTTCCATACCCTTGCCTTCTGCCAAATACTTCAAAATACCAAACCTTGTGAGAACTTTAGAATCTGATTATTTCCTACCTTTCTTAAGACTTAATATTTTATCTATGTCTTCTAGCATGGCCTCTGTACTCATTTTTTTTCTCCCTTTTCTTAGTTATTTTGGGAAAAGCAAGTGGCTTGAAAAGAGAGGGCAGTCCCTAAGCCCTGGCGTCATATAGAAACTTAGCATCTCTTCAATTATATCCACATAGCACCCTCTACTGCTTCAGGGGGAAAGAAAGCTTTGCAACTGCTCAACACTAGAATACAGCCAAAAATGTCACTCTGCCCAGCTATATAACAACAGGTAGAAATCTCCTTCATTTGTCATTTCAATAGCATTCCTTTAAAAGAGCACAATTAGGGTGGGGAGATATTTTTATCTATTTTATCCTTGCATTTGTTCTGCTTTATTTCTGTTTTGTCTTTGTGTACGTTCTGTGATTTCGAGCTAGGAGTTCTTGCAATTTCTAACCCTCATGCCAAAACAATTGCAAGTAATATTAGGAGCAACTGGATAATAGAAATAAACACATCTGAGGCCTCTGCAGTAAATCTCAATGAAGAACTCAAGGAGAGAAGATTACAGCTCTCAGGGTGCAAAGCCTCTGATATCTTTAACAGAAAACTTCTGCATAGCATGAGAAAATTCTTCTTCCTCGGCTTTGTTTCAATGATGCCTATGTTCTGATTGTGATCCCAAAAGAAAGAAACATATTTTCTAAAAATGTAGATCTCCATCTATTCACATGCACTTTCTCCTGAGTGTCTTGTTTAGCAGGGCCAGTAAGTTATTAAAAACCAAATCAGAACCCTGGGAAATGTAATTTATTTCCTATGGACTCGTAAGCAGAGATGCTTCAAAAGCAAGATGTTCCCTCTTCTTCTCTGGATCTCTTTCTATTTTTCCCACTGAGATAACATGTTTATAGTATTCAGTAGAGGGGAGACTCATCATTCCCTGGAAAGTCTGCTAAATCATGGAGAGAACGTATACATCTAACATCAAAAAATAATATCTAGTCTAGAGTTTCATTTTAGACAGAGTTTACTACTTTGGACAAACAATATATAATTTCCCTAACTCAGGCCAGAGGCCTGCTTTTCACAAACCTTACCACTCTATTCATTGAAGGGCAGGAGAAAATACTTCCTCAGGAATATTCTAGAGACTTCTGTCTGAAAGTACCTATTCCACCACAAGCCTACACGGTCCCTTTCAAGTACTATCTCAGCTGATTACACTAATTCATTTAAATTTCCTAATGTGTTTTATTTTATTTTATTTTATTTTATTTTTTTGGAGCTGATAGTCAGAACATACCCTAATGTGTCTTGAAAGAGGAGATCTGTTAATTGCAATGCATCAGTAATGAGTGAAGTTTCACACCGAGGATCAAGGTGAGGTAAAGAAAAGGTAACGCTGGAGTTGCAGTCTTAGCAGAGGAAGCTTTCATCACATTGCTCTTATAAACAATAACCTGTATGAAAAGGAGAAGGGAGCTGCTGTCTCCTCCAAGTTCAAAACGAGAGAGAGAAGATTTGCTTCCCGGCACAAGTATACTTCAAGGAACAAGCACCTGTCAGGAACCAGGAATCCTTAGGATTCTTTTTTTTTTTTTTTTTTTGATGGAGTCTCCCTCTGTCACCAGTCTGGAGTGCAGTGGCACGATCTTGGCTCACTGCACCCTCCGCCTCCCAGGTTCAAGCGATTCTCCTGCCTCAGCCTCCCGAGTAGCTGGGACTACAGGCATGCGCCACCAAGCCCAGCTAATTTTTGTATTTTTAGTAGAGATGGGGTTTCACCATGTTGGCCAGAATGGTCTTGATCTCTGGACTTCCTGATCTGCCCACCTCGGCCTCCCAATGTGTTGGGATTACAGGCGTGAGCCACCGCGCCCGGTCCCTTAGGATTCTTTAAGCCCTAAGTGTAGATTCCTTCATGGAGTTTCTAGATACATGAATGTTGCGGCACTTTCATATCCTGAATAGTCAAGACAAACACAGTTTTTCATGTTCTTATTTGTTTGTTTTTCTTCACCCTGTCCTCAGATATCATGTATTTGTATTCTAACATCTTCAAGTAGGTTAATCGTCTCCTTTCAGTTGGGAAGACAAGATACGCAGTTTCTGTTCCTTTCTATGTACTCCACTGCCTAGCAAAATACAGGGTACATGAAGTCTGCTTAGTATTAAATAAAAATATAAATGAAATAACACATACAAAGCATTTGGCCCAATGGCAAGCATTAATTGTTTCGTATGTGTTTTTTTCCTCTGTGATGTTCATATCAGGTCCCTGCCAGTCTGCTGGACACTGTGACCTACAGGAGGGCTCACTCATTTTACAGCTATGAGTAGACACACATCACGTAGAGTTACATCATTTCACAGACATTCTGAGGGTGTCTAGCAGGTGTCAGATTCCATGTTAGGTATCAGATTCAATGGTAAACAAGACCATTGGATCTATTCAAAGCCTTTATATTCTAGGAGATAAATGCAACTGAAAAACTGGCAGTTTTCTGATAGACAGTGAAGCAAAGTTCGGTGAGTGTGCATATGTTTATTGCAGCACTATTCACAATAGCAAAGACATGGAACCAACCCAAATGCCCATTAATGATAGACTGGATAGACAATGTGGTACATATATACCATAGAATACTATGTAGCCATAAAAAGGAATGATATCCAGTGCTTTGCATGGATGAAGCTGGAAGCCACCATCCTCAGCAAACTAACATAAGGAACAGAAAACCAAACTCAGCATGTTCTCACTCATAAGTGGGAGCTGAACAATGAGAACACATGGACACAGGGAGGGGAACAACACACACCAGGACCTGTCAGGGGGGTGGGCAGAGGGAGAGCACTATGACAAACAGCTAATGCGTGTGGGGCTTAATATCTAGGTGAAGGGTTGATAGGGGCAGCAAAACACCATGGCACACGTTTACCTATGTAACAAACCTGCACGTCCTGCACATGTATCCCAGAACTTAAAATAAAATTTAAAAAAGAAAAAGTTGGGTGGGTGTAAACACAGAACACAGGGTGTTGTGAAAGCTTAGATGAGGGTCTGCAGGCAGAAAGTCGAGAAGAGCTTCTTGGAGGAGGTGACATCCGCGGTGAAACCAGAACAGTCAGAATTAGCCTGGTGGTGGTGAGAATCAGTCACCCCTAACAGAGGGAGCAGAAGCTCCGAGGCTGAGAACAGAGAGGACAGTGTTTGATGGAACAACTGGCATCGCTGGGGCATAGAGATGGGGAGCGATTATGGAAGAGGCTGGGGTGGAAATGCACATGGAAACAAGGCTGTAAGGACAGGGACCCATCTGGGGGCTTCCTCTTGGTGCTCATGAAGAGATACAGCCATTCCTCAGACTGCAGGGAGGAAATGTGCTCCCTTCCTCGTCTTTCAGACTTTTAGCATTTCTATTATGAAGGATGAATAAGAAGGAGCAAGGAAGTAATGAATCTCTTTGGAAAGACCAACAAGATGAATAATGTTCTACCAGTGGGAAGCACATGCAAGGAGAAATTGTGCAGAGTAAGTGTTTACTTCTGTATTACAGAACAGCTTTGTAGAGGTCATTAGGCTTATTGCTGGAGCCAACCGAGGAGGGTAATAGCACGTCTACTTAGTCTTCACGCGAGGACCGCCATTCCCTCCCTCGGTTATCTGGAACAGAATTGCATCAGCACAATGCTAACCAAGCATAGACTTTTCTAGCTGTAAAAAAGCTTTAGACATCCATGTTTCCACTTTAGTGGTAAGGGAACTGCAAGTTACCCAGCTTTTGTAAGCATAGCTGGGGTGTAAAGCCAGACCATTTGACTCCTGCTCCAAGACTCTTTCCAAAGAGCCATCCTGCCACTCTGCCCCGAAGAAGAATTTTTTTTTTTTCCACTTAACAGCTAGTCTACATGGCCCAGAATAAAGCAAAGACTAAGCATGTGATGAATTTGCTGGCTAAGTGCAACCAAACAGAGGTAAGGATTTATTAATCTTCAAATGATCTAATTTGTCTCTTGCCCTGAGATGATGCATATTACAAATATTGCAAGAAAAAAAGCTGATTAAGGGTAGTTAACATGACCTGGCCAGCATTGGGAGGTGCCAAAAGTAGTGTCTGCTTGTTTAGAAAGAATGTAAAACATTTGTATTTTATTTAAAATACAAAAATTGATATCAGTTTTGTAAAAGAAAGGGTGTATGTATAAATATGCCTACATAAGCAGACATGCATTAGAGATACATATGCTCAGAGGGAAGAGAAACTTAAAAGAGACAAATAGACTAAAATTGTAATAGAAACAACTTTCTCTGGGATTTGGGGGCCTTATGATGTTTTAAAAATAATTTACCAGTTTTACAGTATAATCAGAAATATATATGTGTGTTAAAATATGCATATGTGTTAAAATATACATATGTGTTAAAAATTGGATGTGACAACTCCCTGCTTTAAAGGAACAAGCACATCTTGAAGTGGTCCCTGGGACCTAGCATTTCCTTTTTATTGTCAGACAAGGCCCAAGCTCATACTTCAGTGTTGTTACTGAGTTTCAGTTAGTGGCAAAAGACATGGCTCCTTGTGAATGTAAATTTGAGATAATTTTTTTCAAAAGATTAAGACACTTCGGCATTTTCAGAGGACTCGTTATTTATAATGCACCTAATTTCTTCCTAGAAATGCATGGATGTGTGGAGTCAAGCTATTCTGGGACAGCTGAGTAGTGGCAAACAAGTCACTTGGTACTAATGAAGAAAGGGGGTTTCAGGTCACACCAAAGGTAGCAAGGGCAGTAGAAGTTGCCTCCGGTAAAGGTTACTCCTAAGATTCCATTCCCAACATCTACAGCAATATCAACTCTTAGAACTTAAGTCTTTATACTGTGATGCTGAAATACAGAATTTCCTAAATCATGTGAATATATATATGACGGAATCTCACTCTGTTGCCCAGGCTGGAGTGCAGTGGTACGATCTCAGCTCACTGAAACCTCTGCTTTTTTTGGGTTCAAGCAATTCTCCTGCCTCAGCCTCCCGAGTAGCTGGGATTACAGGCGTCCACCACCACACGCGGCTAATTTTGTATTTTTAGTAGAGACAGGGTTTCACCATGGTGGCCAGGCTGGTCTTAAACTCCTGACCTTAAGTGAACTGCCCACCTCTGCCTCCCAGAGTGCTGGGATTACAGGTGTGAGCCACTATGCCCAGCTAAATATATTTTAATGAAACAACATAATCCAAAAGGAAGGAAGGAAGGCAAACAGGAAGGATGGAAGGAAGGAAGGAAGGAAGGAAGGGAAGGAGAGAGGGAGGGAGGGAAGTTTGGTTAGTTTCATTCCCGGGAGGTTGGTACATTTTTGAAACAAATGATTAAAGATCACTGTACCATGGAAGAAAAGCACCCTTAGCAGGTGGGAGGCAGTCCTAACGGAGCAAGACGGTCTCTCGTGGGAATGGAGCCACACAGGGCTGTCCTGCCTCAGTGACATGGAGCAAATGGCACAAACCTCACCTCCCTTGTGGTATCATGAATGCCTTCTTGCTCTGTGAGTATGCCTAGGTTAACTTGCAGAGGGACTGTTTGAAGCCCTTGAGAAAAAGTCACAGGGCTAGGCATGGTGGCTCATGCCTGTAATCCCAGCACTTTGGGAGGCCGAGGCAGGTGGAGCACTTGAGGTCCGGAGTTTCAGACCATCCTGGCCAACATAGTGAAATCCCGTCTCTACTAAAAAAAAAAAAAAAAAAAAAAAATTAGCTGGGCATGGTGGCTTGCGCCTGTAGTCCCAGCTACTCAGGAGGCTGAGGCTGGAGAATCGCTTGAGCCCAGGAGGCGGAGGATGCAGTGAGCCGAGATCATGCCATTGCACTCCAGTCTGGGAGACAGTGAGACTCCTCTGTCTCAAAAAAAAAAAAAAAAAAAAAAACAAACAAGGTCAAATAATGAATGTAGGGCTCCACTTCATCGTGTTCTAGAAAGCCACATTTGAGCTTTAGAAGGTACCGCAGTTTTCTTCCAATTACTCATTACTGCCCC
Source organism: Homo sapiens (assembly GCF_000001405.40). Taxonomy (NCBI): domain Eukaryota; kingdom Metazoa; phylum Chordata; class Mammalia; order Primates; family Hominidae; genus Homo; species Homo sapiens. The sequence goes on along the minus strand of NC_000008.11, from coordinate 32,312,047 downwards.
ACCTTGTGGTCTTGCCGTGGGACAGTTCCTCAACACATCTCAGTGTAAACAGGTTGAGCAAACACTGCATGGATTATCCATGAAATAGAGAAAAAAGAAATCGGAAGCAATTTCAACTTTAGGAAGTAGTTGGTCACAGGCCAGTAGAAAATGGAGCAAGAGGAGAGACTTAGTACTGCGTGTTGAATTGATATGACTTTGAGCTTTCCTCTCTACTGGGCAGCCATGCACCTTGGAAAAGGCAATTTTCCTGTGTGGAAAAGCAGCACGGCTCTGGGCCCTACTGAAACAGAGGCAGGCATTGTGCTAGGTTCTGGGGATGCAAAGAAAAAATCTATTCAGCATGCAGAGCCTTGGTGATTTCTGCAAAATATAAATCACGTCTTCCAACTCCCTGCTTAGAATTGTCCCAAGGTTTCCCATCAGGTAAAGAATAAACAACTTTTCCTGTGACCCTCAGGCCCTATATTTTCTAAGTGTGACTTTTGCTGGGACATGCTGTTCACTAGTCACATGGCTTATTCTAGGTTTTTGAGCTCACAGTTCTCATTCTTCCTCTAGGGCCTTGTGCTTGCATTTCCTCCAACTCAGACACTCCGTGCCCAGATCCTCATAGACTCCTTCTTGCATTTGAACTCTCAGCTTCAGCCATCTCTTTGGCAAAGCTTTGCCTGACCACCCAGTCTAAATCAGCAGGCACTCTTCTTCCCATTGACATATTTTCATCTTATCGGTAGCACTTAACGTGTTAGCTTATTGATTTCCCTTTTAATCTATCCCCCTGCCAGAATGCATACTCCTGTACAACAGGAATCTTATCTGTCTTGTTCACCACCTTATCTTCAGTCCCTAAAACAGTGCCTGGAACATAATAGTAATCCAATACGTCTTTGTTGAATGAATGAATGAATGACTGAATGAGTGAATGGCATAGTCGTTTCCCCTGAGTGCCTGACTGGTACTACATAGCAGAAAGAAGGAAAGTGCTAGCACAGAGTAATACCCAGGGTGATCTATGAACATGGAAGAGGAATAATGAACCCAAGAGGTATTTAGGAAGACCATGAAGAGAGGAGGACACCTGTGCTAAATTCTGATGGGTAGAATTAGTTGAGTGAACCAAGATGTTCCAGGTAGAGGGAACAGCATGAGCTAAAACATGAAACATGAAACAGCAAGCATGTGAGGGGGAAGAAGTCCAAGCTTGGTCGGGGCATGAAGTGAAGTGCTCAAGAAGATATGTGTCATGGAGAACCTTGGACATCAAGCTGAGAAGCCTGGACTTTCAAATGAGGTGAAGTGGTTTAAAGTGACAGAAGTTAGCCAGTCCCCAGAATCAAGAATAGACATGATTATTATTTACTTTTATTCCCGTGCTCATTCTCTTTTCTTTGTTCCTTCTAATTCTTAGACTTCTCCTGCATTCTCACTGAATGGGTTCTATAAAACCAGTCACCAGACATGAGGGAAGAAATTCAGCATGCTGTATGGTAAGTTGCCTGGCATCTATGTTGGCTTATTTATTTATTTGGCCTCTACTAAAGACACTGAGTCTATGGCAAGGTCCATCTGAACCCTAAATTTCCTCAGAAATGAAGTGGGCACATACTTTCCTTGTGTATTTTGTGGGATCGATAATCCCTTCCAGTGCCTTCCACTGATACAGAGCTTGAAAGCAACATGATTCAACACTGTGCCTTTTCTGTGCCCTGGATGAGCTGCCAAATATTTGAGAAAGAATCAGCCCATGAATAGGATATCAGATCAAACTTTTGTTGAAACAAGTTCTTTTTTCTATGCATTCCATTCAAAACAACAAAACCAAAGATCCAAACCGTCATATATTATCTAAAAATTATTCACAAAATGTTTGCCTTGTTTGAGGGCATTAGCAACAAGCTGCTTGTCCTTTTTCCCCTCCTCCTATTCTTTCCATTCATGAAAATGGTGATTCATAGCAGTGCCCTGCAGAGAGCGGGCACTGGCCACTCCTGTGGCAGCCCACCTCTGCCACGCGCTTGTGGGAAAAAAAGCCCTGCAGTGAATCAAGTTCATTGAGCAAAATCTAGGCGAAAATATTTGTCTGGAAATCTAACACGCCTCTCTCTGTGCTTGTCTGGACAGAACTAGGGTGGACTTAACATTTTTTTCCTTTTTGTCAGAAATGTGTGTAGAAAAATTGCATATTTTTGCAAAAGAGTGTCACAGAGGTGGGAGGCGGAATTTGGGGGATTTTTTAAGCTTCAAGATCGGTGTCACCACCATGGGAACAAGGACACAAAGTAAGCTGATAAAGTATTCTGAACTTAGCAAGTGTAGTTCTCTGGAAGACAGAAATGATGCAACAATATCTATGCACAAGGGAGGAAGTCCACCATACTGCTGAGCTTCGAGTTGTTGGAAAAGGTATTTAAAGAAAAAAAACAATAGGGCATAACTGTAGGAGAGCCAGTGATCACCCCCAATCCTCCTTTTAGCTCTTAGTGGGCTCCTCAGCAGGACCTAGAAACCAAATCGACACCAGGCAGATTAACAAGAGAAAAGTATACACATTTGATTAATTTCACGTGTACATGAAGATCTTCACAAGACAGTGAAGTCTGAAGAAGGGGCTTTTATATTTTTTAGACAATGAATGATAATACATTTGAGAAGAAATGACAGCAAAAAGAAAATCTGGCCAGGGCAGTACATTTTCTAGGGGAGTCACTAGGAGATATTTGGGGTGGGGGGGTGTAAAACCACAGGCACATAAGCGTTACTTTGTTAAGTGTATATATCAGGTCCAGTGTAGCCTCCAGTTCCAAGTCTCTGGTAATTAAGGGCTATTTTCTCGCCCTGGTAAGGCAAGGGTACCCCTCCCAGAGGAATCTTTATGGTGTGCTACATGCAGGAAGAGACAGGTCAGACTTCCTTTTCTGAAACTACACTGTCTCCAATGTTTTCAACTTGAAATACTCAATATACCAATCTGCCATATTTTGGGATGGCACATCCTTCACTCCTTCATAAGCTACACATCAGCAGTCAAGAAGGCAGCCACCAGAAAAAAACAAATAAAAATTGAAAACTGGGAGGCCCAAGGCACCACAGTCAAATGCATCAAAGCTGTCTTCACTGAGGTGTGATGGAGAGAGATCTCCCCAGGCCATAGAGGAAGGAATGAATAGTTTGGTCTATTCAACCAGGGCATCAGCATATTGCAAGACATAGGCTCCCACTTTACAGACATCATTCTCCCGCAAAGTGACATTGTAGCACCAATTTTCCCCCTTTTTTAATTGGTCTTTACTGCCATGTCTATAAGAGAATGGCTTGCATCTGAACACTTCATTTGTAAAGGCCGGGGACACATTTTTGTGGTGGTAGCTACACAGGGAAGATCATAAGCAAGAGTCCAGCACACATGTGGAGTTAAAAAGAGAAAGAATGGTGGAAGAGAGGCACCAAGCCCAACATCATGCTTTGATGCTCTTGTTGGGTTTAGAGAGGTAAAAGACCCAGTAAAAAGTGCTGAATTGTGGAAATAATAGGTTGTCCTTGTATTTAAGGGAAGAAAAAGCTACAAAGACATAACAATGAGTAAAGCTGGTGGTTGGGATCAGAGAATGTATGAATAATCAATATCTGGCAGAGAAGAGGATGAGATAGTGTCTAAGATAGAACATGTTTTGGAGACAACAATCAGTAAATTCAGATATATGAAAGAGAGCAAACACATGGCAGCTCATATGGATGCCTTAATAAAGAAAATGGAATGACGAAAGTCTAATGAATTTTAAAGATCACTGTGGCCACAAATCAGTTAGAGTCTTGGAAAGCGAAGGATTCTAAATGTATTGATGTTTATTAAGTTGGAGAATAAGGGAATCTAAGTGGAAACCATCAAGTTTCCTAGTTAGAAATGTCCACTGGAAAAAGTCAAACCCAAGGTTAAAAGCAAAAAAACAGAGACACCCTAGAAAGAAATAGGAGTGGGTGAGTGCAGGTTGAAAATGGAGCATGGTTCCCGTTTTCCAGAACAGATTACAAATGTAGCCTCACCCAGCGTGGTCGGAGTTCACTGGCTGAGCAACCCTGATAACCCTCATCTATCTATGAACATTTCTGAGGCTGGAAAGGGTTTGTGGTCAGTGTCGGAGAGGTTGCACAATTTGCGCTGAAGTTTCTAATGGTATTAGAGACAGTCTAGGGAGGCATGTCAGATGGAGACAGAGAGAGGTTGTGAGAGGTAACAAAAAGGAGTGAGTGGCATGAGTACCCTGCAGCCATGCTCACCGCTTTCACCACCACCTCTACCAAACCTACATGTGTGGGCATTCAACCTGCTCTCAAAGCAACTTCATGCCTGTAGCAATCTAGACTGTTCTTGAGGAGTCAACTGGTTGACCATTCTTATCTCACAGGTTAAACACACAAACACACACACACACACACACACACACACACACACACACAAACCCCTGGGTGACCATAGAGCCATTTTCACAGGGTGGGAAATGATTCCTAACCCCACACTTTCACACTTTATAATGTTACCATTTTTATTTAAAATCAATTGGTTTTAAGTTGCAGCATTCTAAGACAAACAAACACCTCTGAACCACAAAAGAAGGATGACTATTCGGTATTTGGGAGAGGTGTGGCTGCTTGTTTTCTCTTTGCTGACTAACTTGCACGTTCTGACTGTACACATTCCAGAAAATGCCTGAGGCCCCAGATTTTCAGGAGAACCACCCTTTTCCCATGTCTAATTAGCTACATCTAGTCTTTTGATTTGCATCAAGGAGTGGTTCTTTTTATGTTAGCCAGATTGTGACTGCTCTCTGGTTTTCCTCTCCGGGATAAAGAGGGTCTCCTTTAGACGTTATTTCCATAGAGTGGTTTCCTTTTGCCATGATTTATCAATGGATTCCATAAGGGGAAGTTGACTACACATGGGCGGTTTAAGATACTTTAACAAAACCAAAAATGTGCGCTGGGAAGTACCATCACTTAGTAAATGCTCCCTAAAGCATAAGGATATCTGGACAACCTCCTTATCTGGGAAGTGAGAGCAATGTTTTTTAATGTCTCAAAAGCTGCCCATTATTAAAAACCTGCTAGGGATTAAAATTTCAATTAAATTTAAGTTGTAAAAGCAAAAGGATGCTCTAGAAATATAAGTGATAAAACCCCAGATCACGAATCACTGGATTTGGTTCTTTGATGAATGGCTCCTCTTTTGTAGCATTTTCAATCAATCGATTAATTAATATTTGGACCAGCAAAAAAACTTCATCGGAAAATGAACAAGATCACAAAATTCGGAGCAACCTTTCTCCTCCTTTCTCCATTACTGGAAAAAGTAACCTCGTCCTACCATTTATGTCAACTTTAAAATACAGAGTCAAGGCTTTTGAGAGGCAGATTCATAATTAAATGGAGAGAGAGGGAGAAAGCATCATATAATGTATTTGCAGTCATAATTCTTTAATAAACCACAGTGTCATTTGTCCAATTCTCTAGTGTCCAGACTCAACAAAGCCCTGAGTCCATTAATTTCAATGGGGCCTTTCTGGGAAAGCAGTTGATACCCAGCTGGTAACTCACTATAATGGATCAAACTCAAGAAGAAAGTTCTGATTTAATTAACTTGGGAGTTTCCTTAGGACCCATTCGAATGCTAACAAGTAGTTAAATTCTTTCCCTATGAATAAATCATGATTGTTAATTTTTTCTTAAGGAGATTTACCCAGGGTTGATACAGAAAGAAACTGGCCTGGGCTTTTCTTTTGCCCGTTAAATGCACCTTTTCCAGTATAGAATGTGGTTTGAGTCATCTCAAGTAAATTCACATTGGTGACAGACATTTACAAATGCACACTCTCATTACTTATTATGGCCATCTTTAACAAAGAATTGGAAAGTAAATGGTGAAATGGAAACTTCCTGTTTTTAAACTTGCTGAGGGGAGTTAAGGGTCATTTTATTAATATTTATTGAACACAGGCACTCTGCTAAGATACTTGAGCTGCATTGTGTTGGTTCATTTCCACAAAAATACTCTTAACTATCATTCTCTGTATTTTACAATGGAAAGAAAAGAGGCTCAGAGAAGTAAAATAATTTGCCAAATATCACACAGCCAACAGGGCTGGGATGAGAACCAAAGACTGCCTCATGATTTTTTTACTATACATTTGTCTTTATCCATTACACACTGGCAATGCAAGAACTTGAACATGCACGTGACTTTGGGAAGAAGTCTTATTTACTAACTACAAAAAATGGGCTTAAGGTAACATCCCCTGGACCAAAGCACAGTATTTAAAGAATCAGCAAGTGCTAGGACTATAAAGCTTGTCCCTACAAAAAGGTGACTGGGTGAACATCCTGTGAGATCTATTTTTGTTAAAATGATGAACAGCACTGGGGCAAACCAAGGCTGGTGAAGAGACAAAGCTAAGTGGACTCTGAGGAATTTAAACATCACCCCAGACTGGAAGATACACACGGCAATCCTTCCTGTCACTTATTTGTCTACTTCTCTTTAAATGAGTTTGAAACTCTTCAGCACTAGACTAATTAGGATACTTTTGAGAGTAAGAAAGTAGACTAAAAGTGAAGATTGTATTTTTTTTTGAAGAATTCGTCTGGTGAACAACATTCTGGTTTTATTATATTCGTATACCTATAAAATATTCTATGCTATGCTAGAATTATTTCTAAAATATAAAATAACACAAAGCTTCATTCACTAACGCAAAAATTCTTCATAAAATCAATCTGAACATTAAAATAAGTAGAATGCAAGTACTTTAATCAATTTTTTAAAGTTTTATCTGTCTTTAATAGTATATCACTAGTATTTTTCTAAGAAAAGTATTTAAAAAAATACAGTCTTATTTGAACATTTTTCATAAATTACCTACAATCTTCTTCAAAGTGGCATGATATGGTTAATATGTATGAAATTAGTGACAAAACTAATTCATTCTTATCTTTAATCAATAATATTTAAATTTTTATTTTTATTTTTATGTATTTATTGGAGACAGAGTCTCTCTCTGTCGCCCAGGCTGGAGTGCAGTGGCATGTTCTTGGCTCACTGTAACCTCCGCCTCCTGGGTTCAAGAGATTCTCAGCCTCTCTAGTAGCTAGGATTACAGGTGTGGGCTACCATGACCAGCTAATTTTTGTATTTTTAGTAGAGACGGGGTTTCTCCTGTTGGCCAGGCTGGTCTTGAACTCCTGTCCTTAAGTGATCTGCCTGCTTCAGCCTCCCAAATTAATCACGCCTGGGATTACAGGTGTGAGACAACCACACCTGGCCAATATTTAAACTTTTAAAGACTAGCTTCTCCCACAGGCACAAGGTACTTAACAAGCTCAGAGCTTGTGCTAAACAGAAAATATTTTCAATTCAATTATTTATATTAAATATTTCAGCCCAAATATTTTATATTTTTTTTACTAAGAATACTTTTCATTAACAAATATTTAAAAGTCAAAAATCATCAAATAAACTGTCTTTAGGATTTTTTTGAAAGTTTTACTAAGTCTTCAATTTCATTATATCTGCTCTATATAAATTTATTTAATTAAAAATTGAAACTTCATCAAACTATTATTCCCACAAACTGAATATTTCAAAACACAATTGGAGTTTTCAAATTACATATTTTATAATATTTGAGCTTTATTCTACAATTCTTTAGTTTCTCCCTTGCCTTTGCAGATACATATCCATGCCTTCCTATTTTCATAATTTGTTTGCGAAAATCGCATTTTGATAAAAGCTTTGAAATCTTTAGCTTTTGCTGTTCCATTCACTGGTACTTTGATGAAAGATTTCTAGATGATTTTAAAACAATATTCAGCCAAAAATGAAAAGACTGTCATGAAAACTTCAGTACTATTTTAAGACACTCAGAAGAATTTTAAAAGCACAGAAGATTAAACACTCATGAACGTTTCTAAAATCCAACCGAAGAAAGGCAGCAGAGAGAAAAAGTGAATCCTGATATTCTGAGTTTTTTTTGTAGTCAACATTACCTTCCTAACAAAATTTCACAGTTCAGATGATCCAATTGTATATGTACCTATTTCAAAAATTTGAAACTTACAGCTTTTATTTTAATTGAGAGACTATCAACATTTATTTGGATGTAAGTATGAATTATATGTACATAAAAACTATTTCCAAGTAAATTTCGTATCTTTAAATTTCAGAGTGTTAGGTTTCTTCATGATGCAGTACTCCACCAAAAACTGTGTTAATATTAGACAAATGCTAGAAATGTAGGCTAAATATTAACTGAATTTAAAATAGTATGAATAATACATTCAACAGAATTAATTTCAAAAAGCTTTAGTTTCTTCCTCGGAATTGGATGAGAAAACGAAACCATTACAAGAATTAACTGGAGTGATTTTCTGTTTGGAACATCTGATGACATTGAAATAAAACTGGCACCACTTTCTGTTTTAAATGTTCTTTTGCTAACGGTGCTGGCACTTTAACAGGTGTCATTTCATTTTGGGATATGCACAAGAAATCATGAAATTGCCAATGAGCTAACTTAATGTCAAAGAACAATCATCTGATCTAAATAAAAAGTCGTGCTTCCAAGCATGTTCTGTAGCTCCACCTTCTGCAGTTGTGTGTGTTAAGTCATTTTAAGATGCACTCTTTTTTTCTGTGTTTTTTTTTAATGTTTTTAACTTTTGAAGTAGATCCTGATGCTTCTTCAGCATATGTGTGACTTCTGAATGTTAGTTCATTATATCCCCATGGTAAATGGCAACAAGTGTTTTGTGTAAGTTACATGTTCATCTTTTCTTTTCTTTCTTTTCTCTTTTTTTTTTTTTTTTTTTTTTTGGAGACTGAGTTTCTCTTCTTTCTGCCCCAAGCTGGAGTGCAATGGTGCAATCTGGCTCACTGCAAGTTCTGCCTCCCGGGTTCAAGTGATTCTCCTGCCTCAGCCTTCTGAGTAGCTGGGATTACAGGCATCAGCCACCACGCCCGGCTAATTTTTGTATTTTTAGCAGAGACAGGGCTTTACCACGTTGGCCAGGCTGGTCTCGAACTCCTGACCTCAGGTGATCCGCCCTCCTCGGCCTCCGAAAGTGCTAGGATTACAGGCGTGAGCCCCCGTGCTCGGCCACAGGTTCGTCTTTTCTTTCTTGATAAATAGAAATACAAATACTTCATTTTCATTAAACAGTTACTTCTGTTTACTAATTTTTATTTCATTATTGCCAGAAGGATGCATTATAAAATAGTGAGTCAATAGTCAAAGAAAAAAATTGGCATATGGTTACATCACACAATAAAAATAAAACCACTGTGGCAATAGCATTCAGACTACTCTCTGCATGCCACAGGTTCGTCTTTTCTTTCTTGATAAATAGAAATACAAATACTTCATTTTCATTAAACAGTTACTTCTGTTTACTAATTTTTATTTCATTATTGCCAGAAGGATGCATTATAAAATAGTGAGTCAATAGTCAAAGAAAAAAATTGGCATATGGTTACATCACACAATAAAAATAAAACCACTGTGGCAATAGCATTCAGACTACTCTCTGCATGCAACAGGGCAGAACAGCTTAACCTGTTTCCTACACGTAAGTTTACACACAGCCTCGTTTATTATTTCTCCCTTTTCCCACTGACCTATTAGCTAGGACCATATGCACCTCACAGACTGGGGCTCAGGGCTAAGGCACAACAGGTTGGAGTACCAAATGCCTCACTGAAGATCGTCAGGGGTTAGGATTCCCTGGCTGCTCTGAGGACACTGTTTTATCCACTTCTTCCTTGTGAGCTGTGCTATATTTCTCAGCTTTCAGATTTCACCTCAAGGAAACCTGGGAATTCCTGCACCCCCAAGACCATAACATGACGAAACTGGAAGTACAACGTGGAGGTCTACCTAATCCATCTTGGCTTGTTTTAATGCAACTAATAACAATAATACATCACTAAATGAAATATTCAGGACAAATGCTAAATTAGACAGAATGTCAGACAATGGGTAAAACCAGACCTCCCAGGCAAATTGGGATGCAGGTACATTCACTCCCCCCAGTCAGCATCTTTGTATTCAGCACACCGCACCCTTCTCTTCAGTTACTTATACTTTTCCCCTCTGTTTTGATATTTTGCAAAGTGGGCCTGATATGGTTTGGCTGTGTCCCCACCCAAATCTCATGTTGAAGTGTAACTCCACAGTTCTTACGTGTTGTGGGAGGAACCCGTGGGAGCTGATGGAATTATGCAGGCCGGTCTTTCCTGCACTGTTCTCATGATAGCGAATGAGTCTCACGAGATCTGATGGTTTTCAAAATGGAGGTTTCTCTGCACAAGCTCTCTTTTTGCCTGCTGCCATCCACCTAAGATGTGATTTGCTCCTCCTTGACTTTCACCATGATTGTGAGGCCTCCCCAGCCGTGTGGAACTGTAACTCCAATAAACCTCTTTCTTTTGTAAATTGTCCAGTCTTGGGTATGTCTTTATCAGCAGCACGAAAATGGACTAATAGAGGGCCCTTGAGATCTATTAGAGATATTCAATATTGCAATTATATTTTAGGGCAAATCTAAAACAAAATTTAGCCAAAGCATACCCTGGGTCAACTGGATGACTTCATTTGTAACCGACCATTGATGTGATTTTATTGCCTCTGTCTGCAGGTATGTATACCAAATGAAATTCCAAAATGCCAACATATAACTTTTAATGTAATTTCCTGAATCAGAGATTGTGGAACTGTGGGATACTGTAGAAGTATCTTCAGGGGTCTATGAATATTCTAGCTTTTGTATTTTTGAAACTGCTCTATTTTTAAACATTTATTTAGAAGTTCAATTAAATTTTAAACTTCACTGAGGCACAGGACCCTACCCCTATTTTCATTATTTATATCTTTTACTACCAAATTCCATGTTTTCTATTCAGGTTATTCTTAGAAAATAGTTACAGAATAAGTATCCCAAGACTCAATGCTTAGATTGTCTAAATACAGAATTGCATCATGGAGGCATTTGTAACATTTTCTTCAAATGTGAAAAAGGAACAAGTATGTCACTTTCTGTATTATTTTCTGATCAGGAAGAATGTAGATGTAGCTTACAGAAAATGTTCATTTTCTACAATGGGTTTGCCTTTTGTATCAATAGCTGCTTTGTAGCTCATCTTCCATTGATGTAAATTAAAGCAGAATATACAACCATACAATTTTCTCTGTGACTCGAAAACAACATATACTGGCTGTCAACCCCCTAAATAGCCAGTGAATCATTTTCCTGAAGGAATTTGTGTCTAAGGCCTGATGTGCATCTCTCGTGTGTATAGCTCTAGCTAATCCAATCTAAAGCTACAACAAAATGACTATTTTCAGAAAACTACAACAGTTATTCCTGACAACTTAATGGCATTCTTTAATAATCAACTGCAGCCACCAATCTGTTTCTACTGAAATAATGTTTAATGTTTGTAACTCATAATTTTATTTTTCACATGTTCCCTAGCTTTATATTTGCCCATGTTATTGACTTACTCTGCAATGTAAAGTGTCTTTAGAGATTCTTGGATAAACAACTCTAAGATTCTGGTGGTATTTTAGAAATTAATCTATTTTCCCTGATGGAAGCAGTTATAGTAGAAAACCAAAATTAATCCTATCTATGTCTCTTGATGAAATACAACAATTAAGAAGATAAAATTTGGCTATACTAATTCTATGAGAATCATTTCCTCTTTATTAATGTTTTAAAATATTTTTATTTATCATCTTAGTTATCTAACCTTATTGAAAAAAGTGTTAACGATCTCAGAGTGTTCAAACTCATATTGCACGTTTTTTTCAGCTTTCTGACTAGTATTCCAGGGCTGGTATTTACTTGAAGTTCTGTGGCACATGAGGGTTCTGGGTGAAATCTGATGGTAGAGAAGGTGTGGGGGAGAACAATGAAGTCATGTGAGGTATTTGCCTGTGGTAGGTTGTCTCTAAACTAGGTGGTGCTCCTATTGTTCAATTATTTATATGTTCTCCTCCATCCAAAATGATTCAATCTGAACCCTGTCCTTCTCTCTTCATCTAACTGCTGAAATGTAATAGTCTTAGGGAGTGATATGGTTTGGCTGTTTCCCCACCCAAATCTCATCTCTAATTCCAGCTCCCATAATCCACACGTGTCACAGGAGGGACCCAGTGGAAGGGAATTCAATCATGGCAGTGGGTTTTTCCCATCCTGTTCTCGTGATAGTGAATAAGTATCACGAGATCTGGTGGTTTGATAAAGGGCAGTTCCTCTGCACATGCCCTCTTGACTGCCTCTATGTAAGATGTGCCTTTGCGCCTCCTTTGCTTTCTACCATAATTGTGAGGCCTCCCCAGCCATGTGGAACTGTGAGTCCATTAAATCTCTTTTGCTTTATAAATTGCCCAGTCTTGGGTATGTCTTCATTAGCAGCATGAGAACAGACTAACACAGGGAGCGAAATTATTATTTTTTTTCCTTCTTCACATGTCTCTGCAGTATCATTATCATCTGCCCAGGAATTGCTCTACTTGACTTTCAAAATGAGGTGCTTTATAAGAGTACTTTTGAGGTTACTTTCTAGAATGTGTGTCTTTACAAATAAGTTTTGTTAACATGCAAACAGATATAAAATCTTATTTTTAGAATGTATTCCTCCATAGGTATCAAATTTATCTTTAGTCCTCGGCACTGCCTGAGATGTATGTTCCAGCAGAAAGCAAACATGTTTTTGCTTTCTGTTTTTATTTTTTTGGTAATTCTTAGGGAAACAATGGCTCCAAGGACTATTTATCTAGAAAACATACTGGAAAAACATCCAGCCAATCTATTACCATGGAAGACTAGTTTGTATGAAGAGGAAATACAATTCCCAAATGATGATTTCCCTTGTTTAAATGTTAAGGGTTATAGCAGTCGTAACTCTGGTAGGTAAGAATTTGGTAGTATTTGCTTTTTATTTCTTTCTTTTTTTTTTTTTTTTTTTTTTTGAGATAGAGTCTAACTTTGTCCCCAGGCTGGAGTGCATTGGCACCATCTTGGCTCACTGCAACCTCTGACTCCCTGGTTCAAGCAATTCTCCTGCCTCAGCCTCCTGAGTAGCTGGGACTACAGGTACATGCCACCATCCCCAGCTAATTTTTGTGTTTTTAGTAGAGACGGGGTTTCACAATGTTGGTCAGGATGTTCTTGATCTCTTGACCTCATGATCCGCCCGCCTTGGCCTCCCAAAGTGCTGGGATTACAGGCGTGAGCCCCCGCACCCGATCTTTTTCTTTTCTTTTCTTTTTTTTTTTTTTTTGAGACTGAGTTTCGCTCTTGTTGCCCAGGATGGAGTGCAATGGTGCAGTCTCGGCTCACTGCAACCTCCGCCTCCTGGGTTCAAGCGATTCTCCTGCCTCAGCCTTTCGAGTAGCTAGGATTACAGGCATTCACCGCCACACACGGTTATTTTGTATTTTTAGTAAAGACGGGGCTCCTCCATGTTGGTCAAGCTAGTCTCGAACTCCCGACCTCTGGTGATCTGCCTGCCTCAGCCTCCCAAAGTTAATCTGTGCTTTATAGTTGAAACAATATCATCTTTGTTTTATAGACTGGATAAGTGTAGTTTGGAAGATGAAAGCCTTTGCCATGTTAGTTCAAACAGAAATAGGAAGAATTAAAAGCAATAAACATACTCCCTCTGAGTCTGTAGTCAGTTCTGCCAGGCCTTGATTCAGTATCACCTCAACTTTAAGTTGAAAAGGATTTGCTTAATAGATTTTCCAAACTGGAGATGTCTTCTAACTTCATTTAATGCCAGAGTAATTTTAGAGAATAGCTCTATGTAAATCAGCAAATGAATAATAATTGCAGAAATAACTACATGTGGAAACACCAATTAGCCAATAAATCCACTTAATTATTCTTAATAGTTTCTTTTGCTCTTTAAGATGCTATTTAATACTTTAATGCTATTGCATATGCATTGCATATTTTAAAACATTTTATTTAAGTGATGTTCTCACAGATAAACTAAGGGTTCTAATCACTTAAAAATAAATCATGAATTAGTTCGCTTCTAGTAGTACAGTTGCAAAGCATTCTTCTCATTACATTGCATAGACTGCTTGTGTACTGGATAATTTTTCACTGCAAAATAATAATGTTATATGATTATTACTAGAGGGAGACAGTTCTTGAGGTCCACCAGGCCTTATCCTTACAGATATTTTTGCAGACATGATTTAGGATTGACTGGCTTTGGATGCTCTCTTCCACTACCCATGCTATCAAATGAAATGTGGCTTGTGGTAGTATAGGCTTGTTAGCCATAAAAGAAAGCAGAGACAGTGGCACCCAATAGGAGATCAAGACCCAACTTCGCTCTGGTTTGTACTTGGCTGTACTCAACTAAGATAAACAGCCCTGGGCAAGGACTTCTTCCTGAGAGATGGGTCCTTCATGCTTGGAGACCCTGGAAAGGGTCCAAGGAAAGTAGCAACTAAAGGGCAAGCCATCTAAGAGCCAGCCAAGCATTTTCTTTTCAACCCAATACCTTGTTGCTACCTATTCATATACTTTCCTGGCATTTTGACTTGAGTAACTGATTATACATTACATCATCCCTCTGCTCAGAATAAACTGCATTGATAAACCTACTATTTAAATGAGTCTAAAATGAAGTAAATGCCAAAAGGAAAATTCTATTTATGGTTTTATTCAGACCTGAAGGGATTGCTTTTATGTAATGCCAAGCTATTTCAATAGATTACTCATAGATCACTATGAACTTGCCTTGATTTTCCCAGGATTTTACAGAGAAATCTAGAAATTTTTAAATTAAATTTTAGATAAATACAAAAAGGCAGGACACAGAAATGGAATACTCACTATAATTATAAATATAATTTTTTTTTCTTTGAGACAGCGTCTCATTCTGTCACCAGGCTGGAGTGCAGTGGCGCGATCTTGGCTCACTGCAACCTCCGCCTCCTGGTTTCAAGCGATTCTCCTGCCTCAGCTTCCGGAGTAGTTGGGACTACAGGTGCGGGCCACCACGCCCAGCTAATTTTTGTATTTTTAGTAGAGTGGGGGTTTCATCATGTTGGCCAGGATGGTTTCGATCTCTTGACCTTGTGATCCACCCGCCTTGGCCTCCCAAAGTGTTGGGATTACAGGCATGAACCACCACACCCGGCCTATAAATATGTTTTAAAAATATGAATAAAAGTAACTCTAGAAGCAAAGTGTTTATTTTTAGATAGCAGGACTTTGAGTGTTTTGTTATTGTCTTTTGTGTATTTTCCAAGGTTATATATCAAATATGTATATGTTTTGCACTAGAAAAAAATCAATAGCCCAAATAATGGCAACATAAGCTTTTTTTGTTTTTAAGGAAGCTTTTTTTTTTTTTTTTTGGGACAAAGTTTCACTCTTGTCGCCCAGGCTGGAGTGCCATGGCACAGGATCTTGGCTCATTGCAACCTCCACTTTCCAGGTTTAAGCGATTCTCCTGTGCCAGCCTCCCAAGTAGTTGGGATTACAGGCACCTGACACCATGCCTAGCTAATTTTTGTATTTTCAGTAGAGACGAGGTTTCACTAGTTTGGCCAGGATGGTCTGGAACTCCTGACCTCAGCTGGTCTTGAACTCCTGACCTCAGGTGATCCACCCCTCTCAGCCCCCCAAAGGGCTGGGGTTACAGGCGTGAGCCACCGCACCTGGCCATTAAGGAAGTTTTGAACATTACTTCCTTGCTTTTCTTTTCCTATTAATTCCTCTTTCATAGGAGAAATTAATATGTAAGTACACACACTGGCATATAGATAGATATGGGGTTCAATATGTTATGTTCTGGTCTACAAATCTTCAATGACTGCACTTCTCAGCCAGAAAATGTGCACATGTTTTGTCCAGGAGCTCCTTAATGCGCTGGTAATCTACAGTAAATCTTATTTAGATATCTTGCCAATGATAAATTCAGTATCACTAATTTCAATGTACATGTACTCGTGGCAGTGGAAAATGGCTAAGAGATTATTTTTTCAAGAGAAAACCATCAAGTCTCTCTCTCTCTCTTTTTTTTTTTTTTTTCCTTGAGACCTAGTCTTGCCCTGTCACCCAGGCTGGAGTGCAATGGCGCGATCTTGGCTCACTGCAACCTCCGCCTCCCGGGTTCAAGCAATTCCCCTGCCTCGGCCTCCTGAGTATTCTCCTGCCACCCTGCCTGGCTAATTTTTTGTATCTTTAGTAAAGACGAGGTTCTACCATGTTGGCCAGGCTGGTCTCTAACTCCTGACCCGTGATCCACCTGCCTGGGCCTCCCAAAGTGCTGGGATTACAGGCGTGAGCCACTGCACTCAGCCCAAGTCTCTTTAAAATTCTTTCCAATCACTTGACTTCCCTGGAGATAGAAAGACCAAAATGCCATCATAGGAAATGTCTTCATCAGAACATGCAAAGAACATAGTTTAAATGAATTGTATCATGAAAATTCTACCAGAAAGTGTAATCCTATTATAAGATGTTAGGTCTTTTCAGTTAAATAGAAAGTTGTAGAAATAAGAGACTAATTCCCAAACCCCTACATGAAAAGCAAGTAGTAGAGATTATTGTAAAGCAATTTTCCTACCAATCCACTTTCAGTTTCATCAGAATCTCTTCTGTGGGTTCACTCTGCCAGTACCCCAAATTTTCTAGATGTGTTATAAAATGGAGCAAACTTCAGATCCATAATAAAATTTTCCTTTATTCTGACATGCATATTTCAGTCTGGAAATTTATAGATTTTTTTAGAAAAAGAAATCATTTCATTATTTGGAGAAATTACACAAAAATTTAAAAGCTTATCAAATTTTAATCATCTTTGCTGAAAATTTTGTCTTAATTAGGAACTATACTATCCCTAAATAATTACACTAGACACTTTATTTTCACAACCAAGGTCAAAGTACTATAACATTTAAAATGGTTTCAGTATAACTGGGAGTTAATATGACATTTAACAGTAACATCAGCAGAGAGAGGATTGTAAATAATCCATTTCTCTCAGAATTGCTAGAGTTTTTATAAGTAGGTGTTAGTTTGTGGATGTTAATATTTTTAGTGTTTGAGATATGTTTTGAGGCACTGTGTGACTTCAGACAAATAAATCTTTAGTTCTTAGTCTTGTTATTTTGAAAACAAGCACAAGTTCCGAAAAATAACTGCATAATGTTATTTATTATCAGAGAATGTAGCAGCTACGAGAACAAAGAATTAGAAATCTACAAAGAAATAGAAACCATTCGTAAATGATACAAGTCTGCCAGAGCCTCTCCTGACAATAATGGGATTTGGTTGAACAGAGCTAAGAGTAAAAGTGAACAGATGTTAGGTGATGGAGCAGAACTTGCTCTTTTCAGATTAAACAACTAATTATGAGTGGATAATGATGTGTGCAACTGGTAGGCACTGGAAATGTTTCCAATTCAGACCAAGTAACAAGACTAAGTTCTAATATATTTGATTCTACACAGGGCTGGAATCTAGACGTTTAAAAAGCTGTTTTAAAACAGTAATGGACAAGGTAGGCGTGGATAAATTAAAATTTTAGGACCGTTGGAGAGAATTTAATGACAAGTCTTTTTTCCCTTGGATAAATTATGACCAGATTCTAGTCTACTGCTGAAATAAGATTGCCAACTGTTTGCAATCTGACCACCATGACCAGCCAGAGCACATGCTTAAAATCTTAATTACTAGTTTAGAATATTTATACAACAGTTGACTAAAATGCGTTTTCTGCCCAAAACCCATTGTTTCGGACACCTGCTCCATGTGAGTGGGAAAGGAAAGGTAACCAGCAGGGGGAGGACTTGGGGAAAATGTGGGCTTGGGGATTTATGAGACCTCCGTGGACAGGCATCCTACGGAGTCAGAAAAGGGAATCTGAATTTTTAGAGTGGGATTTGGGCTTGACAGGCACATGAGGGTGTTCCCCCAGCATGGATGGCCGTCAAGAAATAGTCAGAAATAGGCTGTGCACTGTAGCTCATGCCTGTAATCCAAGCAGTTTGGGAGGCCCAGGTGGGCTGATAACCTGAGGTAAGGAGTTCAAGACCAGCCTGGCCAACATGGTGAAACTCCATTTCTACAAAAATACAAAAATTAGCTGGGCATGATAGCAGTTGCCTGTAATCCCAGCTGCTTGGGAGGCTGAGGTGGGAAATTGCTTGAACCCGGGAAGCAGATGTTGCAGTGAGCTGAGATAGCACCATTGCTCTCCAGCCTGGGCGACAGAGTGAAACTCCATCTCAAAAAAAAAAAAAAAAAAAGAAGAAGAAAAGAAAAAAGAAATAGTAAAAAATAAAGAGAACCTCAATGTAAAAAATAAAAATAAAAAAATAGAAAAAAATTAAAATAAAATGGCTTTTCCTAAAAATCAAACAAGGAATGTTGTTATTTTCTCAAAATAATCTTTTTATTTTCTCAGAAATCATTGTCCATATTAGTATTCTGTGGCTGCTAAATGGCTACAAACCTGCTGGCTTAACACAACAGAAATATATTCTTAGATCTGGGGGCCAGAAGGACAAAATCAATGTGTCAGCATGGCCTGCTTCCTCCGGAGGCTCCAGGGAAAAATCTGTTCCTTGCCTCTCACAGCTCTGGTGGCCCTTGGCATTCCTTTTAGCTATAACCCCTTCTGCTCCATTTTTGCATTGCCTTCCCTGTGTGTCTATCTCAAAACACCCCCTGTCTCTCTTAGAAGAACCCATGTGATTGCATTTACTACATTCATAATTTAGATTAAGCTCCTCCTCTGGGGATCCTTAACTAAATCATATATTTTATCATATAACGGAACAATCACAGGTTCCAGGGATTTAACCTGATATCTTTTGGGGGCCATTTTTAGTCTTTATTTTATTTTATTTTATTTTATATTTTAGACGTAGTCTCACTCTGTTGCCCAGGCTGGAGTGCAGTGGCATGATCTTGGCTCACTGCAAACTCTGCCTCCCAGGTTCAAGCGATTCTCCTGCCTCAGCCTCCTGAGTAGCTGGGATTAAAGGCGTGTGCCACCACACCTGGCTAATTTTTGTATTTTTAGTAGAGACGGGGTTTCACCATATTGGTCAGGCTGGTCTCAAATTCCTGACCTCGTGATCAGCCTGCCTTGGCCTCCCAAGGTGCTGGGATTACAGGCGTGAGCCACCGAGCCCAGCCCATTTTTAGCCTTTTACACTGTCTCTATTTTATTGTTTCTGAATGTTAGTGTCTGTGTAACTCAATATACTTCATAAATGTCTCTCAATGTAGTGGAATGCATTGGCTTTTACTCCTCGTTCAGTGTCACACCTTCTATTTATTGCCTTATTAGTTAACCATTTAGTTTAAAGTTCTCAAATATTTTTCTGGTTGCTGCTACTGCTACTGCGAATTAGAAAGAAACAACGAATGGAGAACAGAGAGAGAGAGCAAGAGAGAAAAATAAGAAAGAGGAGGAGTGGGTATGGGAGGAAGAAGAGGAGGAGAATTGCCATGCAAACTGATTCAACCTCTTCAACTGTAGTAATCAATAATAGTTGCTGAGATGTTCCAAACCGTCAGTTTGGCTTTTGTGGTTATATATTTAGAATCTATCACATATGGTTTTCTTCATATCACCAACCACAGAGTTAAAGTCACTGGCATTTATTACAGTCAGATGGGACATTTGCAAATGTAATATTTGTAGTGAAATTCAGGATAAAGGGAGTAACTAATTTTATTCAATCTTTTGGAATAAAAAAGCCTTTTGAAAGGATTGAATAGGCTAATTTTCACTGGTTTTCTTGATCTGGGTTATATAGATATTATTAAAATAAATAGTTTTAAGATCATAGTATAAAGTAAACATTTCAGGTAATCTTCATTTTTGTAGATGGTTGGGGGAAAAAATGAAAGTGTTCCTACTCTGGTCTTCTTCCTGTAAATGCACATGTAATGTTGCTGATGTTGAAAACTCAGGATTGAATTGATTGAATAACATCTTGCAACAGAGGATACCAACACCTCTAAACCCAGAATGAAGAGGCCTTTCTCTGAGAAGGTATGCTATAAACTCCTGTAGCTGGTGCTGGTACCAAGCCTTTAGCAACAATGAACATATATGCTCATTTTCTAGTTTATATTTTCAACTGTTGCTTGTTTTAAGTCACATGCCAAACAGTATCAAGAGTGGATAGCAATAATCTCAGCACTATGGGAGGCAGAGGCCAGCAGATCACTTGAGGTCAGGAGCTCAAGACCAGCCTGGCCAACATGGTGAAACCCCATTTCTACTAAAAATACGAACAAATTAGCCGGGAGTGGTGGTGTGCACCTGTAGTCCTAGCTACTTGAGAGGAAGGCTGAGGCAGGGGAATCACTTGAACCCAGGAGGTGGAGGTTGCAGTGAGCCGAGATCTTGCCACTGCACTCCAGCATGGGCAACACAGCGAGACTCTGTCTCAAAAAAAAAAAAAAAAAAAAAAAGTGGATAAAAATTTGTACAAGGACTTTTTACTTTAGGATTAATAGGCTCAAGAGGTCACACATGATTTATCGTTTCATTTAAAAATTTTCAAATTTATATCCAACTGCTTTACAAACACTCAAGATTAGAAAGACTTATCTATTAAATAGCTGACAGAAGTCAGAGGGTTCCAGGTCAGTGGTTTCACAGTGTATGCCAGGAAAATATCGTGATGGCTAACTTTGTATGTTATGAGGAGACCCAACATTTGGTCAAGCATTATTCTGGTGTTTCTGTGAGGGTGGCTTTAGATTAGATTAACATTTAAATATAAATTGACTAAAACAGATTGCCCTACCTCATGTAACTGGATCTCATCTAGTCAGTTGAAGACACGAAGAGAACAAAATGGCGACCTTCCCCTGAATAAGAAAGAACTTCTCCTTCCTGATTGTATTCAAACTGGGACATTGGCTTTTTCCTGACTTTGGACTGGAACTGAAATGTCAGCTCTTCCTGGGTATGGAGCCTGCTGGCTTTCATACGGGAACTACACCATTGGTTCTCCTGGCTTGCCAACATAACCTGTACATCTTGGGACTTGTGTACACACACACAAATGCATGCACACACACACACACACACATCCTGTGTCTCTGCAGAACCCTAACTAATACAAATATCCTTTGATGTTGTCACTATAAAGCCAGATAGAGTCTTAAGAGACATTCATAATTTAATTAGATCTCAATAGAATAGACATAAGAATAAGGTGAGTAGGAAGAACATTATAAAAAGAGTTTGCAGCAAATATAATAAAATCTAATCCATTGATATGACTATGAGGATGGGAGTTTTGGGCTTCTGTGGGTCGGCAGAAGGTTTAGTAATGTGTAGCTTCGATATCGTGAATATGGTCTGTGACATCACTTCACGTGGGCATAAGACAGAGCCACTGTAACAGGGCACAGTTAGGGTCATTCGTTAGAACCCAGTTCTCATTCAGGAGAGGAGGTCCTCTGAGCCTCAAAAAAATCTCGGAAAGCTGAGAGAGCTAGCCCAGCAACTACAAGGGAATGGTAACTGCAATCATATGTGAAATGGTGTCATTGATTCCTTCATGGGTAACCATCTTTCAGCTCTGATAAGATTGAGCATTAAGAATAAATTATATATTTACACCCTCTCTCTATATATATGTATATATATATAATTGTATACATAATTATTTCATTTCATATGACTGTATGAAATGAAACCCATAGTATCAAATAATTTTGCATTAGTCATATTTTTATTTTATTATCTTTATAGACACAGAGTTTTGATGTATCACCCAAGCTGGAGAGCAGTGGTGTGATCACAGCTCACTGCAGCCCCAAACTCCTGGGCTCAAGGTATCCTTCTGCCTTAGCCTCCCAAATAGCTAGGACTACAGGTGCATGCCACCACCTCTGGCTAATTTCTGTATTTTTTGTAGAGACAGGGTCCTCCTGTGTTGCTCAGGCTGGGCTCAAACTCCTGGCTTTGAGTGATTCTCCTGGCTTCACCTCCAAAAGCACTGAGATTACAGGCATGAGCCACTGTGCCTGGCCCTGATATTTTATATACTTGTAATTTTAAGATATTTTGGCCTATTAAAATAATAGTGAATTAGAATTGTGCTTCCAATTTAAAATGTTAAATCGAGTAAATGATTTAAACTTATCGTTTTGACCTGAAATCCTTACAAGTTTACAAGTACATTGAGAACTTTAAAAGAACTTAAAAACTATATTTCATATTTATAAGTATCTAATTGATGAGCTATTCAAATATTCATGAGTATCTCATTTGTTAAGTTAGACAAGCTAAAGTACTTAAAATTAAATGTATTAAATTTACAAATCAAGCTTTAAGTGTTTAAAAATGTTTAACTACATTTGAAAATGAGAAGAAATCATTAATCAAGCTTCCCTTAAGAAGGATTTTTAAAATTTGCTTGACTTACAAATAGGTTAAGAAGGTTTGTAAGCTGAACTTAACATTTTAAATACAACTATAATTTTGATTATGTAACTTCGAAAGCATACTATCAAGTTTGAAAATCAAGCAATCTCTGACTAGTTTTTTTTTTTTAATACGTTAACACTGCCCTCATTTGTCCTTGACAATAACCTTGTGAGCTCCTATTTTAGAGTTAGGGAACCAAGAATCCTATTCCTGAGGAGCTGGAGAACAAGAGGGGTCCTTGCTCTGTAGGACAGCAATAGGTAGACTTGAGAGACAACAGCTAGTCTTTTCCTCCTTAGAATCTGAGAGAACAGAAATCAGGAAGTCCATCCCCTCAGGATTAAAGAGCTTACAAAGGTGAAGGGTTAGAGGGCCATTACTTTCTGCATATCTTTTAAGGAGTCATTGACGAATAAGAAATCACCAGTTAAGAAAGACTCAATTTTTGTGATCTGAGATTTCAAGAGACAGAAAATTAAAGAGACAAAATCTATAACTCTCCTTCTGTTTGTAATTCAGAGAAATCCAGGAGTTTCCAAAGGAACCATGCCAGCAAGTGCAGTTAGCCAGTTTGCGTGGTTATATTTGTCCTAGTGAGAATTGGAGAGTTATAATCACTGAATATCACTATGATGGATACCAACTCAACATGAATATTGATCTTTCCCTCTTTCTGAGCTCATTATGAAAAAAATCAACAAAAGCTAAAGAGGAAAAGAAACGAGTCACATTTTCCTCCTGCTAGTGAGTGATTCAAGCTGTTACTAGGGATTTTCCATTGTTTTCAGTCCAGCTGTCCAGAATCTTACCTCCCCCTCCCCTTCCTCACGCTGACGATGCAAAAGGAAATGAAGAATCCTAGTTTTCAAGGACCGGGCAGTGGCTCAAGGATGGTGACAGTATGGCAAAGTCACTTTGCCCACTGAAGAGTGAGCATGAGTGGCAAGATGTAACAAAGTTCCTTTTTTGAGTGCAAAGGAATTATGAGACCTGGAATCAGACTACACTCGAGCATGCCATAAAAATCTTCTTATTGATTATATAAGAAAATGTGCTTTCCAAATTGAATAAACAAAAAATGAAATCTTGTAAGTGGAATGGGCTTTTAAAGTCAAAGCCTAAGTCTTCCTTTTCTACAGATTTGTTAAATTTTATATTTCCTAAGGTACAATATCTATCTCAGTCATGAAATTCTTTTCATGCCTCAACAATTTTCTCCAAAAAAGTCATGAAACAATTCTGAGAATTAAAAGACTTAGTGAAAATCAGCCACATTTGTATAAAGATTGCTAGCCATCATGCTATCCATAAACTTGCTAATCACTCTTATAATTGATAGTAGTAATGATTTTCTCTAAATGGCAGTTTGTGATTATCTATCTCTGTATTATCTCTCTCTCTCTCTCTCTCCTATCTGTCTTGCTTTAGGCAAAATAACTTGATTTGGAATCAACCATTCAGCTCTACCCACGTTGATTGAAAATGGCAATGCACTTTTTTCTTAGTCTTGGTTCTAATCACTAGTACATTAGCACAAGCCAGCTGGAAAATATGTACCACGAATATGTGTACCAAAAATGTGTACTGAAAATACAATGCTATATATATAGTGAGAGAGTAGTTAATTTTGAACAGTTTATTTCCTTCAGAAATTGTCAGCTTTTAGACATGATCAGTGGATGTGGTATCTCAATGTTATCAAAAAAGACACTCCAAAAACAAGGAACTGCTTAAAACAAGCAAATTAAGCAACACATAAAAGGAATGTGTTACTCTCGACATTGAAAGGGAACCAAGTCTGGTGGTAGTACGGTGGATTGTATTCTTAGACAAAAAATTTCTTTTCTGACTGACTCTATTTTTCTTCTCTATTCAGAGGAATGCCCTGTTCTGAGTTTTGTGAACACATGCATAGAACCAGGAACTGGCGAATGCTTGATGAATAAATCCAGGTGCTGTAATTCCAGGCTTGGGTTTTGTATAAGGTCCAAGAACACATGGAAAAGACTGACCATGGAACAAAACTTAGTCCCTTTGGAGAACAATGGATACATGAAAGATGACTGAGTTTTAAGAAATGTTCTCTAAGCCATGGTGGTTGAAACTCATTAGAGCAGAAGGTAAATCCTAAAAGCCTCCTTAAGCCTGTGGTAGGTTAATTGCAAAAACATCCCAAATTGCACCCCTCCCTGTATCCATGTCCCAAGTGATATGACTTTGCATCTCCTCCATCAAGGTGTGGAATCCATTTCCCTCCTCTTGAATCCAGATGTTCTGTGACTTGCTCTGGCCAATAGCATGTGGCATAAGTGTCATTGTGTCTCAAGAAGCTATGCTGGTTTCAACCATTTCTCTCCGAACCTTGTCTTTACCACGTAAACAAACCTCGGGTAGTATGATAGATGAAGGAGAACACAGAGACTTGTTGTCTTAGTTCATTTGCGTTGTTATGAAGAAATACCTGTGGCAGGGCAATTTATAAAGAAAATAAGTTTATTTGGCTCATAGTTCTACAGGCTATACAAGAAGCATGGAGGTTTTTTTTGTTTTGTTTTGTTTTGTTTTCAGATGGAGTCTCGCTCTGTTGCTCAGGCTGGAGTGCAATGGCACAATCTCGGCTCACTGCAACCTCTGCCTCCCGGGTTCAAGTAATTCTCCTGCCTCAGCCTCCTGAGTAGCTGGGATTACAGGTGCCCGCCACCATGCCCAACTAATTTTTGTATTTTTAGTACAGACAGGGTTTCACCAGGTTGGCCAAGCTGGTCTTGAACTCGTGACCTCAGGTGATCCACCTGCCTCGGCCTCTAAGTGTTAGGATTACAGGCGTGAGCCACCGTGCCCGGCCAGGAAACTTCTACTCATGGTGGAAGGTAAAGGGTAGCAGGCATCATATGGCCAGACAGAAAGGAAGAAAGAGAGGAGAGGAAGGTGCCAGGTTCTTTTTTACAGCCAGATCTCTCAAGAACTAAGAGTGAGAACTCACTGGATCCTGCCAGAATGGCACCAAGCCATCTATCATAGATCTGCCCCCATGACCCACACACCTCCTATTAAGCCCCACCTATAACTGTAGGGATCAAGTTTCATCATGAGATTTAGAGTGGACAAATATCCAAACTATTTCACCAGTCATCACTGCAGCCCTGGCTGATAGTCAGCCAATGGGAAAACATAGGAGTGAGGCCATCCCTGACCATCAGCCCCCACCTACCTTGCTGGCTGCCTTCCGCAGCAGGAAAGAGCCCATTCAAGATCAGCCACACCTGGTTCAGATCTGCAGCACCGCCCAGCTGACCCACAGGTTTGTGAACAACTACAAATACTCATTATTTCAAACCACTTAATTTTCAGGTGATGTGTTTTATAGCAATATCCAGCTGATAAAACTCAACGGGCCAATGTAAATATTGAAGATGCCATCAGTAGGTAGAGGCGCCTTGTTTACTCACATTTGCATTCCTCTATATAACTTTCTAAAGGATCTTTAAAAATTACTGATGGGCTGAACAGTAGCCTCAAGAAGCAAGCAGTGGAAAGCTATGTACAATGAAAGTCCATGATTCACAGGTGCAGTACTTATGAGAGTGCTTATAGCTACCTTGTAAACACCCACATCCCAAAAGATCTTATGGCTCAATTGAGAGCTCTCTTGCATATGTCTGTAGTCAATTAACTTGCCTTTTTTTCACTTCATTGAACTTAAAGAGCAGCCAGAGTTTGTTCAGAAGCCACACACCATGTTCCCTCCTGCCTACAACCATAGCAAGAATCCAGACAGCTTTCTGTTCGCCATAAAAACTCTTTATAGGAAGACAACATGGTACTAATAAAAACATCACCTAGAGTGAGGCATACGGAACCTCATCAAAAAGTCTCAAGAACACACATGAAACAAAAATCAGCACCCCCTACTCCAAGTAGACATGACTAAAAATACCATATTAATTGCTAACCTCAGCCAATCCTGGAGATCCATATCTTTTGGTATTGCACAGAGTACTGCAGGGAAAGGAGCACTAGACTGAGAGTCAAGAGAAGTGTATTTCCGTACTTGGTCTACCAGCAATAGCTGCAAAAACTTGGTCAAGTCCCTTGGATGCCTGGACTCCCAGATAATCACTGAGGAGTCTTCTGGTCCTGTAATTGTATGCTTTTGACTTGTCTGAGATTTTTAGTTTGTGACTGTGAATGAGCATATAGTAGTCAACATGACTCAGAGAAGGAACACTGCACCGAGAGTGTTTAGTCCTGCCTCTATCACCAGTGCAGCAGATGACCTGGAGGAAGTTCCACCTCTCCGAACTTCAGGTTGCTCGTCTGTAAAACAGGTGATGCATTTGGGCTAAATAATCAAAGGCCCTTTCCAGTTTAGAATGCCTGATTTTATAATGCTTCAAGGTTTTATGTTTCCTATTGATTTCTGGACAGAGCCTGAACAAGATTTAGGTACACGGAGAGTGAGGAAAGATCAAGCAGTCTTTTCAAAGAGCTACAGATAGGTCAAACCAAGCTTAGAGACAGTTTTTCTAATTTAATTGCAAGGAGGACAAATGGGCTATTTGTGGAAGTGCTTCAGGTGCAAAGGAAAATGTTATCCACCACCAAAACCAAGTGCATTCTTTACCGTGCCAGTTGTGTAATATTCCATTCCGCCCCAGAGAGTGACGGGAAGCTCAGCATATGCTCTGGGCATTGTTAAAGAAAAAATTGTGAGGCTGGGTGCAGTGGCTCATGCCTGTAATCCCAGTACTTTGGGACCTTGAAGCAAGAGGATTGCTTGAGCCCAGCAGTTTGAGACCAGCCTGGGCAATATAGTGAAACTTTGTCTCTACAAACAAACAAACAAACAAAAGGCAAAAAAGAATTAGCCAAGCGTGCTGATATGTGCCTGTGGTCCCAGCTACTCGGGAGGCTGAGCTGGGAGGATCACTTGAGCCTGGAAGGCCGAGGCTGCTGTGAGCCTTGATTATACCGCTGCACTCTAGCCTGGGTGACAGAGCGAGATTCTGTGGAAAGAAAGAAGGAAGGAAGGAAGGAAGGAAGGAAGGAAGGAAGGAAGGAAGGAAGGAAGGCAGGCAGGCAGGGAGGCAAGCATTATTCTGGCACGTGTGAAAATGGCAAGGAAGACTTTGTTCAGGACTATTTCAATAGAGATATTATGGTAGGGGAAAGAGATTGGCCTCGACATTGAAGACAACAAGGACAAATGAAGATTT